>NC_000002.12:3040303-3343333 GCF_000001405.40 Homo sapiens
GGCCAGGGAGGCCAGGGAGGAGGGGAGGCCAGGTAGCAGGGAGAAGAGGGAGGCCAGGTAGGAGACTAAGACAAAATTCCAAATGAGACATGACAGTGGCTCAGAGTGGGGTGGGAACAAGCTAAATTCTGAACACATTTCGAAGGTAGTTTTCTTGGTCTGTTCAGGCTGCGATCATAAAATGCAATTGTACAAATAGGGAAACTGAGGTCCAAAACAGCTGAGAAATTCACTGAAGGCCACATAGTTCTAAGTGGCAGAAACATGATTCAAACCTAGATTCCTGACTCCAAAGTGCGTCCTCCCCCCACGACCCTGCACTGCTGGAGAATGACAGCCTAGCAGCCCAGAAGAAAGAGGCTGATGCCCAGACGGATTGTGCGGATGGTTCTCGATGAGCCCCGAAGCACAAGGTCATTCAAACACCTTCTCCAACAATTCATTCTTCCCCAAGGACAAACACTACAAAGAGCCAATTCTGAATTGTCAGAACGGGAATGTATTCCTCATGGCAGAGGCCAAAATGCCACAGAATTCTCAGAAAATGAAGCACATTATGAAAACGAATGTGAATCTGAAAGTCCTGGTAATCCCCGGTGCTCACATCTGAGATTTTGTTGAATGCTTTGACATCTTCCTGCTGGAATTGTGCTGCTGACCACGTGTGCTCTCATCCTTGCAGAAGCGGTGGGGCCAACACGACTTCCCGGGCAGCCTCGGGAGCGTCCCCAAGGGAGGTGAAGCATTTCTGAGTCGTGAACAAAGGACCGTTTGGTTCTGCAGAGAAGGGGCATGTCTTTATTTGACTAAGAAAGATTTGTGAAAGAGAAAATTATATTTCTTAAGTCATAACAATGTGAGGATGTTTTTAAATCTAAGGATTTAACTCTTCTTAGCTCCCCCACTTTTTTCTTTTTCTTTTTTTTTTTAATATTTGAGGCTACTAAGACACCCAGCGGTCAGAGCCAAGGCAGGCCCAGCCGTGGGACTGGCTCCTAATCAGCGATGCCTGCGTGGAGCACTCTCCAAACGGAACCCCGCCTGAAGCCAGGTCTGAACTGTCTGTTGCATCCTCTCTCAACCAGGGTTCTGTGAGGACACGAGGCCCTCAGAGACGATTTGAGTGGCTTTGCCTCAGTTCACCCTAGGGTGGTTGCAGCCAGCACGACTTGCACAGGAGGGAGGCTCACTGGAGGAACGGGGCAGCCTCGGGCATGACGCGTGATGCCTCCTTCTCTCACCCCGACGGGAAGCACGGTGTGTTTGCAGCATCGGCAACCACAGGAGTAATTGTTCAGGGCTCATCAGAGTTAATCAGTAGGAAAACATAAGAGGCTCTTGCTCTGACTGCTGCAAGAAAACAGGCCTAGAAACCCCAGTCAAAGTTTTCCTGGCGTTGGATTAGAATGGGTGTCATGACATTTGTAGAGTAAGAAAGATGGTTTTTCTTGGAGATCTTGTTTAAAGGCCTGGATCTTTTGTTATTAATGATTTAGAAGAAAAGATACAATCTCGTCTTTGTTCACCTTTCTTAATGCTGTCAGATCGTGAAACAGAACTTACAAATGTGCGGGGAATATTTGGAAGCAGGACTGTATTTTTCACTTAGGATGTGGGATCAGATGACCGTTCCTTTGGTCTTTTCATTCATTTTTTGACGCGTGAGCTGCTGGGGAGCAGCCAGGGCTCACAGGGGCCGTCTCCTGGTTTCTCCCGAGGGGCCTTTGGTTTGGAGTTGGATTCCGGTACAACAGCCAGTCATTCACTCACCAGCACGTCACCACCCTGGGGTAAATTTCAGCTCCGTTTTTCATTTTCTTTATCGGTTACTTAGCATCTCTCACATGCCTTCTCCACAGGAAGTCTGAGATGCTCCCTTGCAGGGCTCTGAGGTCTCCCTGGGAGAACAGAGCCCAGGAGCTCTCAGCCCGGGCAGGGATGGGCCTGGTGCCCAGCTGCCCCTGGCCCGGCCGCGGCCTCTGCTGCTCTGCTCTGCTGCGGGGCCCGTTCAGCCTGACCTCATTGGAACTGCCTGGATTTCAGTGTCTTTAACTGGAAAATCCGTAGCAAGTGGCTGGGCTAGAAGAGCTTCCAGAATTCTGAGCAATCTTGCCCTGGAAGTGAGCGCAGCTGCTGTCTGGCCTCCCCACCCCGAGGCGGCTCCCCTGGGACCTGCCCCTTTCCAGCTGGTGCGACTCCCACACCGTCATCCACTGATCCTCAGAGAGAAGCGGACTGCTGAAGCCAAGCCATGGTCCGCTCCTTCAAGGTTTCAGTTTAACCCCTTTATCCCAGGTAGAGACAGGCCACCACGGGCCCTAGTGCCCTGAATCCACAGAGCCAGTGCCTGCCACTTTACGTTTGCACAGCCCTAGACCAGCCAGACCTCCAAAGCAGGTTCATTGGCATAATTTAAAATGCTCTTGTGCCCACATAGATTTGAGAATAACCAGATCACAGTGGGGCCTCATCTGTGGCTTGGTGCCAGAAATAATAAAGTACACTTCCCTGGTTTTCCATCAGGGTAAAGGAAAATGACTTTGGAGGAGCAACTCACCAATGCTTCTGGAAACTCCCCTTGGGTGCTCCCTAACAATCCTGCTCATGGGAAGCGTGCTGAGGCCAGGTACAGGGCAGGGGCATGCAGGGGCCAGGCATGGCAGCCAACGCCAGGCACAGGACAGGGGTGTGCCAAGGCTGAGTATGGGATAGGGGCGTGCCAAGGCCGAGCACGGGACAGGGGCGTGCCAAGGCCGAACACGGGACAGGGACGTGCCAAGGCTGAGTATGGGACAGGGGCGTGCCAAGGCCAAGCATGGGACAGAGGTGTGCCAAGGCTGAGCACGGGACAGGGGCGTGACAAGGCCAGGCACACAGGTGTTTATCACACACACAGGTACCTTTGGGATAACAAAATGGAAGAGTGCCCCTGTAGGCACTGCAAAGCCTCCTCAGCTCATTAACTTAGCAAATCATCGCTGAGCACCTATGATGCCTCGGGCTCTCTGGCTTCAGAGGATACAGAATGGATAAGACAAAGTCCCTGACCACAAGGATCTCGTGTCCAGAAATAGACATACTCCGGGGCGGCCAGGCATGCTGTGGCAGGGTGGGGATAAAGTGTCAGGAGTCACATGGAAGAAGGAGGAAAAGGAGAGCGGGAGAGAGAGGGGAAGAAAGAGAGACAGGGACAGACAGGGAGGGAGGGAGGAGAGACAGAGAGAGGAAAAAAGAGACAGAGATACAGACAAGGGAGGAAGAGAGACATTGACAGAGAGAGACAGAGAGACGGAGGAAGACAGATGAGAGAGGGACAGAGATGAAGAGACAGGGAAGAGGAGAGACGGGGTAGAGGGAGAGAGAGACAAACAGAGGAAGGAAGACAGAGAAGCTGTTGAGCCTGGGAGAAGGTTTGAGCAGGCCTGGATGATGAGTCTGTGTTTTGCACACAGGGCGAAGGGATGTCTGGGCCCCGTTCTTGAGGACAGATCTCCCTGCACGTAGCCCACTGAGCACTGACCACAATCGGTGCCCGGACAGAGCATTCCTCTGAAGCCCATAGGCAGAGTCCTGGGAGCTGGGAGGAAAACAGAAAAGGCAGCGAGGGTATGGAGCCCAGCCTGGGAGCTGGGAGCAATGAGCAGCGAGAACTAGGCACAGGAATGCCCAGGGGAGGGGCCACAATGGCCACTTTGGCACCAGAGTCCTCCTCCAGCTCCACGACCACTGACCCTAAAGGTGGGTCATGTGAGGCAAACATGGTCACAGGGGCCTGTGTTTGGAGAGGGATTTAGGGCCATTGTGAACAGGAAGCCACACCACAGCCATGTCTACTCCTGCGTCTCAGAGGTCTCAGCCAGTCTCTCATGTGGGTGAAATCCCAAGCTCAAATCTTACAGACTGTAGGACCATGATCCCCTGTTCAAAGAGCCATACTGAATTTCTCACTGGATAAAAGCCTGAACGGAAGAGCTGAAACTATAAAATGCTTACAAGGAAACACACACGTAAACTGTCATGACTGCATCAGGCCATGGTTCCTTAGACACGCCACCAAAAGCACAAAAGCAACAAAAAAAGCAATCGAGAAGTTGGACATCATCAACATTAAAAAACTTTCCTGCTCCAAAGCACACTATTCAGAGAATGAAAAGACAACCCAAAGAATGGAAGAAAATATCTGCAAGTCACGTGTCTGATAAGGATCTGGTATCCAGACTATATAGAGAACTCTTCAACTCAACAATAAAAAGACAACTAGCCCCATTAAAAGAAAGGGGTGAAGGGTTTGAACAGGCATTACTGCAAGGAATACACAAATAGCCACAGGCACAGGGAAGCGTGCTCCACCTCTGGTCTCTGTGCGGCACTGCTGGGCACGGCATTGTCCAGGAACTCTCAGGCAGCCAGGGTGCAGGGAGGCAGGTGCTGCCTGATGCTTGGCCAGAGCGTCTCTCTCCTTCTTCCTCCCTGGGTGGCCACACACCCTGGCTGGGGTGTGTCAGGGTGGATTTGAGCCAGCTGTGGGGGCAGGTGGCTCTGCAGGGGTCCAGGAAGGTTTGCAGGGCTTCCTGCACCTCACTTGTCTCTCATGGGCACCGCACTGCCGCCTTTAGTCCAGGAGGGTTTGTGGGGGGCTTCCTGCACCTGACTTGTCTCTCATGGGCACCGCACTGCCGCCTTTAGTCTAGGAGGGTTTGTGGGGGGCTTCCTGCACCTGACGCATCTCTCATGGGCATCACATAGCAACCTTTAGTCCTGCCTGGTTGTCCACAGTTGGACGATCATTTTCGGTGACCTTTACCCCAGCAGGAAGGGGGAGGAACGGTGAAGGGAAGAATAAACACGCTCCACAGTAGGGAAAGTTTACAATCCTTGCCTGCAGTGGCGCACACACTTTTTTGCTTTCTAAGCACAGGAACCTGCCTGGGCTCCATGTCCTCACTGGCCAATGACCGTCATGCTGCACCTCCAGGACCAGCTCTCACTGCACACCCTCCTGAGCAACAGAGGAGGTCTTCAGGTCACTGCCTCCGCCACAGTGAGACAGCAGGCTCAGCCACGCTGGGTGCGTATCTCCCTAGAGCCTCATCTCAGAAACTCTCACTACAAAAATGAGCTTATCCTGAAGAGAGCACTGTGTGGGTAGTGGGGACGGGGGGGTCTGTGTGTGCACACCTGTGTGTGGTCCGTGTGGTATATGTATGTGTATGAATGTGTGTGTGGTGTGTGTGGCACGTGTGATATGTGTGTATGAGTGTGTGGTGCATCTCTGGTGTGTGTCTGTACATGTGTGTGATGTGTGTGTGTGCCAAGTGTCTGGTGTGTGTGTGATATGGTATGTGGCTTGTGTACACATAGGTGACACGTATGTGTGTGAATGTATGTGTGCATGTGTATGTGTGTGGTGTGTGTGCATATGTGTGTGGTGTATATGTATGTACATGTGTATGGTGTGTGCATGTAGGTGTGGTGTGCGTGTGTGTGGTGTGTGTGCATGTGTATGTGTGTGGCATGTATGTGTACGGTATGTATATGTGTGGTGTGTGTGCATGTGTGTGTATGTGTGGTATGTATGTGTGTGGATATGTGGTGTGTGCATACATGTGTACGTGTGTGTATGTAGGTGTGGTGTGCACATGTGTGGTGTGTGTGGTGTGTGTGCATGTGTGTGTATGTATGTGTGGTGTGCATTGTATGGTGTGTGTGGTGTGTGTGTGTGTGTTATGTATGTGTGCTGTGTGTGCATGTGTGTATGTGTGTGGTGTGTATGTGTGTGGCTTGTGTACATATGTGTGGAAATGTGTGCACATGTGTCTGGTGTGTATGCGTGTAGTGTGGGGTGTGTATGTGGTGTGTATGTATGTGTGTGGTGTATAT
Source organism: Homo sapiens (assembly GCF_000001405.40). Lineage (NCBI taxonomy): Eukaryota > Metazoa > Chordata > Mammalia > Primates > Hominidae > Homo > Homo sapiens. The sequence goes on from NC_000002.12 coordinate 3,046,184, forward strand.
GTGTGATGTTTGATGTGTGATGTGTGGTGTGTGGATATGTGTGACATGGGTTTATATATGTGGTGTGTGGTGTGTGTGTAGTGTTTGTGGTGTGTGGTGTGTTTATTGTATGTGTGGTGTGTATGTATGCAATGTATGTGTATGCATGTGTGTGGTGTGTGATGTGTGGTGTGTGGTTTGCATATATGTGTCTGGTATGTGATGTGTGATGTGTAATGTGTGTAGGTGTGTGGTGTGAGTGTAGTGTGTGTATAGTGTTTGTGTTGTGTGGTGTGCATACTGTGAGTGTTGTGTGTATGCATGTGTTGTGTGGTGTGTGGATATATATGGTGTGTAATGTTTATGTATGTGCATATGTGCGTAAGGGCCACGCCGGGAGCCTGCTTTGGGTCAGACCCAGCTCCTCATCCTGCAGCCGCAGCTATGATGACGGTCGTCAGCTCCCAGGATGAGTGGCCAGCACCCTGCTCAGCGCCTGGTGGGGGCGATGAACCCCACGCTCCTCCAAGCAGGGGCTATGGGCTCACAGCCAGGGCTCGGAGGGAGAGGGACCCCTGCCCTGAGCTCACCATGGAGCACGGGATAGGATGGGAGGGACGTGGGTGGGTAAAGGGTTTGTGCACCTGCTGTGCACCAGGCAGGCACCGGCTCCCACACAGGGAGCCAAAACCACGTTTTTTAAGAAGGGAAATATGTGAACATCCCCTAAATGACAGATGCAGTGCCGTGTGGGAAAGGAAAGCCTCCCCGAGGCCGCTGCGGTACCTCCATGGCTTTGTGAGTCTCACTGTTCCCTGCACTCCCCGTCGCCATAGCAGTGCTTTAGTGGGGCTGGCAGATACTGGGATGCGTTACAAATCAAGGCCATGGGCCTTCTCAGAGATCCCCAAGATCTCCGAGACAGACTGTCCCTGCGGGATGGCCGAGGTCTCTTATTCAAATCCTGCTCTATCTGCAGACATCAGGAAGCTCAGGAGAGCCTGCCCTGCCCTCAGCAAGTGCACCTGGACATCTAGGAAACTGACAGCCCCCTGCAAATCCACCTTCGGGCCTTGGCTCTAGGGGGTGACCCTTGCACGTCAGGGAATCATCAACCTAATTGCCGTGTGCTTATTTTACATTGCACACCTGTACCAAAACATCTCATGTACCCCATAAACATATACACCTACTATGTACACAAAAATTATAGTAATAGTAATAACATGCTTCTTTCCTCAATTTTCAAGCAAGCACAATGCTGTTCTCTGTGATGGTTAATACTGAGTGTCAATTTGATTGGACTGAAGGATGCCAAGTATTGTTCCTGGGTGTGTCTGTGAGGGTGCTGCCAAAGGAGATGAACATTTGAGTCCATGGACTGGGAGAGGCAGAGCCACCCTCAGTCTGGGTAGGCACCATCTAGTCTGCTGCCAGCATGGCTAGGATAAAGCATGCAGAAGAATGCAGAAGGACTAGACTGGCTGAGTCTTCTGGCCTCCTCTTTTTCCCACGATGGATGCTTCCTGCCCCTGAACATCAGACTCCAAGTTCTTCAGCTTTGAGACTCTTGAACTTACACCAGTGATTTGCCAGGGGGTCTTGGGCCTTCAGCCACAGGCTGAAGGCTGCACTGTCGGCTTCCCTACTGTTGAGGTTTTGGGACTTGGGCTGGCTTCCTTGCTCTTCAGCTTGCAGATGGTCTATTGTGGGACTTCACCTTGGGATCGTATGAGTCAACTCTCCTAAAAACTCCCCTTAATTTGTTCATCTATCCTATTAGTTCTGTACCTTTAGAGAATGCTGACTAATAACATTCTCTAACAATAACCAATCAAGCACCTGGGATCTGGAATCCAACAGTCTCACCAAAGGCTCCCAGTGCCTGAGTGGTCAAGTGAGGCCCATGTTCCAAAGCTCCTGACCCGAAGCCTTTCTCCTCACCTGTGTGCCCTCCCTCCCTCAGGCATGTGTGTCTTCACAAATACAAAATTATATCCAATTGTCTGCAAGGGACAGCCAGGGAGAGTTGAACCATACATCGATGATATTAATACACTGCTAGTTTTGTTAGGTGCCATGATGCTACGTTTAAAAAATTAACTTCTAAAGATAAATTGGAGTATTATGGGTAAAATGGTCTATCTGGGATTGGCTGGAAAATATTCCTACAAAAGGAAAAGAAGTGGTAGGTAGATAGAATAAGACTGATGAAATATCAGAATGATTGAAGGTGGGCAATGGATACATGAGTTTATTATGCTGAGTATATTTAAAATTCTCATGCAGAGTTCAAAAGCGGTAGGCCACACATCGAAGACAATAGAAACTGCCTCGAGGGCTGTCCCTGACAGTGGTCGACATGTGTCCTGTGAACATGCATCCAGCTTCCTCTATGTGCCAGGTTTGTGCCAGCACCAGGGATGTGACTGGCTGAGGGACTGCCCCTACCTCCCACCACTCATGAGCTGGGGAGAGACACAGGACAGGTGTGAGAAGAACATCAACACAATCAACGGGCTTGAGGAACTGTGGCAAACAGCTCACTCATCCGCCTTGTTTGATCTGAATGTCGTGGGGAGGGTGACTTCTCTGGGAAGAAAGTCTGAAGCAGAAAATGAGGTGTTTGCTACTTGGGAGGCAGAGGGACAGGGCAGGAGGCCCCAGGGGAGGGGGTGGTGCTCTGCAGGTGTGGGCCATGAGGAGCAGGTGGGTTCTCAGGGGGACGGGGGATGTGTCAGTGTGGAGGAGCCGAGGTGAGACTGGCAGGGAGAGGCGAGTCCCGCTCATGAAGGTTCTGAAGAAATTGTACTTCCCAAGAAGGTGGAAACCAGTCCTAGGGGGCCCGGGACTGGTCCCTGGTGCTGGTTAATCTCCTGTTTCTATGGATAGATCCCATGTTTCTCCTCATGTCCCAATATGCTCAGAAGGAGAAAGTCATAAAACCAACAAAATAAAATTTCACACCCCCAATTTTTTTCTAAGTAAAATATGGTCATTATAGAAAAGGTAGAAAATACAACAAAACAAAACAAAAGTAAAGTAAATTAAGCAACCCCAAATCTTACTGCCACTGGGAAAGTTCTGGTGTCTATCCTTCCAGACTTTTCCCCTAAAAATATGCTCAGAGAAGTTTGTTCTTTTTACAAAAATGGCATCAGGGGCCAGGCGCAGTGGCTCACGCCTGTAATCCCAGCACTTTGGGAGGCTGAGGCAGGTGGATCGCCTGAGGTCAGGAGTTCGAGACCAGCCTGGCCAACATAATGAATCCCCATCTCTACTAAAAAGATAAATAATTAGCTGGATGTGGTGGCGAGTGCCTGTAATCCCAGCTATTAGGGAGGCTGAGGCAGGAGAATCGCTTGAACCCAGGAGGCAGAGGTTGCAGTGAGTCAAAATCGTGTCATTGCATTCCAGCCTGGGCAACAAGAGCAAAACTCTGTCTCAAAAAAAAAAAAAAAAAAAATATATATATATATATATATGGCGTCAGGTACACAAAGTCTTACCTGCTTTTTTCACCTCAAAATACATCTAAACATATTTCTCTATCAGTATCTGTACATCCAAATAAAATCAAATGTTAATTCACTTTTATTTTAAAAAGAAACTTGGATGCATTTTGCACCTCCTTTGGGCAATGAGAAGCTATCTCAAAATACAATAACGAAGAAGGATTGCAGCTTCTGAGTGTGATTCTTAAGGAGAGAGTAAAGCAAGTAAGCAGAAACTCCGCTGAAGTCAGAGGCCACCTTCAAGGTCACGCGGCCCAGCCCTCACCGTACTGTGGAAGACACTGGGCCCCAGAAGGCGAAGGGTGTGCTCAGGGCACATGGCTGGGTAACAGCAGAGCCAACACCGAAGCTTAGCCTCGGATCTCCGGCTGCATGGGGAAGGAGGCTCTTCCTCTCTGAGTGAGAAGAATCCTAGTGATGAGTGGCCTCAGTGCTAAGAGACCTTCTGATGCCTTCAGAGGCTCATCTCCTCCACCTTCCAGCAGATGAGACCCGCACCTGACCCCTGGAGAAAACAGGCCACCTTCACATTTAGGTATTAAGTGGCAGAGAATTGAACTACTTCAATGAGGCACAATCACAAAACCATATGAATTTAGGGAAAAAAGGATCCAGTACCCTATTTTGAGATGAAGAATTTTGAGGCCAGAAAGTTCTACAAACTTGCCCAAGCCACAGTCGGCATCAGAACTGAATGGAGGACTCAGGTGTCCTGACACCGGACTGCCTTCTGTTACCAGGAAACAGAAGACTGGCATTTTCCTCTGCCCCCGCACCAACGCTTCCCTCCTCCAGGAAGACTATCGAGAGGTGATCCTCACTGAGTTTCCTCAAAACTCTGACAGAATGATTTCCAAAAACCTTTTAACATTTTTAGCAATCTGTCAACTTGTAAAAATCCTACTGTAGCCATTAATAACCAATGTCTGTAACAATATACACTCTGCTAATACTAGTTGTCTTTCTTTACATAAACACAGGTCTAAGCTATATAATCGATGTTTCAATGCTAAAATGAATTAGCCAAAAATCTTGCCTAGATGACATGAGAAAATAAAGATTAAAAACTCACACTCTTTCATCTCAAGGTGTTGAAACAAAAAGACTCATTTTCCCCAAGCATAACAACTATGACACCGTGGTCTATGCTATAGTGTGAATATTTGTCCCCTCCAAAACTCAAGTTGAAATTTAATCCCAACAGGACAGTATCAAGGGGTGGGGAATTTAAGAGGTGGCTGGGTCTTGAGGGCCCTGCCCTCCTGAATGGATTCACCACTCGTGGGCCGATGGATAAATGGATTAGCGGGTTGTCATGGGAGTAGGACAGGTGGCTTTATAAAAAGAAGAGAGGCCTGGGCACGTGAGCACGCCCAACCTCCCTGCCAGGGACACCCTGGGCTGCCTCAGGACTCCTCGGAGAGTCTCCACAGCAACAAGGCTCTCACCTGGCACGGCCCCTCAACCTGGGAATTCTCAGCCTCTGTAACCTTAAGAAAGAAATTCATTTTCTTCTAAACTACCCAGTTTCAAGTAGTTTGCTTGGAAGTTTGCTACAAGCAAAGAAGAGGGACTAAGACGGCCCAATCCACTAGACAAGAAGCCCATGTCTTGATAAGCTCTCTCTTGCAAACGGTGCTCAGAGAGCAGCTTTGATGGCCAGGATGTGATCATTACATCACCCAACTCAGAGCAAAGCAAGAGGAAACTTCAAATGCAGTTCTGCAGAAGCACAACAAATGACAAAGCCAAAAACATTACAAGTTCTCCCTTAAGTGGAACCCACAAACTCCTACACGATGGATGGCTCAGAGCCACAGTGAAAGCAAACCACGGCCCAGGCAGGGAAAGGATGGAAGGGCAGGCCCTGAGGAGGCCTTGTGGCTGATCAGGACTGATCAGCTCTTCTCCTCACCCTGCCCTTCCTCCAGCACTGGGTTCACGTCTCCCAGGGCCCTCCCCTCTGTCCCAGCCTTCGCACCTCTCCCTAGCTTCCCAACTCCCCCAGCAACCAACGGTCGATATTACAAATTCTGGCAAACCATTATTTTCCTGGACTCTATTTTTCACAGTTGTTTTGCTGCCGTTATTGGTATTTGCACAACTCCTAGTAATGAAACCACATCTTATGACTCTGATTGACCATGCATCTCATACGCAGTGCCAGTGACTTAGTGACTATCCCTGATTGGTTGATATATATCACTAAACCTTCTGAGGATTCAATAGTATGAAAATCTCCAGATCAAAGAGGAAACCGTTCCTTCTGCTTACAAAATACCTCAATGCTATATGGTACCCAAAACTTGAGACTCTGGGGCCCACTCCTTGGAATCCTTCTGTCTTTCTAAATTTTTTATTTTAAAAAGATGATCCCCTTTGGAATAACTAGCGTGGTTGACATTAGTGTTGTCTGTTCAGTATTCTTTCCTCCGGAGAAAGCCCTCTCCTCCAGCCTAGAACAATTCCACCCATCCGTGTTGTCTGGGTTTGACCACCCTTGGCCCTCACCCCCACTCCCACCACCTCCCACCTAGGCCATGTGTTTTCATGGCAAGCATGGGACTCAAAGCAGGCCAATTAGTGAGCATCTCCTTAGGAATTTGGGCAGATCTGAAAGTGAAAGGCTGTCTCTTTTCTCTGAGATCTCTCTAGGCATGAGTGACACACGGCAGCCAGTAGCCATCTTACTGCCACTTGGAGAAGCTTGTTCAAGAATAAAGCCAAGAAGAGGTGAGCAGACCCACCAGATGGGAAGGGGGAGGGATTCAAGGAGAGCATTTGCCACCAGCTGTCCCCGGAGCCCACGTCCCCCTCAGGCTTCCTGGATTTATCTTAAGGTTAGGTGAAAGGGATCACATAAACTGTCAAAAGAGTTTTGACAAATGCAGGTGCTCAGTGCTGCAAAAAAACTGCACACCTGAGATTTTCAGAATGATTCGTGTCTTCCAGGATGCAACACCTAAAAAATGAGCAGCCCATGCCAACAGCATTCTCTAATAGGCCCTGTATACAGCAAGTATCAAAAGAGTGAGCATGTCCAGGAGAATAAAATCGTGAGGATAGCCTTAGATAGGTGTTTGATACTGTGGGAGGATTTCAGAATAGCTCTAATTTTTTAGTAAAACTTTAAGTATTCACATAAAGGTCATTTTGGTGAGAATTATCCTGCTGTTTCTTCTCCATTACCCAGTGAAATTGATTCTGTAATTGATAGAGTCTCAGGTGCAATGAATTTATGCCAAGAAAGTAGAATGAGCAGAACCAGGGTACAAGTGGGTAACAAAGGCAAAGAGTTCCTGGGGAACACTGCCGGGACCACGGGATTCACAGGACGCAACCTCGCAGGCTGGGAGCAAGTGAGGGTCATGGTTCCCACCTGCATGTCTGTCCTTGTCCTGACAATCAGACTCCCTCGCAAAGTCAAGACTGCACTATGATCCCGGCACCATGTCAATATGCGCACTGCCCCCCTCCAGCCTGCCACGCAACCTTCCACAGATGGAACCGGAAAGAAACCCCAAAGGACTGCCTGGCAAACCTGCCACACTCAACAGTGTCTTGGTTTCTTTGCCATTTTCTTAACAACAAAAATGACCTCCATTAGCTGGGCATGCATTATGAAGCAAACAATTGACAAAGTACGTCACCTGCTTTATATAATTTAGTCCTCATAACACCTGGGAGGAGGAGTCCAGGTGAGGGAAGGATCCAGGCAGGGTGAACATCTGGAGGAGGAGCCCAGTTCATGGGGGGAGCGAGCAGCATGAACATCTGGGGAGTGGGGTGCAGGTGATGAGCCCTGTCACCCCTTTCTCTTGCACTGATCGCTCTCTTCTCAGCTCTCACCCCATGAGGAGGAATAAAAGTGGGAAGGAGGGAGGGAGGAAGAAAAGTAGGAAGGAGGGAGGGAGGGAGAAAGAGGTAGGAAGGAAGAACATAAGTTTGTAATAGTTCCACATGCTAATGGCATTGATATTTATGTAAACAAAAATATATTTGCAATGAAATTAATGATTTTACTAATGCCACTGTTACTAGTACCAATACCAGTATGCATGGTAAATACTTACATCACCTGATTGTAGAAAGAGAAAAAAATCACCTTCAGAAAATGAATGAGGAAAATTTTCGTTAAGCAATTCCTATTTTCCTATATAATATTTGGCACCCTGATTTGTCATGCGCTTTGGAAACATTATCTATCCAGTATTACCTAGAACACCCACTTAATAAATTATGCCTCTCTAGAAACACTGAGAGAAGCAGGAACGGAACAGCCCAGAACAGGCCACTGTGTTCAGAAGGCCCCATACTTGGTTTAAGGATCTGCTGTCCCATTTTGAAATTCTTAATAATTTTTTTCCAAAAGGTCCTGTATTTCCATTTGTCCTGGGCCCACAGATTGGGGCATTTAGGAAATGGGAAGGAACACCTAAAATTTGTATTCCTGAAAAAACAGTACGTGTGAGCTGAAGGAAATGGGAGTGAGTCTCACTCAGCCTGGTCCTCAGGTCCCTCAGCAATGAAGGCAGCAGCGACACCACAGCCTCCAGCCCAGGGCAAGAGGACGCACCTTCCCCAGCGCTGCTGGAGCTCATGGAACCACCTGCTCTTCCCAAGTGGGGAAACTGTCGCTGTGGGAAGGTAACGTCACGGACCTTGCTACTCATGAGCTCTGATGAGGAGTGTAAATTTCGTTGATGAAAAGAGAACAATTTCCTAATAAACATTATCATCTAGTTAATAAATGTCTTCTGCTCCTGAAATTAGAGGAAGAGAGAGAGAGAAGAGTTAAAAACAATAATAATAAAAGGTGTTTCTTGGGTGGAGAAGAGTAGGCACCACTGACGTAGCTCTGCTCCTCCACAGAAGACAACCGGGAGGCAGCACGGCCGCTGCTGAGGCCACTTAGCCAGATAACAGGTGGGAGGGGGTTCTCCCCACTGGAACCTCAGGTACAGTGACCCCAATCTCTGCTGTTCCTATGTGGGGCGCTGTGCTCACTCCACAGTGAGCACTCCAGGCATCATCCCAGGGTGGGGGTAGCAGGGGGTAGTCCAGGCCTCTGTCCCCAGCTGCCAGAGGCGGAGGAGCAGCAGGATGCCAGCAGCATCAGATGCATGTCGGCAAACACTGGGAAAAATGCAGCGGGGGACAGGAAGGAAGAATGGCAGCAACACAGGTGGTCAGGTGTCTGTGCCGAGAGGATGGGTCACTTGTCCCAGGTGCCACCGTAAAACAGAGTTAAGGCTGAAAACAGAACCCAGCTCCCCCAGCTCCAAGGGCTGCACAAACACCTGAATCCCCGGGCTCTTTGGCCTGCATTTCTGCACCGAGTGGAGGGTTACTGGGTGGCATCACTCTCGGTGAGTGTTCAGCTAGACACAAGCGGCTACCTTGTCTCAAGGAGTTGCTAATTCTAGCTCACGTCAGCCCCTTTTCAAGGAATAAAGACAGAGCCAGTCTGTGGGCAGTCACTTTACCCCACACACTATCTGTTTTCACAACCTCTATGCACATGCATTTATGTCTTTCTCTAAAGTTTAACAATTGCCTGGACAGAAAATAAAAGTAGGGCATCAGATTGAAGAGTCAGTGCAATGGGGAGAAAGACAAAGACAGCCTTTTCCAGGGTGGGGAGGGCAGCCCAGGGCCCAGAGCCACCTGGACCTCAAGGGGCAGCCAGAGGCTTGGGAGGGCCTCCTGTGTGCACATCCTCCATCCCTACCACAGCCCCGTGCCTGACAGCTCATCTGTGTCCTATTCTGTTCCTTTATTGCAAGGCTTTGATTCCAGTTATACAGAGGCTCCTCAACTTAAGATGGGGTTACATCCCAATAAATCCATTGTAAATCAAAAATATCATAAGTCAAAAATGAATTTAATACCCCAACAAATTCATTATAAGTCAAAAAATCATTAAGTTGAACCATCATAACTTGGAAATTATCTAGATGCTGTATCAGCTGCCAATTGCCGTGATAGTGCTGCATAACAAGCCACCCCAAACTTAGTGGTTTAAAATAACAACTATTGTGGGGAAAAGAGAACACTTATACACTGTTGGTGGAAGTGTAAATTAGTTCAGCCATCGTGGAAGACAGTATGACGATTCCTCAAAGATCTAAAGACAGAAATAACATTCAACCCAACAATCAAATTACTGGGTATATACACAAAGGAATATAAATCATTCTGTTATAAAGACACATGCATGCGTTTGTTCATCACAGCACTATTCACAATAGCAGAGACATAGAATCACCCTAGGTGCCCATGAATGGTGGATTAGATAAAGAAAATGTGGTACATATGGCTGGGCACAGTGGCTCACATCTGTAATCCCAGCACTTTGGGAGGCTGAGGCAGGTGGATCATGAGGTCAGGAGATTGAGACCATCCTGGCTAACATAGTAAAACCCTGTCTCTACTAAAAATACAAAAAATTAGCTGGGTGTGGTGGCAGGTGCCTGTAGTCCCAGCTACTCGGGAGGCTGAGGCAGGAGAATGGTGTGAACCCAGAAGGTGGAGCTTGCAGTGAGCCGAGATTGTGCCACTGAACTCCAGCCTGGGCGACAGAGCGAGACTCTGTCTCAAAAAAAAAAAAAAAAAGAAAAAGAAAAGAAAAGAAAATGTGGTACATATAAATGATGGAATACTATGCAGCCATAAAAAAGGAATAAGATCATGTCCTTTGCAGGGACATGGATGGAACTGGAGACCATTATCCTTAGCAAACTAACTCAGGAACAGAAAACTAAGTGCTGCATCTTCTCACTTATAAGTGGGAGTTAAATGATGAGAACACATGGACACATGGTGGGGAACAATACATACTGGGGCCTGTCAGAGGGTGGGAGGAGGAAGAGGATTGGGAAAAATAACTAATGGTTACTAGGCTTAGTACCTGGGTGAAGAAATGGTCTGTACAACAAACCCCCATGGTACAAGTTTACCTGTGGAACAAACCTGCACTTGTACCCCTGAACTTAAAAGTTTTTTAAAAGGCAACAGAAGCAGAAAGAAAAAAAAAAGAAATGCCAAAGCCATAGAAAAACATAAAAATAAAAATAAACAATCATTTATTCTTGTTCACAGGTCTAGTGCCTGCAGGGCAGGTGCACTGCTCTTGGCTGGATTTGCCCATGCACCCGAGATTACCATCCTGGGCCTGGATGGAGGACTCAGCTCTCCTCCCCTTGCCTCTCAATTCCCTCAGCAGGCAGGGGTTCAGAGGAAGAGGCAGAAATGCACGAGCACCTTTTCCATCCTCGGTGGACATCAAGATTATCTCTGTCCCATCAGCAAAGCAAGTCCTGTGGCCACACTCAGTGTCAGAGTAGGACAAAGTTGCCCAAGGACAGAGTTTCAGGACGGTTTGGGAAATGGGGAGCATCCTTCTGCATCATGGAGGCAGAAGTGATGAAGATGAGTCCTGTGTGCCTTTCCCACTGGGCCGTCAAGCGCTCAGAACTCTGAGAGTGAAAGATATGAGGGGAACGGACACCTCTGAAGAGAAGGAAGCAGAGGGATTGTGCAAAGAAGGGAAGTTGCACAGAGAAGACAAATACAGCTGTTTCCTCCTTGTCTGGGACTTTGTTTCACTAGCTGTAGCAAAGGGGTTATGTACGCCTAGCCTGCCTTTTAATGATAAGGTGTTATTATACAAATGAAACGCCAGTGTGTGCACAGCTATACCAGATGCTTTAAGAAAACACATTCTAGAGTCAGGGTGCTGGGTTTAAATCTCAGCTCCACCAGTTGCTGGCTTAGAGACTTTGGCCAATTTATTTAAACTTCCCTGTATTTCATATTCCTCATCTGTTAAATGGCAGTAAGACTCTACCTACCTCAAAGGTTATAGCAAAGGTGAAAGATTACATGAAACGTGCTTACCACAGTGTCTGCCACAGAGTAAGGGGTCAATAAGTGTCAGTATTGTTACTAGTGTCCTGATGGAGAAGATGGTGATGATAATGATGGTGGTGGTGGTGGTGGTGATAATGATGATGAAGACAAGGATTATGATGATGGTGGTGATGGTGACAGCAAAGATAATGGTGGTGGTGGTGGTGGTGATGGTGATAATGATGATGAAGACAAGGATTATGATGATGGTGGTGATGGTGACAGCAAAGATAATGGTGGTGGTGGTGGTGGTGATGGTGATAATGGTAGTGGTGATGGCGATGATGATGGTGGTGGTGGTGGTGATGGTGATGGTGATAATGATGATGAAGACAAGGATTATGATAATGGTGGTGATGGTGATGGCAAAGATGATGGTGGTGGTGGTGGTGGTGGTGGTGGTGGTGGTGGTGGTGGTGATGGTGGTGATGGTGGTGGTATTGATGTTATCATGTCATTCTTCCCACTTCCTTACCCCTCACTTCTACTTTTGAAAATTCTGTTTATAGTAACTCCAATTTTTAGAATGTTGCAATGAGTTTTCTAAAAAGAATGTATATGCACACCTCTCTATTCTCAACAGGAGTGCAACACCACTAATTAATGGGCAAGGGATTCAAAAATACTCATCATTTCATCCAGTGAAAAAGATATTAAATGTTAAAGTATATCATCTCAGCAGAGAGGCTCACCCAGCAATCTCAAATTAAAGAGATGGGGCTTGAAAGATATAAAATGACAGGCTTTCTGATTTTGAACATGGTGAATTATTGTTAGTGATAATCATGTATAGATTTGAAGCCTCTAAAATGGAAAATATAAATTATATTACCCATGATCACAAACAATAGGAGAACTTTTATGAGCATTTTACACAGTTGCCTTCCTTTTAATGTAAGATAACAGGCAGGGTTCTCCTATCTCGACACAGAGCTTGACAAATATGACACACACTTGGAAGAAATTCACGTTTCTGACAACTTTCTATTGTTAATGGTTTAGTTTCTATGGAATATTTAAAGCCAGTAACTAGTATTTTACTTTGTTACTTTTTTTTTTTTTTTTTTTTTTTTTAGAGTTTCACTCTTGTTGCCCAGGCTGGAGTGCAATGACACGATCTTGGCTCACTGCAACCTCCGCTTCCCAGGTTCAAGTGATTCTCCTGCCTCAGCCTCCCGAGTAGATGGGATTACAGGCACCCCCCACCACACCTGGCTAATTTTTGTATTTTTAGTAGAGACAGGGTTTCATCATATTGGTCAGGCTGGTCTCGAACTCCTGACCTCAAGTGATCTGCCCGCCCTGGCCTCCCAAAGTGCTGGGATTACAGGCGTGAACCACTGCACCTGGCTTACTTTGTTACTTCTATACAGTAACAAAGTTTATATCAGAAAACTTGTTTCAGGGAGGAAAATTGCATATTATCGTATCTGAATCAGCCAGACCATTGGTAGTCTATTAAAACCTGCAGTTCTAACAGTGCTGATCACATTGGGTGCAGAAGCATCTAAATGCTTAATCGTGGGACCTACCCTGGCTCTGAAAAGAAGCAAAATTTGGTATTGGCATCTCCTCAACCCTGAGCATTCATTCAACAAATCTTTCCTGGGTACAGATTCAGGAGCCAGACTTCAGTCTTTCCTGGGAGGGCCCAGATGAGAAACGCTCAGCTCCGCCTTCAGGAAAGTCCCACTCAGAGAAGAAAGCAGGCAGCCCAGGCGACAGCAGCAAGCGGGGGCCACGTGGGTGCGGAACGGTCCGTGGAAGCGTGCGTGCAGGCCCCTGCACCCTGCAAGAAGCCCTTTCGAGCCAGGAATCCTGCCTGACTTCATACCCCCTACAGTACCCAGCGCGCCCTCAACACAGAACAGAGTGCGGCTCAAAGACCCGGAGGGAAATGGAAAAATTATCTGGCAAATCTAGCCCCAGAGAAAGAACACTATTTCCTCACCAACCTCCTAAATCTATGTTCTCAAAGGAGTAAAAATAAGCCTCTCCCAGAAACAAACAGACGAGACCACCACCGCCTGGAACGCTGTTAATCGTGCCGGTCAGGATCTCAGCGGAAAACGCATGGCACCTGCCACCGTGCATCAGAGGCACTGTTCACAACGGCGTGGACAGAGTGCAAGGAACAAAGCAGGATGATGAGGCCCCGGGGGCCGGCAGCAGCGGTCCAGGCTTACAGGGCAAGGGGAGAGGCCGTGACCGGGGAGAAGGCCTTGGCCCTCCCGCTCCGTGGGGCAGCCCGGCTGGAAGGAGCTGGGAGCATACATGCCCACCCCATCTCCGCCTTCTCGGCACCCTCCGCGGAGGCCAAGGGGCCAGACAGATGCCATCCATTGAGATCAGCCTCCCCGGCACCCAGCGGAGTGAGGAGCTACACAGCAGACCCCAGGGGGAAAGGGAGAAGGTTCTGCCCATTCATAAATTAGGAGTTCTCAAAATTTAGTTTCTACTATATGCCAAATACCAGGCGTGGTGGTGGAAGCATGAAAAGTGCCCGGAGACTTTGCAGCCTTGAGGAGCCCACAGCCCGGGCGTGAGGATTTGGCTGTGGGTCAGGCGATGCTCAAGTTCTCCCCATCGGCTCCTGGGCTGTCATCGGTGGGAGCGTGGGTGAGGATGGAGCGCAGGTTACTCAAACCAGTGTCATCAATCACGTCTCTCCCTCCGTGAACCAGCCAGGCCTGTGTTCAGCTGCTATTTATCTTCCTCGCCTTGAGACAGTGGGGTGTTGCCGGACGTTTTCTTGCGGTGTGGGTGTGTTTCGTGGGGGAGATAACAATGAATATCCAGAGAGTTGAATTATTTTCTACAAATAATTTACAGGCATCCTCTGATCTGGTAGCTTTATTGACTTGACATCTATTTGCTAAAATATTTAAATGGGCCAAAGATGAGCAGCGGAAACGCATCTTTGGATCTGTGGCTTTGATCTCCTGCATGCTTTCTTAACACCAGTTGGAGAAAGGATTCTTTTTTTTTTTTTTTCATTTTTTTTAAGGAAAGAAAACAAAATATTAAAAATGCAGTAAGCAGACAGAGGGAGGTGAGGGGGTGAGTGAGGGAAAGGCGAGAGCTGACACTCTGGGCTCAGAAGGCGGCACGGTCCATTTCCAGGCCCCTATGGGAGAAGGAGGGCGAACCGGATTCACGGTTAAATCAATCTAAAGAAGGATGAGAATCAATTGAGAATCGGCTTTTATCTTTTCCCAAATAACTGCTCCAGAGAGAAAATCTTCACTCAAAATGGCCTCAGTGCTCCTGGGCGCTCCCCGGCCTGCCTCACCTGAGCTCCTGTCTACTCTCTGTAGGCAATGGGGCCTGCAATGCGGAATCCCAGAAAAGAGGATAAAGAAATAAAATGTGGCTCATGAAAAAGGAATATACGAGGTCCCATGATGGTGGCCCCTGGTAATGCAATATGGGAAAGGAAAGAATAATTGGTTTAGAGAAAGGCACCTTTTGTTCAACATTTTTATATTAGCCCAAACTCTTATATTAGTTAACTATAAGCACAATTGAATCCCACGACAAACAAGCCATTTGTCACTATAGGGATAATTTTTCTTGGGGACACGGAAAGCAATTTTAAAAAGTAATAAAGTATTTAAAGGGGAATTGTCAGGTCAGAAATTAGACTTTTTAAAAAAGTCTCTATTTCTTTATTCTACTTTAAAGTACCGAGTCCGCATAAAAATAGCAGTTTGTCTACATTTCTGTTTTAGAAATGTTTCCACTTCTCCTGTTGTGGTCAGGAAACCTCTGTCCTTGAGAAGAGACTAGAAATGGACGCACTGACCAGGCCCTGTCCTGTTGACACCTGCCAGCCAGCATAGGGACCACAGACCCACCTGAGGACAGCTGAGGAAGCCTCCTTCAGGACAGCCACCCGACCGAGGCTGGCGAGACTTCCCAGGCCTTCCCCACCCACAAGTCCAGCATATGTCACAGATGTTCATCAGGATCCTCCATTGTAAATGACAGAAATGCAACTTGAACCGCTGTCAGCAAATGAAGAAGAATTGTGTTGGTTCCTGTAACCAAACTGCTGAAAAGGTAGAAAGGTTGAACCAAGCTCCACCACTGACAAAGGTCAAGGTCAAGGTCAGGCCTGTGACCTTGGGCAAGTTAGCTGAATTTCTCTAGGTCTAGATCCCAAATCTACAAAAAATATAGACAGCCCTGTTGGGAGAATCAAGTGAAAAACTACAGAGCTGTCCTATAAACCATACAGTGCTTCACAACATAAAACCTTACATCATTTATGCATTATGACAATTACTTTCATAAACATAAATCACTGGCAAGGGGGACAAACTACATCAAATACATTTGAGTGCCTACTCAGTGCAGAGGGAACAGACTTAGAGCACAGTAAGGAGGGAACGGACTGAGGAGTCGAGCGGACCTCGCCCCGTGCCTGACCAAGGCGTGTTGTTGCTGCAAACTGGGGCAAGCTTCTTAATCCCTCTGAGCCTCCATTTCCTTCTCGGTGAGGTAGGAATAATAATATTTCTCCTGTAGGGTCACTGGGAGGGTAAACTGAGATGGTGCGTAAGGTGGTAGCTGACGTTACTACTGAGAAATATTTCAGGCTCAGTCTTGAATTCAATCATGTGGCTTTGAGCCAATGTCTTCCGTCCTCTGCTCTCCTGCAAAATTTGGCTCCTATGTGATAATACAGGTGACATTCCCAGTGCAGAGCAGGCATTTGTCAAGCGAGGTCTCCCCCTTCCTCTGGAGAGCCACGTTTTCAAGTCTCTCTGTGGTGTCCAGAAATGCCCTGGGATGCACAGAGAGAAGCTGGGTCTGCCCCGGCTCTGTTTCCACCAGCCGAAAGCACCCTCAGGATGGCGTTTAAGATCCCGAGCCCCAGGCTCTGCATCTCCCAGGTGGATGGAGTTGGAGGATGTGCGTGCTGCAGAATCTTCTGGCTTGGAAGAGCCTCTGGTTCTGTGCACTCAGGCTGGAGATGTGTAGGAGCAATCACTACTTGTTCTTCCATCACCTGTACCCCTTTGGAAGATGAAGATCACAGGCTGTCTGTGAAATCCAGAAATCACCTCCCTGCAGCACACTCAGGGGAGCATTCTCCCAGAACCACCACAGGGGGAGGCATCCTCATTATCAGGCCCACACTGCACCTGAACCTCCGAGAATGGGGAGATTAAAGGCAGATGCAACCAATCATGTAGGCGTCTAAGTCAGCTTATGGGGAACGTGAGGTGATCTGAGACCCATGACAGCCCCTGCATGCTTTAGAAAGACAGCTGGAGATGGCACTGCAAATCCCAAGCCTCTCCACCAGCCTCCAGCCCTAAGTCCTAGACAACTCTTTTCACAGCTGACCCATCCACAGGGCCCATTAACAAGGGTTAACGTGCACGCTGGGACCTTGGGTCCCCAAAGTCGAGTGTCCTGAGAAGGCCACACAGACCTCAAGGAGAGGGCCAGGTGGGGCCAGAGGCTGACTCAGCCAGGACACCACCCCTGCGGCCGACAGAGACAGGGCGGTCAAGCAGGGAACCGGCTCTGTTGAGCCTCTGAGAGGGGTGAGGCCCTGGAAAGGACTTGCCACATGCGAGACGTTGGAATCCTGCATCCTCCCCAGGCGTAAGCGTCACTAACCCTCCTTTTTTTTGAGGCAGGATCTCACTCTGTTGCCCGGGCTGGAGTGCAGTGGTGCCATCTCGGCTCACTGCAACCTCCACCTTCTGGGTTCAAGCAATTCTCCCACCTCAGCCTCCCAAGTAGCTAGGACTGCAGGCATGCACCACCATGCCTGGCTAATTTTTATATTTTTTGGTAGAGACAGGGTTTCACCATGTTGGCCAGGCTGGACTTGAACTCCTGACCTCAGGTGATCTGCCTGCCTCAGCCTCCCAAAGTGCTAGGATTACAGGCGTGAGCCACCATGCCTGGCCACTGCTCCCATTTTAAAGACAAGGAGGCTAAGACTCAGGTGACTTGTCTGGGGTCACAATCAGCGGGTAAAGCGAGCCAAGGCTTGAACTCATGCCAAAGTCTGCCTCCAATTCAAGTTAATCCCCACTAAACCGCTCGCCAATAGGACCGAGTGCTTGAATTTAACCTACTTCCTGGGATACCACTTTCTAATTAGAGATTCCTAAAAATTTCCAAAGAACTGTAGGTGCCTGCAGCAAATTGTAGTCATCTCCCTATAAAAACATCCTGATGGCCGGGCGCGGTGGCTCATGCCTATAATCCCAGCAGTTTGGGAGGCCAAGGCAGGTGGATCATGAGGTCGGGAGATTGAGACCATCCTGGCTAACATGGTGAAACCCCGTCTCTACTAAAAATACAAAAAATTTGCCGGGCGTGGTGGCAGTTGCCTGTAGTCCCAGCTACTCAGGAAGCTGAGGCAGGAGAATGGCGTTAACCTGGGAGGCTTGCAGTGAGCTGAGATTGCACCACTGCACTCCAGGCTGGGTGACAGAGCGAGACTCTGTCTCAAAAAAAAAAAAAAAAAAAAAAAAAAAAAACCTCAAACAAACAAAAAAACACAACATCCTGATGAGTCGTCAGCCCCGTCGATCAGGAGCAGAAACTGGGCTTCGTAGGTCAGGGGGCTCTTCTGACCACAGGGTGCCCCAGATGTCATAAAGCTGAACGGACGCAGCGTGACAGCGAGAGGAGGAGTGCGCAGATGTGGACTTCATTCCCACAGTCACAGGTGGTGGCTTCAGGTAAGACGCTGACCTGCCCTGAGCTCTGTCCCAGCTCCACTCACCATGCCAGGTGTCCCTGGGAGCCAGGCAGTGGTGCAACCCACTGTACAGACAACCAGAGGGGAGTTGTTTATTAGGCACATTATGATGGTAAAATTTTATTATAAATTCAATTATCCTGGCCAATGAATACATGTAGTTCCAAATACATTATTCCCATTTTATGGAATGGGATGGAAAGAGACTGAGTTTGGTTCAGTTGCTCAAGGTCACAGTGCCGCTTAATGTGAGAACCAGAAATTTCCAAGACTTTGGTCCAGAATGCAAGGTGTTTCCTACTTTGGGCCTGGTCTGGCTCTTGGGCTGAACTCACTGGGTAACTCCTCTCGTCCCTCCACTCAGCCAGACTGGTCCAGCCATTACCCCCACCATGCCCCAGGCTCCTTGCCCCAGGTAGCCCAGTCATCTAGAAAGACACACCTCTACTCACCACCGCCTCCCCCAGAATAGACCACCCATCCATGAGGACCCTGACAAATGCCCCTACCTTCACAAAGCGAGGCTGGTAAACTCCTAGTGAGCCATCTTGAGGTGTCTTCACTAGCTTCAAACTCCTGGGTGTTCACATGCATGTCACCTCCTTGGGTGTCAGTCTTTGGGCTCGAGTCCTCCAAAACATCGTGTATGCCACACACACCTTGCCCTTGACAGTTGCCCCATACATACCAAGGAGGTAATGAACAGATCAGAGAAAGCCCAAGTATGTGTGTTCAGTTCAACTGAGAATGTCTGACAACCTATACATCAACCAGCCTACATAGTACAACAGTGAGATGAGCCTGAAACAGAAAATTAAAAAGAAGAGCTGATTATATTAAGAAAATAGTTTTTAAAATACTGTGAGACAATAACAAAGACATGGAATCAACCCAATGCCCATCAATGGTAGACTGCATAATGAAAATGCGGTACATATACACCATGGAATACTATGCAGCCATAAAGAGGAACAAGATCATGTTCTTTGCAGGGACATGGATGGTGCTGGAAGCATCCTCAGCAAACTAATGCAGGAACAGAAAATCAAACACCGAATATTCTCACTTATAAGTGGGAGCAAGCAGAAGATGAGAACACATGGACACATGGGGAAGAACTACATACACCAGGGCCTGTTGGTGGGGCCTGGGGGGAGGGAGAATAGCTAATGGGTGCTGGGCTTAATACCTAGGTGATGGGATGATCTGTGCAGCAAATCACCATGGCACATGTTTACCTACGGAACAAACCTGCACACCCTGCACCTGTACCCAGAACTCAAAAGTTGAAGAAAGAAAAAAATACTGTGAGAACAAAATACGCATTATTTTTTCTATTTTGCTAACTCCAAATGTTTTTATCTTGTGTCTGGAGTCGGGGAGGTGTGCACATGCATAACAAAAAGGCTGGAAATGCCAACCCCAAAATCTTCCTAGTGGGGACTGCTAATTGCTAGGCAGTTGAATTATGGTTTATCTCTGTGTTCTTCCGTTTCCTTGCCTATATTTTCTATATACTCTGTAAAGGTGTGTATTACTTTTGCAATTAAACCAATTTTTAAAGAGCTTATTCTACTAAGTTTTTAGCTTTAAAAAAGGTGGAAAGAACGGAGGAAAAGGAACAGTGCATGACCAAAGCATTTTCCCCAGGCTCTCAAGATTTCTCTGCATTTGGCCAAGCCGAGCTTGGGAATGGCAGGCTGGCTGATCAGAAAATAGCCATCCATTCTCACTCGGAACCCTCCCTGTAAACACCATCCAGGGACAGCATCACCAGGGAAGCTGTGTCCTCAGACTTTCCGCTGTCTCTCTATGGTGTCCTCACCTCTAGCTGCAAAGGAAAATATGCATGACACAGCCTTGCTGATTTAACCACAGCACCACCGCTGTGGGACTTGAAAGCTCTCATCAATAAGCCTAATTTTTAATTCTTGAAAGCCTGGCATTCATCCTTGAAATGAATAGACATTTTCTTCCCATTTCCTCCAAAAAGACCTCTCTAAGCTTAGTGCTACCTACACTAAAAAAGAACATAAATAATAAAAGTTGAACATTCTCCCAGTGTAGGGTCATTCACTGCAATATAACAGGGTGGTTAAAAGCATACATTTTGGAATCAGGAAGACCCGGGCTCCCCACTGACCAGATATACTGGATTGTAGACAATTGACTGAATCCCTGTACACCTCAGTTTCCACCTCTGTCAAATGAGTCCGACCTCATAGGGTTGTCGGATGCAATGAGATAATACAGGAGAGCCCATAGCTCAGTGCCCGCGTGAAAAACCATTCAATCCTCACTAACTACATGGCAGCCGTGGCTTCCTTACAAAACACCTGGCTTTGTTCTCCCAATGTGTGTAAGACTGATGCTTCATCGGCTCTGTATTTTGGTAGTGCTTCAAAAGGCAATTCCAAATTGTAAAGGAAACTGCAGAAACACTCCCACAGCCTCAGGTCTCAGGTCCCTCAGTCAAGGAGAGCCTGCAGTCGGTGAGAAATTTTCCCCATGGTAAATATTTAAATGAATAACCACTTTCCAGCCACTCTTGGGAAAGAAATAATTTAAGAAAAGTCTTCAAGGAATTTGCTCTAAATGAAAAGGCGCTTTTCCCCAGCCACATATCTCTGTGAGTGTTGACAGCCCCTGATGGGGCCACTAATAACCAAGCACAGAGGGTTGGCACCAGGATATGATTCAATTTAGGCCAAACTTACTCCCCGCGCTAAGGGACCCTTCTTTCCCTTAGAGCAATCACTGGCCCGCTGAACAGAGAGAAAACAACCCCATCTTTTCAGTGCCTGCGATGATAACACATCCGTGGTTTAGGACTTCTAGGCCGAACACCATGAGAAAGAATTTGCAACTTCTAGGGGGCTGTTTTCCATACACAGGTGTAGATCAGAATGAAGAAGATGATAGAATTTCTGCAGATCATGATCATTATTACTCAGATTCCCAGAATCTGTAGAATAACTGGATTTTTTATTCCCAAGAAGACTCTTGGAGGAAGCTTTCCACTCAGTCATCAGTGAGCACTCATGAGCGCCTGCCGTGTGCCAGGCAGCGCTGCTGGGGTATGCTCTCCAGGCTTCCTCATTTACCCTACGTCAGCTTCTGAGCCAGCTATTACTGTCTCCATCTCATAGCTGGGGGCACTGAGGCTCAGATGGGGTCAAGATTGTTTGAGTCCCTCAAGGGAGCAGTGCTAGACTTACGGACATCTCTGTTCCCACAAATCTGAATGGGTGTGAGCTGAAATATGCATGATGAGTAAATAGCACACTTGTCCTCAAGTCGCTCGACTAGCAAGGGTTTGAATCCAAGCCTGTACCCACAAGCTCCGGCCTTCCCACCACAACACGTGCAGCCTCTTCAGCTGTACAAGGGAGGAGTGGTCAGGGCGCTGCTCCCTCTTGTTCCTGGCCGGCTTTGCCAAAGTGGACCAGAAGCTCAACAAACTGAGAACTGATGTGGATTAAGCAAAAATTGAGACTGTGTAAACATCCATTGTAGACTGAAGAGGACCAGTAAAGATTTTTTTTAATTGATAGAAAGGGAGTGAGCACACAGGAGATTAAAATAGGATGGTGCCTCCATGACCACATAGTCCAGCCTCCACCATGCAGGTGAGGACTGTCATCCCCAGGAGGGGCATGGTTTGCTCTACGCAGGTTGCTCAGCCTTGGCACGTTTGGCTTCCTGGGTCAGGTCACTCTTTGTTGTGGGGGCACTTTCCTCTACATTGTGGGAGGCTTAATAGCATCCCTGACCTCTGACCACAGGTGATGGCAAAATCTCCCCCAGTTGAGAACCACTGGATTAACATAACACAGCTACTTAAAGATAGAGCTAACACCAGAAAGCAGCTTCTCCAGCCACCAGTCTGGAATGTTATTAATCAAAATAGGGTTGGTCCAGAATATATAAAGAACTCCTGCAACTCAACAATAATCCATTTTTTTTAATGGGCAAAGGACTTGAATAGACATTTCTCCAAAGAAGATATACAAATGTCCATAAGAACATGCAAAGATGCTCAACCTCCCTAATTATTAGGGAAGTGCAAATCAAAACCACAATGAGATACCACCTCATACCCACTAGGATGGCTATTTCCAAAAAACAAAAAGAAGAAAGAAAGAGAAGAAGGAAGGAAAGAAAGAAAAGAAAGGAAGGAAGGAGAGGAGAGGAGAGGAGAGGAGAGGAGGGGGGGAGGGGAGGGGAGGGGAGGGGAGGGGAGGGGAGAGGAGAGGAGAGGAGAGGAGAGGAGAGGAGAGGAGAGGAGAGAAGAGAAGAGAAGAGAAGAGAAGAGAAGAGAAGAGAAGAGAAGAGAAGAGAAGAGAAGAGAAGAGAAGAGTTGGAGGGAATGTGGAGAAATGGGAACCCTGTGCTCTGTTGCTGCAAATGAACATACAATGGTGTAGCTGCCATGAAAGCAGTATGGCGGTACCTTAACAAAATAAAAATAGAATTACCATATGATCCAGCAATTTCACTGTGAGGTATATGCTCAAAAGAATTGAAAGCAGGGGCTCACAGAGATATTTGTGCACCCATGTTCACAGGAGCATTATTCACAAGTAGCCCAAAGGTGGAAGCAACTCAAATGTCTAACGACAGATGAACAAACAAAATGTACTATATACATACACTGAAATATTATTCAGCCTTAAAAAAAAGACTGAAATTCTGACATGCTGCAATATGGATCATCCTTGAGGACATTATGTTAAGTGAAATAATCCAGTCACAAAAAGACAAATGCTATATGATTTCACCTATCTGAGGTCCCTAGAGTAGTCAGATCCATAGACCCAGCGAGTAGAATGGGGGGTTGCCAGGAGGCTGGGGGAAGCGGAGGGTGGACAGTTACAGTTTAATTTTGTTTGGCAAGAGAAAAAGAGCTCTGGAGATGGATGATGATGATGGTTGCACAAAGTGAATATTCTTTATATCACCGAACTCTATGTTTAAAAATGATTGCGATGGTACAGTTTATGTTGTATCTTACCATAATTAAAATAAAATAGAAAGCAGGATGGGAAGTGACATCTCAAGGGCAGAAAGCTGCTTTGCTGCCCTTCCCCGTCCTTGGGTGCCCCACGGGACCTGGAAGGGCATCCTCTCCACGGAACTTCCCTGCAACTCCCCCGTGCCCATATCCCTCCCTTATGACTCCTTCACTATTTCCTGTAAAGCTTTGAGCAGAAACACCAGTGATGTGCTTAGGTAACCATGGATCTTCAAAGCTCAGTGGTTAATTTAGGGGTGATTTTGTAAATTTTGAGTATCAAAGGGCAAGACAAAGCCCTTGGACAAGAAAAATTTAAAACAAAATGCAAGAAAGAGAAAAGAAAACCTCTTTTCCTGAGCCTGTGGTCTCTGGGTTTTCAAGATGATAGAAGCAGAAATGGCAGAGGAATTGATATGCTATTTTAATATTTTTGTTTGTATCTTTTTGAAAATGTCTCTGGTTTGAGTTACCTTTATTTTGTTCCAGAACTTCAGCCAGTTCCCATGAAATGAACTGAGTTCCTGGTTCTGAAAGCATGAGCCCTGGCCAGACATGGGCATCATGTGGGGACCCCTCAGAAATGCAAATTCCCACTTCGGTGGAATCTTTAGAAAGTCAAACTCATGGATATAGGGAGTAGAATGATGGTTCCCAGAGGCTGGTGACTATGATCAATAATAATGTATTGTGTACTTCAAAATAACTAAGGAAGTAAATGTTAAATGTCTCACCACAAAAAATGAGTGAGGTGATGAATATGTTAGATAGCTTGATTCAATCATTCATATGGTTTACATAACTCAAAACACCACATTTTACCCCATAAATGTAAAAAAAAAAAAAAAAAAAAGAGAGAGAGAGGAATTTAAAAATGAAAAAGAAATGTCAATTCTCAAGCATGATGGTTGACCTATTAAATCAGAATCTTTAGGAGTGGAACCCAGAAATTTCAATTTCAACAAGATTTCCCACAGATTCTGAAGCACCCTAGACTTTGAGAACGACTAAACTGCATCTGCCTTACGAGCTACAAAATTGTCTAAGATTCTTCCAACCAAACAGGTCCTTATTTTTCTCTAAGTTGACACAAAGAGCCCTAAATGCTTAAAAAAAGTGGGGAGGACCATGAAATGCCTGGCAGTTATAATAAATCCCATGATTAATTGTTATTCCAGATGTTTGCTCGCATCCTCTAACTCACAAAGGTGGACCTCCCGAGATTCCTAGCACAATCAGGACGTGACGTTGGCTGATGGATGAAATAAGATGTCCTCTCCTGCTCTCCAGGAAAACTGCATTTACTTATTCCCCCTCTGAATGTCAGAAGAACACAAGTTCAAGTAGCCACAGCCTAAGCCACTTCACAGGAGCCCAGATTCATTTCACTTCCAAGCTCTTGCTGCTTCCCAGCCGTCACAGGTTGTGCACGCCTGGAACACACGTCAACAAATAGTAACCACGGCCTCCATGCAGGAAGGCCTTGAGTCCCGCGGCTCCTCGGCCCACATCATCCCCGTCAGGGTCCATCTATTCCGGGGACCTCTGTGGATTCAGAGTTGCCGTGGCATTGGGGATAGAAATCCAGACTGAGACTGAAGCACCTATTCCTGGAGTGCTCGGCTCCAGCAATGCTGTTGGGGGAAAGGATGGCCTTGGTCTTCAGTAAATTAGAGGAATTCCACGTCTCAATTCAAGGAGTGGGTACTTTCAGCCACCTTTTCAGAAGCACTTTTACCCCTTCTAATAATGTCTGTATGTCCACCTGCCCCATGCCATGGGTTCAGCAGACACTGACTCCACTCCCAGCTCCTGAGAGGTCAAAGCCGATGGAAGTAACCCCACTCCCCTTGCCTGGTGTTAGTCCAGGAGGGGGCCTGGTGGTCCATGGGAGGTGGTCCAGCGCCACCTGGGGCAGCAGGCTCTCATCGCTGGAGACAGATAAGAGGTGCTGTTGCTGTGGGCTGCATCCTGCCACCCTAGGGAGGCCCCACTGAGGACTGTGCTGTGCTGGTGGCATCACAGTGGAGAGGGAGAAAGAATCAGGGTTCTCTAGGAGCCCGAACCTCACCCCACCTCTGGACTTCCCCTTCCACACCCAACACGTGTCTTTGGTGTTGAACAAGCTCAAGCCCGTTTAGCTCCAGCTTCCTGTTACCTGGGGCACGAAGCACCCACCTCCATGTTCTAACCTAGCCGCCTCTTTGGTCTGCTGGGCCCACCTGTCCTCCAAATGATAATGAAGCACTGTTTTTTCTAGATCTCACAGATTCGATCTTTCTCAGCCATACTTTGGAAAAAATCTGCCAGTTTTCTATTCCAGCCAGTCCTGGAGTGGGTAGAACCCAGGGAATGTGGCTCCAGAATCTGTACCTGGAACCATGACATCATGCACCAGAATTAAGAGGCAGTTTGAACCAGAGCGGCCAACTCCTCCCTTTCCAAACCCTGATCTACACTGCTTGGGAGGGATCTTCAAAGCATAAGCCCAGCCGCCCCCACTTTCCCCATCGTATGTCACCCGCCGGCACTTTCTAGTTCCTCTCCTCCCCAGGCTGTTTGCGGCCCCTTGGAGGGTGCAGGCAGCATCTTATTTGTTGCTGTGTCTCCCAGGTTGTGGTTTGGCATCAAGAAGGCACGGAAGAAATATTTATTCAAATGAATGACTGGATGACAAAGACAACACAGAAAGGGGCTCAGAGACTGCAGCACACGGATGATGAATTACAGGCATAAAAAGAGGGAGGCCACAGAACACGGTGTGGACCGTGGAGCTGCCTGCCTGGGTCTGGATGCCACTATTTACTGGCCATGTAACCTTGAGAAAACCCCAGAACTATGATTCCTCTTGTTTATCTGCAAAATGGGGGCATTAAAACCCACCTCTCAGAGCTGAGAGGAGAACAAATTAGCTAATCCACAGTAGAAAACTTAGAACAATGCCAGGCCCAGAGGACACACTGAGCACACATGAGCTTCAAGTCAGAGGAAGGTGGGTGGGAGAGGGGCAGAGAGAGAGAGAGAGAAAGACAGGAAGAAAGAGGGAGAGAGAGGCAGGAAAAGAGGGTATGGATTCCTCATGGTTTTTGTTCTTTCTCTAAAGTTATGGCTTTTAAAATATCATTGATAAACACTTAAATATGTCTTGAGGTCTTTCTCTATTAAGAAATTCTATGACCTTGAAACTGAAGGCTTTGAAACACCAAAACACAAAAGTTGATGGAAGATGTTATTATTTGACAAAGGTAACCTCAGTTTGAGTGTAATACAATTTCAATCCTTCAGGGAAGGGTCTGGGCTGGAGGAACCCCAGGGCCTGCCTGCTTTTTCCTTGCTGGCTTAGGCATTGCACTGTGGGGTGCAAGCTGAAAGGAAGGGTATTGACTGAAGACCTATTGATGAACTCCCAGACATTCTGCAATCCACAGCAAAGCAAGATTGCTGCAAAATCGATCCCCAACCCTGGGGGCCAAAGAGAGGCCGCTGGAGGGAGCTTGTTTTCTTATGTGTTTTTAATTATTGTTTAACTCAGAGAGGGAACTAGATTACTATAAACATTTTCTCAAAGAAGAGACAAAATCTAATCACTGCAAATAACCCGACGATTCTACAGAGAGCAGTCTGAAATATGAGTCAAGTCACCTGGGAAAGGCCCCTCTGCCTGACCCTCGATACCCCTATTAGAGCGTTCAGCAGAGATGGGCAGAACATTTCAGCTTTGGATATTGTCAAGCCACAGCCATTTATACCACACAGGATTAATTCCTTTCTGGACCACACAGACATCATTGATTTTGCAGAGGCAGAAAAGCAAAACCTCAGCAAAACAAAGAACTCCATCCCTTTAATGTCTTCTCATTAAACATCATGGATTTTACCCACACAACAGACAGGAAAAGGCAGTCTTTCATCCAAAATACCGAGGAATGCCAGCTACATACAGAGCAGAAACCCTCTTCACGTGACACACACTTAGCCTTCCAGAACGCAGTGGCCCGGTGTCAGCAGCTCCTGCTGCACCTGCCAACCTCGACGGTCCCCAGGCACAGCGACCCACCGCGGGTAGAGAAACGTCAGGGAGCTGCCCACACGGGTGTCTGTGCAGATGCTCAGAACACAGCCTGCACAGTCTCAGGGGGCGCTCAATGCCACCAGCCAGTAAAACAAATCCATACTTCAACTATGTTATCAACCCTTTCGCTTAACAAAATTTCATATAACCTGTCCTGTACAAGACACTGTGCTAGTGTTCTGGGAAAAATAACTCCCCCACTTCAAAGAGTTTATGGCCACAAATTCAAAAGCAATAAGGCAAGTATGAATAACACATGTTAGCAGTCAAGTAGGACAAGAAATTAAGAAATGCCAAGAAATTTAGAAATTCAAAAGGACACAAGGAGGAGCAGACAAAACGTTGTGGGATCTGTTAATGCTGGAAGGCACATCCTGCGGTCCAGCACACGGATGCCGCGGATCAGGAATGCGGCTCCGCCTCCTGGAAAGCACGAGATCCCCAAGCTTCAGGTCTTTCACCCACAGGGAGAGAAAAACAAGAGTCTCAACTATACAGAGAGCCCTGAGGCGGAATGCAGCCGCATCCGTAAAGTGTGTTAGTGCATCCCCGGGCACAGCAAATGCTAATAAATGCCCATTGCTGTCGTGTTACTACTGTCCTACCTGCTGAGATCCAGGTATCCTCCTGAAGGAAGCGGTGTTGGATCTAGGCCACATTGCTGTCTTGTTACTAATGTCCTACCTGGTGACATCCAGGTGTCCTCCTTGAAGGAGGTGGCATTGGATCTAGGCCGCATTGCTATTTTGTTACTACTGTCCTACCTGGTGATATCCAGGTGGCCTCCTTGAAGGAAGTGGCGTTGGATCTAGCCCTTGAAGGCCAAGTAGGCTTCAAGGGCTACTTCAGTGGGAAGGGATGCCCAGGACACAGGAGCTTGGAGGCGAGAAACATCCCATGTTGAGGGCAGGTGCTCTGTGTTCAAATAACAGGAGCCGGGTTGCAAAGGTGAGGCAATCCCCATGCAGCTAAAACCAGAGAGTTCCCCTTGCAGGATGTACGATAGGGGTGTCACCTGTTTGGTCGCCCCGCAGCTCAAACCCCTCAGGGGAGCATGCAGACGGGCAGGTGCAGAGGCCGGGAAAAGAACTTTTGGGCTCCAGCTCCACAGCAGCATTTGAGATGGATGTCTGCAACCCCCAAAGCCCACATGGGTGTGTGTTACCAAACTCTTTTAGATTTGCCATCTGCAGATGGCTTGTGTGTTAATGAGCACAATGGACCCTCTGCCTTATTGCAAGGGCAGGGGGCTAGTGTGACAGCGTTCTGTATTCCGAGTTCTTGCCCAGTGTACCAGAAGATTCAGATCACTTGTGGCCGTAAAGGATGAGTGCAAGGTTTTATTGAGTGGAGGAGGTGGCTCTCAGCGAGATGGATGGGGAGCTGGAAGGAGGTGATGGAGGGGAAGGAGGTCTTCCCCTGGAACCGGGCTGTCCAGTGCTGGACTTTTCTCTAGCCACCTCTGGCTGAACTCCCCTCAGCCTCCAGGTGTCCCTCCGCTTTTCTCTTTCTCTGCCTTGTTGTTCTGCCTTCACTGGTCTGCTGGTCCTGATGTTCAGCCACTTGCATGTGTGCCCTTGGGTTTATACGGGGACAGGATATGGGGCATAGCAGACCAGAAGGCAACTTTTTAGGTGCAAAAACAGAAATGCCTGTCCTCATTTAGGTCCTCAGGTCTTCAGGCTTGAGGGTGAGGCCTTTGCCAGGGAACCTCGGTCTTCTACCCAGTGCCTCCCTGTTTCCCTTCCGTATCACAGTGAGGGGCCAACATTTCACATAACCCAAATGAAGAATTGCGTGTCTTCTCCGTTCTGGAGGGCATAGGGGGTGCTTGGGGACAGGGCCGTCTCCTAAGTGAGCAGACATCCCCTGTAAGAACTGTGGATTTGGAGGACGCTGTTAGGACCCAGAGTGGGAGCAGAGAGATGGGGTGGTCTGGGGAGACATTCAAGAGCTCACCTGGGGACCCTAAAGGTGACTCAGGTCAGCCTCTGCCTGCAGGTCTCTCAGTGTGGTCAGGAAGGAGAGACCTGAATGAAACCCTGCTGCTGACCACACCAGGCTGTGAGCGCGGGAACCATCCCAGACCAGCGCACGGAACATCAGCATGGTGGGGCTCTGTGCTCCAGAAGAATCAGTCAGAGGGCTCTGAGGCCCGCCCCCGTGGAAACGGCCCCACTGCACGCCCCAGAGAGATGATGAGGGGCTTTCTGTGGTTGTTCTTGTTATTCTTCTCTTCTCTTTTTTTTTTTTTTTTTTTGTAACATCAGACAGGTAATGTGATGTTGTAACAAGGCTTGAGAGAGGCATATCTCACACATGAGCATGAAAACCCAATCATCACGCTTATGAATCACAAAAGGATCTTAACCTACTTATCTAAGGGAGACCCCCACTCCCTACAGATTTGGAGCCAGAGAAACTGAACTCAAGTGCCAGAGCCACTCCTCCCCAGCTGTGAGACTTGGCTCCAATCGTGTACACCCTGGGTCTCAGATTTGGGGAACAGTGCATCCCCTCTCTCATTTTATAAATGAAGACAGTGAGGCAGCGCTTGGACTAGAAAACTGATGTTCTGACCTGGGATCTTCAAGATTAAAATAACTCATCTCCTCTTTCACTCCAGAGAAGGTGCAAACCTAGGTACATGGGCTCAGGTCAAGGCAAAGCTTGTCACCACCCATGGACAGAGAGAATGAGGAGGCCAAGATGGGTGGATGGGTGGGGCCCAGTGGAAGCCAGGCAGCTTCCCCACCTCTGATCCAGTGTTCATGGTTGCCATGTCTTCCGGGGAAGTGAATTTCAAGAATGAGCAGCACATTCCTCCTGAAACAGAAAGACACATGCCTGGCAGCGTTAAACCGCAGTGGGTTTCAGATTTTCCCATCACGGGATCCCCCACAGTCCTGCCCCTTTCCATTAAGGAGCATAATCAGGAGGGTCCCTCATTTTAGTGCAGATAATCACAAAGTCACAGATAACTGACAAATCAAGTAGTATGCAAATCAAGTGCTAATTCCAAGCAATTAAAAACTGAGTCACAGCTAAACTGCAGTTAATTTGAAATTTTTTTTTTATATAATGCAAAACACATTGAGCAGAGACAAGACACAATGACCAAAGAAATTATCCATGTTACTCTGAACAGGCAGAAAAGTGGGTGTGGCTACACACACCTTTCAATCAATACTTGGCATCCAGGAAATGAAGTCGTTGCATGTCCTGTCTCCTGCTGGATATAAATGCCAAATGGTGGAGGGACAGTGAAGGAGAGGCAGGCAATGTGCTCCCACGCCCCTCCGGAGGGCTCCGCAAGACTTAAAGCATCAGGTTAAAGGCAGACAGCAAGTTCCCTTGCAGGCAAAAAGGCAACACCAGAATGGAGAAAGGGGGTTTCCCCAAATCCTGGTATCAAGACAATTGGCCAGGCTGCTATGCCAGGAACAGAGACCCTCAAGGGAAGAAGGAATCCTCCTTCTTGCAGCTTCAATGACCCAGCAACAAAGTACACAAGCCCTTTTGGACGTGCTTCTTAGCCTGCCCAGAAAGACAATAGATTGCAGGGACAGGAAGGAAGGAGGTTGACCCACACGCCCTTGCCCAGACAATAGCCAGGCGCACCTCCGGCTGCCCGCACCAGGGCCAGAGTGCTGCCAACAGCCAAAGGAGACAGATGCAGGGACCCCGCGAGCATCCAGGCGGGAGCGCCTTCCTCCTGCCTAGGCTACTTTTCAAACCCCTGTGCTTTTTATGGTTCCTTTTCACTGTGGGTGGAATGAGCCACGGAGGTCAATGCCACACACGCACACACAAAAGCTTCAGAGAGGACAAAGAGACTTCAATGTCATTCTCTGCACAGGGACAGAAAGACATATGGCCTTTCTGTGACAGGCCGCGGGCAATTGGAGCTCAAGATGCAGGTGGCAGAGGAGAGGCTATCACTGAAGAATAAATCTGAGAGAGCTGCAAAGTAATCACTTTGGATTAAGGCCACTTTTCCAGGGCCAGGAGGAACAAAGGCTACTTCCCAAAGCCTGTAGAATGAATATCCATTGTTTTTCATGACGAGAGAAGCCTCTCGGAGGGAGGAAGCAGGCTGTGCGCACATGGTCACCAGGCAGCAGGGCTGGCTGTCCCCGCCATCCCTGCGACCTCCCTGCTGTCTACTCAGGCATGGGCCCCCCAGGTCCCTGCACACAGGCGCCTGCCCTCCCCCGCAATGGTAGGCCGGGCCCCCTGAGCACCTCGCAGAGACACACTCGCCCAGAGCCATGAAGCAAGAGGAAGAGGAAAACCAGCCAGAAAGTGTCCCCTCAACCTGCTTTTACTGCTCACTGGGGCAAGCAACCCCCAGCCTAGAGTGTTTTCTTCATGTTTTGTTTTTTGTAAAATCACCATGACGTATTTTCAAATAAGAGATTGTTTCAGCTTGGTGCACAAGCCGCTGTCTCCAATGGGGACTGAAGGAACCCTCACCCAGGCAGGACTGAACCCCCTCCTGTATCTGGGAATCCCGTATCTGGAGAGAGAGAGTATGGCCACAGCCTCAGGCCTACCCACGAATCCCTTGTTACCTGGTCACCATCAGAACAAATCCCCACCTTCTGCAGGCTGTAGTCACACCCCAAAACCTCCTTCATTGAATCCCCCAAATCAGAATAAGCCCCTCCCTCCAAAGTCATTGTAAGGGAGCCCTGAGTTTGATCGTTCGGGGAGAACCAGACCTTTCCGGGGGCAGTGGAAGGGGGCCCAGGGCTCAGCGTTTGCAATTCACTGCACTGAACACCAAGAAAATAGTGACTTTTCACAGCAGGCAGTTTTGAGATAATAGAAACGTAGTCCTTTCAGGACCAAAACCTTTCTGTAGAACCATATTTCTGAAAACGTTTTTGCGTTTAGATTCGTGTTCTCTGCCTCCTTAAACGGAGCATAGGAAATGCAGCCTTGTCCTCTCCAGCTCTCTCCAGTGATCACTATGAGTGGAGTCTCACCCGATTCCTTCTCTTTGGGGGCCTGGTTTTCTCACTTGTGAATGGAGAAGGTGATCCCACCTTTCGGTTGTTGTGGTTACAATCAGAAACTAAACGGCGAGATGGTGCACGTTAAGCCACCGTGTGTGTGCCCATCCTAAACAAACTCGGGGTCCCCATCTCCTCCCCCAGGCCTTTCTGCCCCCCCAAACACCACCTCCCACACCTGGGGAGGGAGGAGCTACAAATAAGCCTGGGTTCTTCTCCTCCAGGTTAAATGGTATCAAATTGATACAGTTTTGGTAGTTCTTCCAAATGGCGCCTCTATGTCAGAGGGTCTGAAATTCCTTCTTCCTTCCATAAACATCCCTACTTGGAACCAGTGTGTTCTTTTTGTAGCTTTCCGCATTGCACTTGGACCTCCTACCACAGCCATCCCACTAACAAGGCCTTAGTGTGTGCTCAAGTCTCCTTCACAGGCCGCTAGATGGCCAGAATTCTTTAACCAGAGCCGTAAGATCAGATGACTCTCAGCACTCCAGACTGTGAAATTCAAGAGGAATGACTCAATCTATATCTCATTTAGCTTGTAGGTCTCCAAGGACTCACTGGGACTACAATTACACCTGGGAGGCAGGGCAGCTCAGGGAAGCAAAAAGCAAAGTCTGAATATTTCATCTCACCTCCCCCAGATGTCCCTGGACATTTCTGCTTAGTCCGGATTTGGGACAAACACTTTCCTTGTAGGTATCTATCTTGCTCTCACCCTTTCCATTCATAAAGTCTACATATCTAGTCAATGAGAATTATTCATCAGATACAGTGTGTTCCACAAGGGACCAAGTTTTAACCCTTGGCATAGGGAATTACAGGTAAGATGTAGAAAGAGAAATAAAAATGATGACCCCCCTGAAAATAGGGGATGCAGGCTTGAATAGAAAGGAGCTATACTTTTTACTCTTCAAATATCAGATTGATTTTTTTTTACTTTGAGCATGTTTTACTTTTTATTAAAAATAAATAAATTCCTGTGCCCCATAATCCAAACATACACTGCTAGTTGTCCTGTGTAGGTACTCAGAAGTGTTCCCCCAAAATATACACAAAAAAGAAAGATGTGTATTGCAACATTTTTTGAAATAGCAAAAAACTGAAACAAGCGAAGTGTTCACACAAAGAGGACAGGGGAAATAAGTCAGGTCCCCCAAAGGTGATGAAATTCTACTTCACTAGGAGTAAAAAGGGTTGGGGGGTCAGTGTGGAAACCAATGATGGTGAAACTCTACAGTCATTAGAAGTAAAAAGTGGGGGTCAGTGTGGAAACTCATGATGGTGAAATGCTACAGTCATTAGAGGTGAAAGGGGTGGGGGGTCAGTGCGGAAACTGATGATGGTGAAACTCTACAGTCATTAGAAGTAAAAGGGAAGGGTCAGTGTGGAAAGATTCTCAGGACAATTTAAGTAGAAAAAGAGGCAAGAGAGGCACTGAGAGTGCTGTAGATTATCTTTTTGGTTTAAATATTTTTTAAAAGTTAAATATTCGGGGAAGAATTGCAGAAACTGCTGACAGTAAGTGCCTTTGGTGAGAGGACTTGGGGAAAGGGGGCTTTTACTATTTATTCTGGGTCATCCCCAATACTTGAATATTCTACCTTTATACCAATATATTGGGAAGAAAAATGGCACATTATATGACTCAGATGCAACACCTCCAAAAAGTTAGCCTACTCCTTATGGTTTCATCCTGATGAGTTTGGGGGTGGAGAGAGGGAGGACGTGTGACTCTGAGGCCTCACCTTCTCTTCCAGGAGACTAACTCAGTCTCTTTGAGGAAAATTCTCACCATTTCATGTTTCTCCCCAGTGTGGCATCTCAGTCTCTGGGGAGCTCCACGGTATTGAGGGTGGAGATGGGCTTGGGCCCATGTGGCCCTCGGGACCCTTTTGGTCTCACCCGGTTGGCTGTTGGTCAGCCCCAACCTGGAGCGGCATCAGTCAGGCACATGATGTTGAACCACCGTCCAGGCTACCTGCCCCCTTTTCCTAACCCCAGGACTTGGCAGTTCCATGGGCCCGCTCAAGTGCCCCCAGGTGGCCTCACCGGGGTGTGTGGGACATGCCAGATTGACGCAGGATGCCCCCCACTCCTGCCAGGGAGCCAGCGACCCTGTGTCTTACGGCATGTCTGAGCACCCCCTCCACAGGGCAGCTCTCTGCCTCACCACCCCACTGGAGTCAATGCGGGGCTCCTCACACAGGCCCTCAGTTTACCCTGGTGGGTGCTGAAGGAGGCCGACCTCTACCTCTAATATCCTGGGATGCCCAGTGCCTCTCTGGGTATTGCACAACCACCTCCTGTGGCTCAGAAGCAGAGGAGCTGCAGAAGCAGCGTGGATACAGAACCACACAGCCTCCACCTCCACCTCTTCTGCTCTCTCAGATTCCCATGGAAGCTGCTCTATTTCCACTTCTGCCTGAGGGAAGGGCAGGGAGGGGAAATACATGTGGCAGGTTCAGGGGACAACCAGGTGACATATGACTCTGACCAAAATCTTAACCATGCAAAAGACCCAGACCAGAGGATGCATTGTTTTACATACACTCGTATGTGTGTATGTGTGTGTGTGTCACATGTAGCTCTGTGTATCCACAACCACAATACAGAACAGTTCCATCGTCACAGGCTCCTCCTCCCCATACCCCGGTCCCTGGCAAGAACTTACCTGTTTTCCATGTCTACAATTTGTCATGTCAAGAATGTTATATAAATCAAACCATAGAGTATGTAAACTTTTGAGGTTTGCTTTTTCCACTCAGCATAGCTCCCTGAGATCCACCCAACTTGTTGTATGTATCGATAATTCATTCCTTATTGCTGAGTAGTATTCCATGGTCGGCATGTACCACTTAGTTTAACCATGCACCCATGAAGAACATTAGGGTTTTTCCCAGTCTATTACAAGTAAAGCTGCTATGAACATTCATGCACAGATTTTGGCGTGAACATACGTTTTCATATCTCTGGGATAAATCCTCATGAATGTCATTACTATGTCACACAGTAGTTAGTTGCATGTTTTGTTTTTTAAGAAACCATCAAACTCTTTTCCAGGGTGGCTGCACCATTTTACATTCTCACCAGCAATGTATGAGTGATCCAGTGTCTCTGTATCCTGACCAGCCATTGGTACGGTCAGCTTTTTATTTCACACATTCTGATAGGAGTGCAGTGGTGTCTCATTGTGGTTTAATTTGCATTCTTCTCATGGCTAATATGTTGAACATCTTTTTATGAACTTGTTTGCCATCTCTTTAACCTCTTTAATGAGGTGTCTGTTCATGTCTTTTGTTTATTCTCTAATTGGATTGGTTGTTTTTAATGTTGCTTTGTTTTCTACTGATCTTTATATATTTTAGATACATCCTTTCTCAGATGTGTGGTTTGCAAATATTTCCTTCTAGTCTTTCACTTGTTTTCTACGCTCTTAACAGAGAAAATTTTAAGTTTTCATGAAGTCCAACTTATCCTTTTTTTTCCTTTGTGGTTTGTACTTTTGGTGTCTAAAAACTTTTCACTTAGCCTTAGGTCCTGAAATTTTCTGTTGTTGTCTAAAAAAATTGTAGTTCTACATTTTACATTTATCCATTTTGAGTTAATTTTTATGTAATATATCAGTCTTTGGTCAGATTTCTTTTTTTAACATATGTCCAGTTTCTCCAATACCATTTATTAAAAAGGCTATCTTTCTTGCATTGAAATGCTTTTGCACCTTTGTCAAAAATCATCTGCCACCAAAATTGGCAGACTAGGTAAATCCAAGACTCCATCCCTCCACCACAGCAGTGACTGAACTGGCAAAAACAGTCAGAATTGACTTTTTTGGAACTCTGGAATCTAATAAAAAAACAACCTGAAGGAACTTCTTTATTAATGAGGCAAGGGGCTCCTAGATTTCAATAAGAGATCCCCGTGATTTTAGTTACCTGCTCACCATCCCCTCCCCTTGGGCTCAGTGGCAGCTCTGAAGGTGGTGGCCCACATGCCAGGTGCATGTTTCTGCCACCAGAGGGTCCAATATGGACTTTGCTCCCAAGGAATTATGGTTATATGTCACCTTTCTGGTGGCTCCCTAAAGGATCAACTCAAGGGTTTGCCTCAATTGCCTTAAAGCTTTTCCAAGGCTGAACTGGTTTCTTGGGTGATATTTGTCTAAAGTATTTAAAGGCAAATTTACTAGCCACAGCCACAAGAGGAAATGGATAGGCGTCAGAGAAAGCAATAGACACACCAAAAACAAAAGAGAAAAGATGCTGGGAAAGGAGATACACGATGGAATGGGAACCAAGACAGCCACATGCACAAAGGTGAACATGTCCTCATAAGAACTTGAGGAGACCCTAAGCTTCCACCTCTGCCTGATGCTTAGGCTCTGTGTAAACAGATGAAGGCAAAACAGAGTTGTAAACAGAGTACTCCGACACAGAGCCAACCTGCAAAGACCCGGAGTGCTCTTATGTGTTTGTGGTTTGTTGTTTGTTTGTTCATTCGTTTGTATGTTTCTGGCTCCAGACATTTAAGGAGATCTCTGCCAAATCACTCACAGATCACTAAAATAGTGGAACAGAGATTTCAGTGGTAAAACACAACAAATACAGTCTTTACAAAAAAATCTTAGAAAAGTCACTAAATCAAACAAATAATCCATAACAAGCAGCACAACAAACCCTGAGTGGGGAGGGGAGAAATGTGATTTCTAGAGTTACCACATTATAATGTACAAACTGTCCAGTCCAGTTCTCAACAAAAATAAAAATGTTTTGCATTCAAAAAAGTAAGGTCTATCCCATTCATAAGAAAATAAGAAATTAATTGAAAAATCTCTGCAAAAAAGTTGCTAGATAAAAACTGTAAATCAAAGACCATCTCAAATTAGTTGAAAGAGTGAAAGGAAACCATGAACAAAGAATTAAAGAAAACCAGGAAAATTATGTCAAATGAGGAATACCAATATCAATAAAGAATATCAATAAAGAAATTGAACGTGTAAAAAGGTATCTAGTAGAAATTATCAATGTTAAATATATAATAACTGAAACATACATATGAACAGGCAGAAGAAAGAATTAGCAAACTTGAAGATAGGTTATTTAATATGATCCAGTCTTTGGAACAGAAAGGAAAAAATGAAGAAAAACAGAGAGTCCAGGAGACATTTATGACACCAACAAGCATACCAACATATATACAATAGCAATCTCAGAAGGAGAGATACAGAGAAAGAGGAGGAAAGCATTTTTGAATAAATCATGGACAAAAATCTACCTAAATTTAATAAAACATGAATCTACATCAATTAAGATAAAATCAGAAATCTACACTGAGACAAATTATAATCAAACTGTACAAAAAAAAAAGACAAAGAAAATCTTGAAAGCAGCAAGAGAGAAGAAACAACACATACAAGGGATCTCAATAAAATTAAAAGACCCCTTGTGAAATCTACATCTGATTAGTGTACCTGAAAGTGACGGGGAGAATGGAACCAAGTTGGAAAACACTCTGCAGGATATTATCCAGGAGAACTTCCCCAATCTAGCAAGGCAAGCCAACATTCAGATTCAGGAAATACAGAGAATGCCACAAAGATACTCCTTGAGAAGAGCAAGTCCAAGACACATAATTGTCAGATTCACCAAAGTTAAAACGAAGGAAAAAATGTTAAGGGCAGCCAGAGAGAAAGATCGGGTTACCCACAAAGGGAAGCCCATCAGACTAACAGCTGATCTCTCGGCAGAAACTCTACAAGCCAGAAGAGAGTGGGGGACAATATTCAACATTCTTAAAGAAAAGAATTTTCAACCCAGAATTGCATATCCAGCCAAGCTAAGCTTCATAAGTGAAGGAGAAATAAAATCCTTTACAGACAAGCAAATGCTGAGAGATTTTGTCACCACCAGGCCTGCCCTAAAAGAGCTCCTGAAAGAAGCACTAAACATGGAAAGGAACAACTGGTACCAGCCACCGCAAAAACATGCCAAATTGTAAAGACCATCAAGGCTAGGAAGAAACTGCATCAACTAACGAGCAAAATAACCAGCTAACATCATAATGACAGGATCAAATTCACCCATAACAATACTAACCTTAAATGTAAATGGGCTAAATGCTCCAATTAAAAGGCACAGACTGGCAAGTTGGATAAAGAGTCAAGACCCATCAGTGTGCTGTATTCAGGAAACCCATCTCACGTGCAGAGACACACATAGGCTCACAATAAAGGGATGGAGGAAGCTCTACCAAGCAAATGGAAAACAAAAGAAGGCAGGGATTGCAATCCTAGTCTCGGATAAAACAGACTTTAAACCAGCAAATATCAAAAGAGACAAAGAAGGCCATTACCTAATGGTAAAGGCATCAATTCAACAAGAAGAACTAACTATCCTAAATATATATGCACCCAATACAGGAGCACCCAGATTCATAAAGCAAGTCCTTAGTGACCTACAAAGAGACTTAGACTCCCACACAATAATAATGGGAGACTTTAACACCCCACTGTCAACATTAGACAGATCAATGAGACAGAAAGTTAACAAGGATATCCAGGAATTGCACTCAGCTCTGCACCAAGCAGACCTAATAGACATCTATAGAACTCTCCACTGCAAATCAACAGAATATATGTTCTTTTCAGCACCACACTATACCTATTCCAAAACTGACCACATAGTTGGAAGTAAAGCACTCCTCAGCAAATGTAAAAGAACTGAAATTATAACAAACTGTCTCTCAGACCACAGTGCAATCAAACTAGAACTCAGGATTAAGAAACTCACTCAAAACCGCTCAACTACATGGAAACTGAACAACCTGCTCCTGAATGACTACTGGGTACATAACGAAATGAAGGCAGAAATAAAGATGTTCTTTGAAACCAATGAGAACAAAGACACAACATACCAGAATCTCTGGGACGCATTCAAAGCAGTGTGTAGAGGGAAATTTATAGCACTAAATGCCCACAAGAGGAAGCAGGAAAGATCTAAAATTGACACCCTAACATCACAATTAAAAGAACCAGAGAAGCAAGAACAAACACATTCAAAAACTAGCAGAAGGCAAGAAGTAACTAAGATCAGAGAAGAACTGAAGGAAATAGAGACACAAAAAACCCTTCAAAAATCAGTGAATCCAGGAGCTGGTTTTTTGAAAAGCTCAACAAAATTGATAGACTGCTAGCAAGACTAATAAAGAAGAAAAGAGAGAAGAATCAAATAGATGCAATAAAAAAATGATAAAGGGGATATCACCACTGATCCCACAGAAATACAAACTACCATCAGAGAATACTATGAACACCTCTACGCAAATAAACTAGAAAATCTAGAAGAAATGGATAAATTCCTCTACACACACACCCTCCCAAGACTAAACCAGGAAGAAGTTGGATCTCTGAATAGACCAATAACAGGCTCTGAAATTGAGGCAATAATTAATAGCTTACCAACCAAAAAGAGTCCAGGACCAGATGGATTCATAGCCGAATTCTACCAGAGGTACAAGGAGGAGCTGGTACCATTCTTTCTGAAACTATTCCAATCAATAGAAAAAGAGGGAATCCTCCCTAACTCATTTTATGAGGCCAGCATCATCCTGATACCAAAGACTGGCAGAGACACAACAAAAAAAGAGAATTTTAGAACAATATCCCTGATGAACATCGATGCAAAAATCCTCAATAAAATACTGGCAAACTGAATCCAGCAGCACATCAAAAAGCCCACCACGATCAAGTGGACTTCATCCCTGGGATGCAAGGCTGGTTCAACATACACAAATCAATAAATGTAATCCAGCATATAAACAGAACCAAAGACAAAAACCACATGATTATCTCAATAGATGCAGAAAAGGCCTTTGACAAAATTCAACAACGCTTCATGCTAAAAACTCTCAATAAATTAGCTATTGACGGGACGTATCTCAAAATAATAAGAGCTATCTATGACAAACCCACAGCCAATATCATACTGAATGGGCAAAAACTGGAAGCATTCCCTTTGAAAACTGGCACAAGACAGGGATGCCCTCTCTCACCACTCCTATTCACCATAGTGTTGGAAGTTCTGGCCAGGGCAATCAGGCAGGAGAAGGAAATAAAGCGTATTCAATTAGGAAAAGAGGAAGTCAAATTGTCCCTGTTTGCATGTGACATGACTGTATATCTAGAAAACCCCATCGTCTCAGCCCAAAATCTCCTCAAGCTGATAAGCAACTTCAGCAAAGTCTCAGGATACAAAATCAATGTGCAAAAATCACAAGCATTCTTATACACCAATAACAGACAAACAGAGAGCCAAATCATGAGTGAACTCCCATTCATAACTGCTTCAAAGAGAATAAAATACCTAGGAATCCAACTTACAAGGGATGTGAAGGACCTCTTCAAGGAGAACTACAAACCACTGCACAATGAGAAAAAAGAGGATACAAACAAATGGAAGAACATTCCATGCTCATTGGTAGGAGGAATCAATATCGTGAAAATGGCCATACTGCCCAAGGGAATTTATAGATTCAATGCCATCCCCATCAAGCTACCAATGACTTTCTTCACAGAATTGGAAAAAAATACTTTAAACTTCATATGGAACCAAAAAAGAGCCTGCATTGCCAAGTCAATCCTAAGCCAAAAGAACAAAGCTGGAGGCATCATGCTACCTGACTTCAAACTATACTACAAGGCTACAGTAACCAAAACAGCATGGTACTGGTAGCAAAACAGAGATATAGACCAATGGAACAGAACAGAGCCCTCAAAAATAATGCCACATATCTACAACTATCTGATCTTTGACAAACCTGACAAAAACAAGAAATGGGGAAAGGATTCCCTATTTAATAAATGGTGCTGGGAAAACTGGCTAGCCATATGTAGAAAG
Source organism: Homo sapiens (assembly GCF_000001405.40). Classification (NCBI taxonomy): domain Eukaryota; kingdom Metazoa; phylum Chordata; class Mammalia; order Primates; family Hominidae; genus Homo; species Homo sapiens. Next base: position 3,087,320 of record NC_000002.12, read on the forward strand.
CTGAAACTGGATCCCTTCCTTACACCTTATACAAAAATTAATTCAAGATGGATTAAAGACTTACATGTTAGACCTAAAACCATAAAAACCCTAGAAGAAAACCTAGGCAATACCATTCAGGACATAGGCATGGGCAAGGACTTCATGTCTAAAACACCAAAAGCAATGCCAACAAAAGCCAAAACTGACAAATGGGATCTAATTAAACTAAAGAGTTTCTGCACAGCAATAGAAACTACCATCAGCGTGAACAGGCAACCTACAAAATGGGAGAAAATTTTTGCAAGCTACTCATCTGACAAAGGGCTAATATCCAGAATCTACAATGAACTCAAACAAATTTACAAGAAAAAAACAAACAACCCCAGCAAAAAGTGGGCGAAGGATATGAACAGACACTTCTCAAAAGAAGACATTTATGCAGCCAAAAAACACATGAAAAAATGCTCATCATCACTGGCCATCAGAGAAATGCAAATCAAAACCACAATGAGATACCACCTCACACCAGTTAGAATGGTGATCATTAAAAAGTCAGGAAACAACAGGTGCTGGAGAGGATGTGGAGAAATAGGAACACTTTTACACTGTTGGTGGGATTGTAAACTAGTTCAACCATTGTGGAAGTCAGTGTGGTGATTCCTCAGAGATCTAGAACTAGAAATACTATTTGACCCAGCCATCCCATTACTGGGTATATACCCAAAGGATTATAAATCATGCTGCTATAAAGACACATGCACACGTATGTTTATTGCGGCACTATTCACAATAGCAAAGACTTGGAACCAACCCAAATGTCCAAAAATGATAGCCTGGATTAAGAAAATGTGGCACATATACACTATGGAATACTATGCAGCCATAAAAAATGATGATTTCATGTCCTTTGTAGGGACATGGATGAAGCTGGAAATCATCATTCTCATCAAACTATCGCAAGGACAAAAAACCAAACACCGCATATTCTCACTCATAGGTGGGAATTGAACAATGAGAACACATGGACACAGGAAGGGGAACATCACACACCAGGGCCTGTTGTGAGGTGGGGGGAGGGGGGAAGGATAGCATTAGGAGATATACCTAATGTTAAATGACAAGTTAATGGGTACAGCACACCAACATGGCACATGTATACATATGTAACAAACCTGCACGTTGTGCACATGTACCCTAAAACTTAAAGTATAATTAAAAAATAAGTAAAATAAAATTAAATTAAATTAAAAGACAGTTTCTCAATGAAAATTATGAAATCTAGAAGGCAGTGGGATGACAGATTTAAAGTGCTTAAGAAAAAAAGTTGTCAACCAAGAATTCCATGTCCAGCAAAACTACTTCTAAATGAAAAAGAAATTAAAACATTTCTAGATAAAGCAAAGCTGAAAGAGTTCATAATTAGTAGACCTGTCGTACAAGAAATGCTAAAGGGAGTCTCTAAGGCTGAAATAAAAGATCACTAGATAGTAACTGCAAGCCATACAAGGAAATAAAGAACACTAGTAAAGGCAACTGCATAAGTTAATATAAAATATAATATTTTGGGTTAGTACTCTCTTATTTTCCCTATACATTTCAAAACAAAATGAATAAACAAAATAAATTTATGTTAATGGGCACACAAGATAAAATGATGTAATTTGTGACAATGACAACATAAGGGGTGGGGACAGAGCTATAAAGGATCCACTTAGTGAAGCTAGATTGGAATTAATTAAAATAGATTACTGTATATTTAATATTTGAATTATAATCCCTAGAAAAGGACATAAAAAGGAAATCAAATGAGTATACTAGAAAAAAATCAGTTAAATACCAAAGAAAGCACCAATAGAGGAAGAGCTGAGAAATTGAAAAGTCATTAGAGTATAGAAAAATAGCAAAATGGCTGTAATCCCTTGTTTATCAATAATTATGTTAATTGAAATGGATTAAGCTCTCTAATTAAAAGGCAGTGATTGGCAGATTAGATAAAAATACATGATCCAGGCTGAGTGTGGTGGCTCACACCTGTAATCCCAGCACTTTGGAAGGCCAAGGTGGGCAGATCACGAGATCAGGAGATCAAGACCATCCTGACCAATATGGTGAAACAAAAATGAGCCAGATGTGGTGGCATACACCTGTAGTCCCAGCTACTTGGGAGGCTGAGGCAGGAGAATTGTTTGAACCCAGGAACTAGAAGTTAAAGTGAGCCAAGATCACGCCACTGCACTCCAGCTTGGGCAACAGAGTGAGACTCTATATCAAAAAAAAAAAAAATTAAATAATCCAAATATATGCTTCCTACAAGAGACTGACTCATTTTTGATCCAAAGACCCAAACAGATTGGAAGTGAAAGGATGGAACATGATATTTCATGCAGATATTAATCAAAAGAAAGCTATGGTATCTATAACAGTATCAGACAAAATTAACTTTAAGGATAAATTGTTTCAAGAAGCAAAAAGGACATTAAATATTGATAAACTTGTTAATCCATCAAGAAAGAATAATGATTATAAACATATACACACCTAACAATAGAACTCCAAAACATGAATCAAAATCTGAAAGAGCTGAAGTGAGAAAAAGACAGTTCTACAAGAATAGTTTGAGACTTCAATACCTCACTCTCAATAATGGCTAGAACTAAACAGATGATCAATAAGGAAATTGAGGGATTGATCAACATGATAAAAGAATTAGATCTAACAGACATTTTTAGAACTTTCTATAGCATGAGCAGAGCACATATTCTTCTCTAGTGTGCGTGAACATTCTCCAGGGTAGACCATATATTAGACCACACAATAAACCTCAATAAATTTAAGAAAATTTAAATTATTCAAAGCATCTTCTAAGACTACAATACAATAAAACAATAACAATAACAGAAGGAAAACTGGGAAATATATAAAATGTGGAAATTAAACAGCATGCTCTTAAACATCAATAGGTCATAGAAGAAATCACATTGGAAATTAGAAAATACATTGTAATAAATGAAAACAAAAACACAGCATACAAGAACTTATGGGATGCCATGAAGGCAGTGCTCAGAGGGAAAGTTTTAGCTATAAATGCTTACATTTGAAAGAAAAAAAAATCTCATATCAATCACCTAACTTTATATCTTAAAGAACAAGAAAATGAAGAGCCAACTAAACCAAAGACTAGCAGAAAGAGAAAAATAATTAGGCTCAGAATAGAGATAAATGAAATAGAGAATGGAAAAACAATAGAGAGAATTCATGAAACTAAGAGTGAATTGTTTGAAAAGGTTAACAAAATTAATGATCCTTTACCTGGAATGACCAACAGAAAAGAAAGAAGACTCAAAACACTAAAATCAGAAATGAAAGTGCAGACATTATAGTAGTTCCCCACCTTACCTTTGGAGGATACATTCCAAGAACCCACATGGATGCCTGAAACACATATAGTCCCAAACTCTAGGTATACTGTGTTTTTCTTCTTATACATACATATCTGTGATTATGTTTTATTTATAACTTATACCCAGTAAGAGATTAATGACAAAACTAGAGATTAACAACAATGACTAATAAAAAATAGAACAATTATAACAATATACTGTAATAAAAGTTATGCAAATGTGTACTCTCTCTCTCTCATGTGCTCTCTCTCTCTCAAAATATCTTATTATACTGTACCACAGGTAACTAAAACTGCAGAAAGTAAAACCATGGATAAAGGAGGACTACTGTACTACCAACATTACAGAAATAAAAAGCATTCTAAGATAATACTATGAACAATTGTACACCAACAAATTACACAATTTAGACAAAAATTGGAGAATTACTAGAAAAACCCAAACTACAAAAACTTACTAAAGAAAAAATAGAAAATCTAAACCAATCTAGAAGTAAAGTGATTTAATCAGTATTCAAAAATCTCTACCCTCACTGAGCCCCAAGTCCCCCAAAAAACAAAAGTCAGTATTACCCTAATAGCAAAGCCAAAACATGATGAGAAAATAACACTACAGGCCAATATCCCTTATGAATATACAGATGGTCCCCAACTTATAATATTCAATAAATTCCATGAGATATTCAACACTTTACAATAAGCTTTGTGTTCAATGATTTTGCCCAACTGAAGGCTAATATGTTTTGAGAATATGTATGGCAGGCTAGGCTAAGCTATGATGTTCAATAGGTTAGGTATATTAAATGCATTTTTACAAGATTTTCATCTTTTAAGGAGTTTATCAGGATGTAAGCCCTCGTAAGTCAAGGAGTACCTGTAGATACAAAAATTCTCAACAAAATACTAACAAGCTGAACCCAACAGCATATTAAAAGGATTATATCCCATAACCAAGTGGGATTTATCCTATGAGTACAAGGGTTGTTCAACATATGAAAAGCAGTCAATATAATCCACTATGTTAATAGAACAAAGGAAAAAACATAAGACCATCTCACTCGATACAGAAAAAAAGGCATTTTACAAAACCCAACACTCTTTCATGATAAAAGCACTCAAAAAGTTGAGAATAGAAGGAGACTGCCTCAACATGATAAAAACCACATGTGAAAACCCACAGACAATCTCATACTGATGAAAGACTGCAGACTTCCCCCTGGTATCAGGAACAAAACAAGGATGTTCACTTTAGCCACGTCTATTCAACATTTTAGCAGAAGTTCTAGCCAGGGCAATTAGGCAAAAGGGAAATAAAAGGCATACAAACTGGAGAGGAAGAAGTAAAACTATTCACAGATAACATAATCATATATGTAAAAAATCTTAAAGATTTTCCACAAAAATATTTTCCACAAATAATTATTAAAGTCAATTTTAAACACAGCAAATTTGCAGGATACAAGATAAATACAAAAATCAGTTGTATTTCTATACACTAACAACGAGTGTCCAAAAATGAACTAAAGAAAACAATTCCATTTATAATGGTATAAAAAATAAAATATTTAAGGATAAATTTAACAAGAAGGTGTAAGGCTTGTACACTGGAAAGTATAAAACAATTCTGAAAGAAATTTAAAAAGACCTAAGTAAGCAGAAAGACATCTCATACCCATGGATTAGAGGATTCAATGTTGTAAAGATGGCAGTACTTCCCAAAGTGATCTGCAGATTCAATTCAACCTCTATCAAAATTCCAGTAATCTTTTTTGGCAGAAATGGAAAAATCTGCCTCTAAAATTGATGTAGAATTGCAAAAGGGTTCTTGAGTAGCCATAGCAAACTCAAAAAGAAGTACAAAGTGGGAACATAAACACTATTGATTTCAACTTACTACAAAACTACAGGAAACAAAGCAGTTGGTATGCAATAAACATAGACCTATAGACTAATGGAATCAAACTGAGAGTACAGAAGTAAGTCCATCTATCTATGACCAAATGATTTTTTGACAAGGGTGTCAAGACCACCAATGGGGAAGTATAGTCTCTTCAACAGATAGTGTCAGGACTAGATATCCATATGCAAACAGTGAAGCTGGACTCCTACCTCACACCATGTATAAAGTAATTAACTCAAAATGGAAAATAATAATCATTGGCAAGGATGTGGATAAATTGAAACCCTTACACATTGATGGTGGGGATGTAAATGTTTCGGCCACTGTAGAAAACAATTTGGTGGCTCCTCAAAAAGTTAGACATAGAATTACCATGTGACCAAGCAATTTCATTCTTACATATGTATACAAAAGAATTTTTAAAGGTATCCAAACAAATACTTGTAAAAGAATTTCATAGAAGCACTATTTATGACAGCCAATGAGTGAAAACAACCCAAATGTCCATCAGTAGATGAATGGATAAACAAATTGTGGCCTATACATATGATGGAATATTAATCAGCCATAAAAAGGAATGAAGTACTGATACATGCTACCATGTGGATGAACCTCATGAACATTGTGCTAAGTGTGAGAAGCCAGACATAAAAGGTCGCATTTGGTGTAATTCCACTTAAATGAAATATTTAGAATAGATAAATTTATAGAGACAAGAAGAACATTGGTGACAGCCAGAGGCCAGGGAGAAGTGCAGATTTTATTTTGGAGTGATAAAAATATTGTAGAAGTAGATAAAGGTGGATAATGCACAATTTGTATGAAAAGCTACTGAATTTCTCTCTTCAAACGGTTGAGGTTTTTGTTCTGTGAATTTCACCTTGACAACAAAAAATTACTTGGGCATATTTGTGTGTCTATTTCTTTATTACGTCCCACTGATTGCTATGTCCGTCCCTCTGCCAAAACCATACTGTCTTGATTCCTGTAGCTGTATGGCCAGCCTTAGCATCAGGAAGAGTCATTCCTCCTTGTTCTTCTTTTTCACACTGTTTCAGCTATTATAGATCCTTTGTCTAGATGTGTTAAACTTGTCCAAGTCCACAAAACAGCCTTACTGGGATTTTAATAAGAATTATGTTAAACCTACAGATCAATTTGGGTAGAATTGACACCTTTATTAGATTGAGACTTTCAACCTATTGACATAGCATGTCTCCTCATTTTGATTTTCTTCTATTTCTTTTGTGAACATTTTGAAAATTTCAGCATATAGATCCTTATATGTTTTGTTTGAGGCAGCTAAATATTTTATTTGAAGAGATTATTTGTAGTAATGTGATTTTAGTTTTGGTTTTCAAATATTTATTACTGATATGTAGAAAGGTGATATAATTTTCATTGGTGATCTTGTACCCCAAAATTTGGATACTCTCACTTATTGTCTCTAGGAGTTGTATTGATAGATTTCTTGAGATTTTCTATGTAGACAATCATGCCAGCTGAATTACTTTTCCCTTTCTAATCTGTATGCCTTTTGTACCTTTTTCTTGTCTTACTGCAGTGGCTAGAACCTCCAGTATTGGACAAGAGTGGTGAAAGTGGACATTCTTGGATTATTTTCAATGCTGGGAAGAACATTTGGCCCAGGGAAAACTTTTAACAGCAAAGAAGTTAAGAATTGAAAATGATCATGTAGTAAGGCAGAACGGATCTAGGATGCAAGGCAGCAGCATTGTAAGGAATTATCCTGTGGGAAGGGAACATGAGGAGAGGGCCAATAGCAAGCAGGAGAAACACAAAATCAAAATAAGGAAAGGGATTTACCAACTCCAGCTTAAGTGATAGAACTGGGTATCTCTCTGTGTAGAGGAAACAAGTGTTTGTCCAAAGAGTTCTGTGTTTGCCTTGTGGGTAACTACCACCACGTGGATCATTCAGGGTTTAAGACTGTGTCCTCTAGTTAGGGTTATTTCCACCATATTTACCTAAAAATGGGGAAATGTTAATACACTGTTCATCTGAGCACTTTAAAAATCTAAATGTTTATTTTACAAATATCACTTATAGCTAGAAAAATTAAACATTCTATATCAAAACATCAAATATCCTGTATCCAAAGCTTAAAAGTACAATTATCTTCTCAGGACTAATTTGGCCTTCTAATCACTCATCTGCATTTGTATGAGCAAATACTGAATTCGCCTTTGCTGAAACCTAAGGGCTTCCCCAGGTTATTTTCCTCATCCGAGATGCCTGCCCTCACAGTCTCAGCCACTTCATGTAGTTAGGCACTAATCCACTCTATTTTTATGCATTATCACTGGATTTTGAATGGAAATTTACTTGTCTTGAATTCTGGACTTACTGAAGAGGAGCAAAACAGGCTCAGCCACTCTCACTGCCACTATCCCAACCAGGCCATACAAAGAGAAAACAGAAATTCAAAAGGAGCACCTAGGACCAGGCGTGTTGGTGGCCACCAGAAGTCCATCTGAATGCGGGGTCCTTAAGGAGGAACACTGGGGCTTAAGCCCCATCCTTTCTGTGGAGGACCGATTGGGAAGCACTCCCCATTTCCTATAAGTCAAGTGAGGAGGACTCCCGGGCACATCGGGAGCACCAGCTTCACACTTCCTGCTAAACATTTGCTGAACAACAGCAGCCTCTAGGGCCACCACAGCCTGGCCACCAGAGAAAATAATAGTGGGAGAGACCCTAGGTAAGACGGGCTTGTGTCCCTGCAGTGTGGGGACATGTGTGAACATACAGACTTGTGTTTGCTCCTCTCCTGAAAATTCTGAGGCAGGAGTCTGGCTGGAGCATCCAAGAATGCTGGGCAAGGAAACATGGCAACCATCACCTGGCAAGGTGAGGCAGGAGAAAGTCACCGTTGGGCACGGCAGCCTCCGAGACACCTTTAGCATACCCGGAGCAAGAGGTCTGTCTGCCAGGTGAGAGAAGGCAATGAGGAGGCTGTGGGCCTGGTCTAAGGGGAGGGGAGTCACAGGAGATGGGTGAAAAAGCTTATCACTCAGTCAGCAGGCTGAGCAGTCCAGAAGCCCCACCCGGAGATCCAGGGAGGAGCCGCTCGCCCTTCCCCCAGCCTCCCTGACCCCAGCAGAGATGGCTGCTATCAGCCAACAGAGCACAACAGCAGCACTGGCTAAACAGGCACAACTTCTTACCTTTTTGCTCTCTGATCCTCCCTCACCCAGAATAGGGATGAAGGAGGGAGGAAGCATGCAAGGACTCCAAATCACGGAACAGCCTGGGAGGAGAGGAAACTGAGACTGGGATGTGAGATTGAAGTTTTTATTTAGATTAGATGGCTTTTAACTACTTGGAAGTGAGTGGCAATTATCAAGACAGGACTTACTTGTGAACTCAAAAGCAATCCAGAGGCTATGAGATCAGCCTGGGAGTCATTAAGGGGAAGAGAGAATGACCAGGGCACTGCTAGAATAATCAGCGGAGAAAATGATCCTGTTCCCCGTTTGTACCCCACATATTTCAGTCTATTGAAAAATCAGGGCTGGCACGATGGCTCACGCCTGTAATCCCAGCACTCTGGGAGGCCAAGGTGGGCGGATCACGAGGTCAGGAGGTGGAGACCAGCCTGGCCAACATGGTGAAACCCCATCTCTACTAAAAATATAAAAATTAGCCAGGCGTGGTGGTGGGCGCCTGTAGTCCCAGCTGCTCAGGAAGCTGAGGCAGGAGAATCGCTTGAACCCAGGGGGCAGAGGTTGCAGTGAGACAAGATTGCACCATTGCGCTCCAGCCTGGGCAACAGAGTGAGACTCTGTCTCAAAAAGAAAAAGAAAAAGAAAAATCAGTCACATGATTAGGAAAAATTAGAACAAGCGGGAAGGTACAGAGACTGAAATAAGGACACCCAGCATCCACCCAGCTCTGCCACATATCAGCATTTTGGTATACACTTTTTACATTTTAAAAAATCTTTAAACATCAGTGATGAAATTGAAGGCTCGTATTTACCTCTAAGTGTCCTTAACCCTCCCTGCCTCGGAGTCAATCACTATCCTGAATTGGGCAGCTATCATTCTGCACATGTTTTTATCTTGTTCCTGTATATATATTGGACCACAAATAATTTGAAGCTCTGTTTTTCATATTTTCAAACTTTATATTAATAATATCATGCTCCAGGAATCATTGTGCAAATAGATTTCTTGGATTCACCATTAGATTATTGAGATGTATCCACTTTAGTTTTATTGATACAGAAAGAGAAATCGAGTGTTTGGATTCATTCATTTAAAAATTCATTTAAGAGTTATAAAACTATTCTCTCAATATGTCACAACTACTCATTTGCCTATCAATGGCCATTTAGCTTGTTTCGGATTTTTGTGATTAAAAGCAATTCTGCAGGACACTATTTTATGCATGTTACCTTGTATATATGCATAAGAGTTTTCCTGGGGGTATAAACCTAGACGGTGAATCACTGGGTTACCTTCGTCAGATGCTACCATATTCACTTTCAAGCGATTGTTCTCATTTGTATCCTATCAACAGTGATTGAAGGCTTCCAACATCAGTTCCCACTCTAGCAGCTGCCTCTTACTCTCTGAGCACCAGCTAATTGCTCCCAGGCCACCTCATTTCTACGCTTCCTGCTTCTCATAAGATGGGGAATCCAAACCACACAGGTGGGTCTTTCCGCCCTCTCTTTCTGTTCCACCACTCTGGGATTGCTCTAACCACTTAAAACCAAATAATCTGGCAGATCCCTGCCCACCTAAGCATCTCAACGATTATTTTAAGTTACCAAACTTATTGATAAAATCTTATTTTGGTTTATTAAGCTTATTAATTAAATTTTATTGTTTAGGTTGATTTATTTAGGCATCTCTGTTCCTGGTCCCTCTATGATAATTCAGTGATTCACATAGGAAATGCTTATTTATTGCTACTAAGTGCCAAGCACAGCCCTAGTCACCAGGACTAAAAGGAAAAAAAGAATTCCTGCCAACCTAGGGCTTTTGATTTATTGGGGAACATAGGTAACAAAAAGTAATCAATCAAACAAACAATGCAATTGCAGGTAGTGATAAGTGCTAGGAATGAAAAAAGGGGGGATGACCTGGGTTCCAGATGGAACAGCCAGCACCAAGTCAGTTCAAGCGGATGGAAGAAACAAGCTGAAGACAGAGAGGAGAGAACCTTTGAGACAGAGTCCACAGCAAGAGAAGGACCCTAGTGCACGGACAGGCTGGGTGCCATCCAGGAGCATGAAGAAGTGCCCCATGACCAGGACGGACAGACGGAGAGCAGGCAGGTGCCCCGCCGGGGCCAGCAAGCTGGGGCCCAGCTTCCAGTCCTGTGAGACAACCAGGCAGCATGGTGGTGTGTTCCAAAACAGGACCTGAGAGCTTGCCCTGCTCTGTAGAGGACACACTGGGAGAGGCGGTGCAAGGGCAGCCATCACAGACCATCTGGGGACACAGCTCTGTCCAGATGAGGGACAGTGACAGCTTGGACTAGGGAGCCCATAGAGGGCCTCATGCAGAGTGGTGGATCTGGGGCACCTTTGCAAGGCAGCTCGGACAGAACCTATCGGTGGAGTCCCCGAATCCTTGACTTCTTTCTAGAATTCTCTATTTTCTAGAATGACTGCCTTCCAGGGGAAAATGGACCCAGAGAAGCTTCTGGTCTGGACCTGCTAAGGCTTGCTGCTCCCCCTGCATCACGGGTGGGTGGGCTGTGATGGCAGCTCCAGCCTCAGCAAACCCATGGAGACAGGAAACCCCACTCCAACACCACAAGGCTTACACTGTAGTCCTGCTTTCTGCCCTTGAGCCCCCAGACAAGTCTGATCCTGAGGGGATGTGGCTGAGTTTGTCCTGGGGGCTGCTGTCAGTCTCACCCACCCTGAGTCCTGGGGGCCACACCTCCCCAGCCCTCCAGGCTCTCCCTGCTCACCTCTCTGCCAAGCCCCACACTCAACACGAGTTTTCTCTTCATCTACAGAACTTTCCAGCCAGTGATTGATTGGTATGGAAACCTTCTCTGGTTTCAGCCAATGATCAGTAGGGCCTGGAATCAATAGCTTTATTCACATTGTGGGGTAAAAGGTTAATTTGACCCTTTCCTGGGGTATTTTTATATTTCCAGCCTTTAAAACAAGAATGAGGGCCAGGCACAGTGGCTCACACCTGTGATCCCAGCACTTTGGGAGGCTGAGGAGTGCTGATTGCTTGAGGTCATCAGGAGTTTGGGACCAGCCTAGCCAACACGGTGAAAACCCATCTCTACTAAAAATACAAAACTTAGCCTGGCATGGTGGCATGCACCTATAGTACCAGATACTCAGGAGACTAAGGCAGGAGAATCGCTTGAACCCTGGGAGGCGGAGGCTGCAGTGAGCCAAGATTGCACGACTGCACTCCAGCCTGGGTGACAGAGCAAAACTCCATCTCAAAAAAAAAAAAGAGTTATGGAAGGGAAGATAGAGGTATTGATGACTGCCTGATGCAGAGGTGTGGGGAGCGAGGTCATCATTGTGGTGATCATACACAAATTCACATCATGTGCACTAGGAGTGGGAAGTACCTGTCCCTTGCCAAGTCTGTGTGGGCCATAATGTAGTGAGGATCTGGTGCCCACAACGACAAACCATGCCACATGCCACGATTGATTGGTGATGTCTGCCCTGGGCTGGGGCGGGGCAGTTTGCCACTCAGGACTGGGATACTGTTTGGCTTTGAGAGAATCTGCTTCTCTGTTTGCATGTGATTCTGCCATGGTCTACTGCACCAGCAGTACACCTAGAAGCACATGACTCACACTCACAGTTTTCCAGGTAAGTCATAGACAATGTATATGTGCCTTCAGAGTCAAGCAGAAACTTCTAGCAAGGACACTGTGCTGGAAATCAGGAGTTCTGCATTTTAGACCAGAATTCCTCAACAATTGCATGGTGACATTTTAGACACAATAATTCTTTGTCATGGGGTCCGTCCTGTGCACCGGGGGATGTTTCACAGTACCCCTGGCCTCCAGCCATCAGATACCAGTAGCACCCCTGAAGCCGTGATCATCACAGATGCCTACAGACATCACCAGTGTCCCCTGTGGGGTAAAATCACCCCCAGTTGAGAGCCACTAATGCAAGGAACCATTGCATATATTGGGGTCTTTTTTCCAGTTGGGTCTAGTCTAAGTGGTCTTACATCCACCTGCTCCCCACTCCACCAGGCTACAGTCCTATCATGCTTTGACAATCATCCCTCTCCCTTCAAGCTGCTGAAGCCTCATCGTCTTCATCCCTGAGAGTGACGGAGAGCCGTCTGCCTCCAATCACAGGGTCCCACCCCAGGGACCTGTTCCCACACCAGCTCCCGCATGCTTCCAGAGCACACCAACATCAGGGCTTTCTCCTGGCCTTGACCATGTTGCCTGCTTCCTTCTCTCACAGCCGCATGCCGCGAGGCTGCCGTGCAACAGGTCTTTTCCACAGAAACCGCAGTCTAGACGCATGCTCTAGGCCCTGCAAGGAAATGCGGGCGAAGCTGCAAGTGTGGGTATTATTTCCTATTTTGCTTTTGCAAATGCTTTCTAATTAAAGAAGTTCATTTCACTCTGAAAAGTCCTCATTCCTTTTTTAAAATGTGTATGCAAAATGCGCAATTTTATAAGCATAATCCTGTTCATTAAGAAAATCTGGCAAAATCTTACTCCCTTTTGAGGGCTATTTTCTTAACCTTCGTGGTTAATAAGCATCATTTTTCACCATAAATAATTTCATTCCTATGGTACATTCTATAACAAATGGTGAAAATTCTCAAGAGATAACTTGGGTGAGCAATCCGGAAGTCCTCAAGAAGGGGGATGTGGCCTTTCCACTTTAGAACGCAGCTTCTCCAGCCTTGTTTTGTGGATTTTCCCCACCCTCCTCCAGGAAACCACAGAGACCAACCCTCACCATTGCCCTCTCCCTGTGGGCCAACTTCTCAGATGACTCCCGGCCCCAGTGGAGGGAAGTGCAGACCCAGGCAAGGGTCCTCGCCCTCCCCCAACCGCCAGGGGAGAGAGCCCTCCTGATTCGGCTCAATTCCACACACATTCACCAGCCTCCCAGAATGAGGCAGAAGCTGACGTGCAAAGAGAAACGCTGAGCTCCTGCTCTCAGGGGCTCACAGCCTGGAAGAAATTTTGCGTGTATTTGTTTTTGAGCAACTTCTTCCCTGAGAATTGCTCACCTTCAGGGCCCTCCTGGGCTTGAAAGGGGAATTGGCTTCATTCACCTTTGGTAGGGTCCAGAAAGGCTAAGGCAGACAGAGACTCGGCTGAAAGGACCTGGAGAATGAGGAATCATTTCTGAGATTCCTGGAGGAGCTCTTTGCAGACAGAGGATGGAGAAAGAGACAATGGGGCCAGCCCCAGCAAATGGTGGGAGGAGAGAGGTGACCCGGAAGACTCCAGCAGTAGCTGGAGAAGTTTTAGCAACCCAGACATCTACCATTCCTTTTTAGGTTGTTGTGGGGGCCATTCATTCACCGGCCGGTTCTCGGCCCCGGTGGAACCTGCTACCCGCCTGGAGCGCGGGGAAGTGATGGAGCCGAGAGTGTCCAGCAGGGACAGCGCCTTCCGTGCAGGGTAAAAAGCCACTGCGAGCCAGGGACAGCTGGCCTCCAAAACCCCCAAGGACGCGGTGGAGGTACCTTCAGTTAAAAGTGACTACAACTGGGGCTGCTGTGCTGTGAGATCTCAGAAGCCCCAGACAGCTTTGTCCGGACACAGCTGCAGCAGGTAAGTGTCAGGCGAGGATCGGCGGCACGTTCCAAAGCGGGTGGAGGAGAGAAGGCGGTGGGTCCAGGCTGAAGACAGGCACTCCCTGGAGGTCAGCTCATGAGCGGGACCTATGGATCCTGTGGGGTTCAGAGGAGCCCAGAGCTCCCTGTGATTGTGATTACATCAGACTGTGAGCCATGTGTGCGGCGCGTTTCTGGAGAGAGGGCATCTGGTTTCCGTCAGATTCCCAAAGGACATTATTACAGGTTGAATTATGTCCTCCAAAATGCATATGTTGAAGTCTAACCTCCAGCACATCTGAATGTGACCCTCTTTGGAGACTGAGGCTTTCCAGAGCTAATCAAGCTAAGATGAGGTCATCAGGGTGGGCCCTGATCCAACGCGACTGGGGTCCGTGTAAAGGAAGACATTTGGAGACAGACACACATGCAAAGAGAATGTCCCCATGAAGATGAGGACGGCCACCTGCCCACCAGGAGAGGAGCAGCAGCAGACCCCGCCCTCACAGCCTCCGAGGAGCCAGCACGATGTCATGTTCCCTGAAACTCATCTGGCGAAGCCCTCACGCCCAGCACCTCAGGAAGGGATTGTATTTGGAGAAGGATCTTTAAAGAAGTAACTAAGATAAATGAGGCCATCAGGGTAGGCCCTGATCCAATAGGACTGGTATCCTCACACAAAGAGGAGACGAGGACACAGACACACAAGCAAAGAGATAGGGGGCCAAGGGGTCGGCACAAGCACCAGGGTGCCCGCCCAGACCACTGGAGGGGACATCTGGGCACATGACCTCACACCCCCTTTAACCCTCCCTAGCCCCCATGTTGGGGAGAGCAGCGCCAGGAGTAGAGACAAGTGCCCCTCTCACCCCACACTGACCTGGGGTCCGGAGCGCCCTGGGGTCCTGAGACAGGCAGGTGGGAGGCCGAGCCCCTGGGACCATTCTCCCCGCACGCTGCTCACAGCTGCCTTTTTCTGGTCTACAGAGAACAAGCTGAAGCTGGAATCAGCCGCAGGTCACTGTGTGCTGCACCACGACAAGCATGTTCACCTTTGCTCCTCACCGGGGTCCACACAAGCGTCCCGCGAGGACCAACGCTGGGGCCGGCCTTCTGGGTCACAGTGCTGGGCGCACAGCGGAAGTCAGGGCTCGCCTCTCTGTGTGGGCCTTCTTGCCAGCGGAAGCACTCCCCTGGGTTTGACCCTGATGGGTTAGGCACTTAAACTTGCAGCTGTGGCAGAGGAGGTGAGGCCAAGACCAGAACAGCCCCCTCCACCCTGCACAGGCAGCTCCAGGCCTGCTGATGACCACAGACCGTTGGTTGGCCCTGGGAGCGCCGTTCACGCTCCTGCCTCCTCCGAGCAGGACCCAAAGACTCTCACCAAGCACACACCAAACGCACCAGTGCGGCACAGCCTGAAGGAGGGCAGACGGGCCACACGAGGCCCCACCCTTCAGGCTCCACTAAACAGCCATGAAGGAATTAGAAAGCTGTAAACATACAAGAGCAGAGAGAACAAGAGAACGGGGCTGTAGGCGGTAGGTGACGCAAGACTGCCTGAATAGGAGGTGGGACGGAGCGAGCCAAGGCCACCACCCAGCTGTGCTACGAGGGGACCGAGGAGGGACCACTTGGCTCCCCCCAGGGAGGAGAGTCAGACCTGGAGGGCACCAGTGCACAGAAAGGAGCTGGGGTTGGGGCGGGCATGGATGAGGAGCGACATCGGGAATGGGGGATTGGGTGAGAATTCACAGAGAGGGTGGATAACCCAGGGGTCCTCCAAATGCACACAACAGATCATTCTCTACCCCTCCCCAGACCACACACACCAAGAGCAGAAAACAAAAGACACTTCCTAGAGAAAATCTAACAACAGGGGCCTGTGCCTGGGGCACCAGGTGAAGGTGAAGGTGGACTCCATGGGGTTAATTAAACTCCACACACTGGGAACCTGTCCCCTCAGCTTGCTTCCCAAATCCATCACCACCCCTCCACCCTCTGCCACACTCCTGCTAGTAGGCTGCTAACACCAGGCTTAAATCCCAAGCAATAGATCAGAGAGTTTTGCTAGGAATCACTGAACAGCTTCGGAAAAAGCACCTCTAGATACTAAGACTCACCTGTCACACTACCCCATAACCCGACTCTGAGGTCAACCAGTTGGCAAACTCTGCCATGCACAGGGAGCTTCCAATAAATGTTTAGTTCCTCGCTGTTAAATATGAGCAGACAGCCAAGCATGAAATAGAGAACAAAAGGGGAAACAGAATCAGGAGGAAACACATGATAAAACAAACACAGAAAAATTGAAGAAAGATTTATATACAAGAAATGCTCTCAGACTAGGGAACTATTGAATTTGCTTTTTTTTTTTTAAGGAATACAAGAGAATAAGAAAAAGAAAGTTCTTTAAAAATTAAAATGATGATAGATGAAATTCAAAGGACAAATTGGAAAATAAAGTAAAAGAAATCTGCTAGAGATGAAGAATAACAGAGAAAATGTTAAAGATGTAGAGGATTAGCACAGGCTGTCCAACATCTAACTAATAGAAACATCAAAAAAGAGGATGGATGGAAGGAGATGATCAAAGAAACAATACAAGACATTTTTTCTCACCTGAAAAGCCCCACTGAGTACCCATCGGAGTAAATGAGGGAGGATGCACGCCACTGTGTATAAAATTTTAAACAACCAAAATAAATAAATAAAAGATCTTAAAGACTTCCAGAAAGGAAAAGCAGGTCACATGCAAAGAAAAGAAAGAGAGTGGCGTGTGGATTTCAGCAGCACCAGCTTCTCGAAAACCATGGAGCCTCGCTTCAGCTTTTGATTTCTTCAGCCAGCAAAATGATCACGTTGCGTAGAATAAAGCCATTTCCAGGTGTGCAAGGACTAAAAACACAGTGTTTTAGACTGGACTCAAAAAAGAGCATAAACAAAAAACAAATGAATGAACAAAAGACAGAGAGTACAGGACGCAGAAAACCCAGGGTCCCAGAGCAGGGAGAGGATTCCCGGGACCGTGGCAGACTCATTCCCAGGGTGACAGCCACGGAGCGGGCTGAGAGACAGCAGTCCAGGGTAGGCAGAAGGGGTGGGTTGCCCCTCCACACCTGTGGGTGTTTCTCGTTAGGTGGAACGAGAGACTTGGAAAAGAAAGAGACACAGAGACAAAGTACAGAGAAAGAAAAAGGGGACCCAGGGGACCGGTGTTCAGCATACGGAGGATCCACGATCCACGCTGGCCTCTGAGTTCCCTTAGTATCTATTGATCATTATTGGGTGTTTCTCGGAGAGGGGGATGTGGCAGGATCATAGGATAATAGTGGAGAGAAGGTCAGCAGGTGAACACGTGAACAAAGGTCTCTGCATCATGAACAAGGTAAAGAATTAAGTGCTGTGCTTTAGATATGCATACACATAAACATCTCAATGCCTTAAAGAGCAGTATTGCTGCCCGCCTGTCACATCTCCAGCCCTAAGGCGGTTTTCCCCTATCTCAGTAGATGGAATATACAATCGGGTTTTACACGGAGACATTCCATTGCCCAGGGACGAGCAGGAGACAGATGCCTTCCTCTTGTCTCAACTGCAAAGAGGCGTCCCTTCCTCTTTTACTAATCCTCCTCAGCACAGACCCTTTACGAGTGTCGGGCTGAGGCCATATCTCAGGCTATCACATGGGGAGAAACCTTGGACAATACCTGGCTTTCCTAGGCAGAGGACCCTGCGGCCTTCCGCAGTGTTTGTGTCCCTGGGTACTTGAGATTAGGGAGTGGTGATGACTCTTAACGAGCCTGCTGCCTTCAAGCATCTGTTTAACAAAGCACATCTTGCACCGCCCTTAATCCATTTAACCCTGAGTGGACACAGCACATGTTTCAGGGAGCAGGGGGTTGGGGGTGGGGTTACAGATTAACAGCATTTCAAGGCAGAAGAATTTCTCTTAGTACAGAACAAAATGGAGTCTCCTATGTCTACTTCTTTCTACAGAGACACAGTAACAATCTGATCTCTCTTTCTTTTCCCCACAGTAGACAGAAGGGCAGAAGGCCTGAAGGAGAAGGATCCAACGTGAACAACAGCAGAAACTAACGAATCAGTGCTGGGAAGGTAGCAGCAGTGGTCACATAGTTTTTTACAATCTCTTCAAATCGCCAATAAAAACAGTAACTTGATAGCAGAACCAAATCCAAGCAGATAACATCTAAAACCACGCCTGGCGATGAAGTGCATTCGTGTCCCAGGGCTAGTGTAACAAAGTGCCACAAACTTGGCAGCTAAAATGATGGATATTTCTCTCTCACCGTCCTGGAGGCCAGAAGTCCAAAACCAAGGGGTTGGCCTGGCTGGTTCTTCCCAGAGGCTCTGAGAGAGACTATGCACACACACCTCTCCTTTAACTTGGCAACCCTTGACTCTCCTTGCCTTGTAGATGTACCACTCCAATCTCTGCCTCCATCCCTGCGTCTCTGTGCCAAACCCCCCTCTCCCTTCTCTTCTAAGGACACCAGTCATTGATTTAGGGCTGCCCTAAATTCAGGCGACCTCAATTGAATTGCATCTGCAAAGACCCTGTTCCACGTCAGGTCACATTCCCAGGCACTGGCAGTTAGCACTTTGACATTCCCCAAATTCCGATCTTTGCGGCCTCGGCTCAGTGGGACCGAGGACAGTGGGACCATCTTTGGGTCGGTGGGACCCCACCAGGCTCCCTTGGACTTCCGCTTGTGGTGCCACAGGGAAGCTGTAACCGGGCTGAGAGCCAGGGAACTATGGGGCGCACACCTCCTCCTCTTCCTTGGAGTCTTGCACTACCTGTTGTTCACACCTGAAATCAGTTGCCTCATAAATGTTGTCCAATTTTATGGTTGTTTAATGTGGGAGGGTGAGTCCAGGACCGAGGACTCTGTCAGAGCTGGAGACCAAAGCCCACCCAATATCCCTGCAGAAGCTCCTTTTCACCTGAGCTCAGCCAGAACAGGCTTCTATTGCTGGCAGCCAGGAGCCCCGCCTGAGCCGCGTGATAAATAATGTCCTCTAGAACCTCCCTGGAGGCAGGTTCCAGGGCACCTCCTGTGGCCCCTTGGGACCCATGGATCGCACAGAGTGCAATTCAGCAGGGGAAGTTTTCTGTACGGAAGGAAAGATAGAGAGAAAATGTATATATTAGGTTGGTGCAAAAGTAATTGCAGTTTTTGCCACTGAATGTAATGGCCTATCCTCCTACAAGGCCGAGTTTAGGGAGACATTTCAAAGATCCAGAGCAACAGATTCCACCCTACAGAATTCATGGATAGTCACATCCTGGGAAACCATGGAGCTATCGCGAGGGTCCCACGAATCCATGTGATCCTAAGAATTCGCTATAGACTCAATACTGGGCTGTTTCCAGGTATGCACAGAGGCTGCTGCATTTTATAAAATAAAAATCCATTTTAAAACTATAAATAAATGCACGATGGTTTTAGTTTCCTTTATGCTTTATTCTCAATCAACAAATGTTAAAACGTGGCCAGCAATAAGTGGGGCTTTGGGGTCGGGGTACTGAAGGTTTTTGAGATCATGAAGGATGCTTTACCTTCTGCATCAGGAAGTGCTGACCTGGATGCGCAGGTGGGGGGCAGCTCGGCACCCCCCACCTGGAGATGGTTTCTATCCACCTTTAGGGTGCCCTGAGTACCCCTGCTCGCTGAGAAGAATCTGGGATGCAGGTCGTGGGCAGCTTGGCACTCCCCCCACCGAGATGGTTTCCATCCACCTTTAGGGTGCCCTGAGTACTCCCTGCTTGCTGAGAAGAATCTGGGGTGCAGGTCGTGGGCAGCTCAGCACCCCCCACCCGAAGATGGTTTCCATCAGCCTTTAGGGTGCCCTGAGTACCCTCTGCTCACTGAGAAGAACGTGGGGTGCAGGTCGTGGGCAGCTCGGCACTCCCCCCACCCGAGATGGTTTCCATCCACCTTTAGGGTGCCCTGAGTACCCCCTGTTTGCTGAGAAGAATCTGGGGTGCAGGTTTCTGTGCTGTTCATGAAAACAGGAGTCTATGCCTTTATTAGCAGTGGCACTGAGGGAGGCGGCCGATATCCCCTCACGAAAACTAAAGAACTCATCCGGAACGTCTTGCTGCGGAGAAGCCATCCCACCTCTCCTTACAGGCACCCACCAGTAATAAGCCCCCTCTGGAAAATCCTGGCTGTGAATTCCACTTGATGTGTCATGCCTGTGTCTAGTGCGCGTACCATCAAAAAACGTCGGCACATCCAACTCTTGGCAGCTGAAAGCTTACACAATGCAAGAAAAGGAAGGCCTTTCCTGTGAACTCGCGTGAGGATTTGCCTACCTATCGTGGCTGTGTTTGACTCCTGCACACCTAGAGAGCTACGCTGGGGCGGGGGTGAGGCGCTGACAGACCCACTTTGCAAAAGCCGCCCCCACCAAGTGGCTGGATGCTGAAAGGACAGGCGGAAGGAGGGTGAAAGGACGGGCAGAAGGAGGGTCTTCTCTCTAGAGATAGGGCACTGGAATCTCAGAGACAGTCTCTTCACTTATT
Organism: Homo sapiens; assembly: GCF_000001405.40. Classification (NCBI taxonomy): domain Eukaryota; kingdom Metazoa; phylum Chordata; class Mammalia; order Primates; family Hominidae; genus Homo; species Homo sapiens. The sequence goes on from NC_000002.12 coordinate 3,107,941, forward strand.
TACACCTCAGTTTAAAAAAGACGGGGAAAGAAAAGACCAGACCATGGATAGAGAAGGGAAGAAGGAAAGAGGGAGATCGAGGGGAAAGGCAGAGACAGCAGAGGCAAGACAAGGGGAAGCCTGGGGGTGAGTGAATGCTGGAGAGGGAGGGCTGGAGAGAGCAGCGCAGCCTCAGGGAGAGCAGGCCCGCCACCCCTCTCCGCTCCACTTCCACTTGCAAAGAGACCCGGGAGGCCTCAGGGCAGCAGCCACTAGACCCAGGTCTGCCAAGCCCTGTCCACCTCAGAGGGTCTCGGGAATTCTATGATTGTCCAGACAAGGCCTGTCCCAGCAGAGACCCTGGCCAGACCGAGGAGGGGCCCGGAGGGCAGGAACCCCGAAAGGGCCCCACAGCCCCACTCGCCAGCATCCCTCACCCGCCCCTGGGGTCAGCCCTGCAGCAGCCTCGGGGCTCAGCTGTGAAGCAGGGGTCCCACAGTTCCTGCAGGGGAGCTCTCAGGATTCGTTATTTGCATTTTATTTACACGTACGTGTCTTCTTCAGGTGGCCTCACAGTGTATGACTTACGCCTTTTCCTGCTCTTGAAAAATGGGTTTAAAATGGGTTTACATGTATTATTCTCAACATATCAACTCCCAGAAAGATCTGGTCTGCTCAGTGTGGAAGGAAAGGCAAGGGCAGCTTCACCAGACTCCTGATAAGACCCTCAATCATCTGCTTCCAACTCAGCTATTCAGTTACACACATGGATTCTTCTCCAAATCGCTAGCATGGCTCCAACAGGAATGTGGCTGCATGGTGCCAAGGTCTCATTCCTCCCGAGCCAGCACCACCAGCGTTTAGGGCCATGGCGCCCGGCTCCACGCTGCTCCTCCATCCTCTCAGAGACCCTGTCGCAGTCCCACTGCCCTCGCCTTCTCCAGGCAGGCACTGGCACAGGACTGTCCACCACCCAACAATGGCCTCACCTACCCGGGATGGCCTTACCTGCCTGCGATGGCCTCACCTGCCCACGACAGCCTCACCTGCCCATGAAGGCCTGGCATCCTGACGGGGCCCTGCGCATCATCCTCGCACTGAGAGGTGTTGCCAGGACACATCCCCTCCATTTGCTGGATAATTCGGCCCCTCAGGCCTGCACAGCTGCGGGGGCTGCCCCTATCTGTCCAGCCAGGCCCTGCCCATGCTCCAGGCCATCTCAAGGCCCTGGATACACTGGTTGTCCCCTCCCACCTCGTGGCATTCTTGGGTCCCAGGTGGACAGAAGAGTGCAGCCTTGCTACACAGACGCTAAGAGACACACAGTCTCCTCGTACCCCAGGAACCCCATGGTCCCACACTCTCCATCCCACAGCCAGACATCATATCAAAGCCTCCAGAGCGTGGGGCCATGTGCTGCCCTTTCCCCTGCCTGAACACTCACCCTTACATACCCTCAGTCAAACCCACTTTCCTCTCAAGGCAGCCCGAGCCCCCAGGTACTGAGCCCTGCCCTCCCGGGCCAGGCAGCGCCAGGCTCTTCCAGGCACTCACCCCATAGCAAGACCCCAGTGGGCCCCAGGGCTCACCTGCCACATCTCTCAGACCGTGACCAGAACCTGCTTCATGGACCTCTACCTCCTGTGCCCAAAACCTTCCTGGAAGACAAAAGAAGTGCCACATGAACCCTGAGTATATCCGAGAGCTGATGGGAGGGCGCTGTGGACCCCGGGCTGACTGCACAGGACACACGAGCAGTCCCGGCACCGCACTTTCAGAACAGGCACCCCGCACCAAAACCAGGAGAAGCAACAAGGCCAGAAACGCATACTGTAGGGTCAGGAGAATCCAAAATACAGGCCAGGCTTTAACATGACGTCCAGCATGAACCATCCAGGCCTGTGTGTTCGGGAAAAGGTGGAAAGAAAAGCGCCGCTGGGAAGGGAACCAGCAGTACCTGAGTGACAGAGCAAAAGCTCCTGCAGGTTCCTGCTCAGTTCAGAGGTCTGCCCTCTCCACCTACCTGAGGCAATGCGTTCAAGATCAGAAAAATCACACCAACGAAGTTACTCCATTTGGAAGCTTTTTCTGACCAACCTCACCTTACTCTGACCACAACTTACTCCATATCCAATCAGGTGTGTGTGATTGGATGTCATGTTGTGTGCACGTGTGTACATATTCTGTGTGTGCATTTGTGTATGCGTGTTTGCATGTGTGTACATATTGTGTCTGTATGTGCATGTGTGCATGCATGTCACGTTGTGCACATGTGTGTACATATTGTGTGCTTGTGTATGCATTTGTGTGTATGCACGCCATGTTGTGCGCATGTCTGTACATATTGTGTGCATGTGTGTATGTTATGTTGTGTGCCTGTGTGTGCATATTGTGTGCATGTGTGCATGCATGTCATGTGGGCATGTGTGTACATATTGTGTGCGTGTGTTTGCATTTGTGTGTATGCACATCATGTGTGCATGTCTGTATATATTGTGTGCATGTGTGTATATATTGTGTGTGCATGTGTGTATGCACATCATGTTGTGTGCATGTGTGTACATATTGTGTGCGCGTGTATCTCATGTGTGCATGTGTGTACCTATGTGTGCATGTTTGTGCATGTGTGTATGCATGTCATGTGTGCATGTATTACATATTGTGTGTCATGTTGTGTTCATGTGTTACATATTGTGTGCATGTGTGTGCATGTGTGTGCATGTCATGTTGTGTGCATGTGTGTACATATTATGTGCATGTGTGCCTGTGTTCATGTCATGTGTGCATGTGTGTACATATTGTGTGCCTGTGTGTGCATGTCATGTGTGCATGTGTGTACATATTGTGTGTGCGTGCGTGCATGCCATGTTGTGTGCATGTGTGTACATATTGTGTGCATGTGTGTGCATGTGTGTGTGCATGCCATGTTGTGTGCATGTGTGTGCATATTGTGTGCATGTGTGTATGCATGTCATGTTATGTGCATGTGTGTGCATATTGTGTGCATGTGTGTGCAGGTGCGTATGTGTCTTTGCATTTGTTTGTGTAAGTGTTCTCTCGCTCACTCACTCAACAGTGGACTTTGCATTGGCACTTCTTGGTGCTTAAAGCCACATGGACCCATTTCTTAGCAGAAACTCAAAGAATCAGGTGTGAGCCATCTGGGAGCAGCTCTTCCTAACTAACCCACATGCTCTCAAATACTAGTTGGTTTTAATCATATATAAATGCAAGCTCTGCACAGCTGAGATTCTGACTCACTTGTTTGGACACAAGGCCAAAAAAAATTGGAATTTTAACAAGCACTTGCCCCTCGGCTGTCCCTGGGCCACCTCAGCAGAAGCTGAGCTCACATATTCTCAGGGATTCATTCATGTCACAAGTCCTTTTCTACAACTCTTGCCAGCATGGAAAGCCACATGTGGCCCCTGCGTTCAAGGATCCAGAGCCCAGTGCGGAGCCAGGCAGTAAAGGAACAAGGCCCTGTGATGGAGCAAAACCTGGGAGCAGACAAGACCCTGCCCCAGCTGCCATGACGCAGGGTGATGCTCCAGGTCGCCCAGGACAGATGTCTGTGCAAAGACGGCCTGGAAGATAAGCGAGTCTGGAGGCTGCCAAACAGCCTCCACAGCCTGATGGGTGGAGTGGAAGTGGACATGGCTCAGAGGTTTCAACTGCACTTGATTTTGCCCTCTGGGGGTGGGGGAAATATACCACTGTTAAAAAAAAAAAAAAACAAAAAGCAAAAAAACAGAACAAACAAAAAAACAGACTGGTTGTGGTGGCTCAGGCCTGTAATCCCAACACTTTGGGAGGCCGAGGCGGGTAGATCACCTGAGGTCAGGAGTTCAAGATCAGCCTGGCCAACATGGTGAAACCCCATCTCTACTAAAAACACAAAAAATTAGCCGGGCGTGGTGGCAGGCACCTGTAATCCCAGCCAATGGGGAGGCTGAGGCAGGAGAATCACTTAAACCTGGGAGGTGGAGGTTGCAGTGAGCCAAGATCATGCCACTGCACTCCAACCTGGGCAACGGAGTGAGATTCCACCTCAAAAACAAACAACCAACCAAAAAAAAAAACCAGCTTCAATTCCTTGAATTACTAAGGTGGTAGGCAGCACCAAGAGGCTGAGGCTGAAGACACCTGTGCGGTTATTTACAAAGAACATAGAGGGCCTGAGACCAACTCATACTCACTCAGCCGCCCTCCTCACGTCACCATGTGTCCTAGGAGCCAGTGGGGACATTCAGTGCACGCCCTGGGACCCGCTCATTTTGCCGATAAGGATACTGACTCTCAGTGAGGATTTGAACCTCCAGGGTGCCCAGCCAGTCACTAGAGGAGACAGTTAATAACCACTGAATCCTTAGGAGATCCACGGGGCTGCTGCTATTCAGTCTGCTTCCTGCTGTGCAAAGGACAGACATTTACAGCAGGCAATTCTGCTTGGACTGGAACACCCCTGACGCCTCCCTCCATGGGCACCCTCCTTGCCCTCCTCTGAGCTCCTGGACTCCCTCCAGCCCCACTCTGCATGGACACCCACCTTGCTCAATGCCATGTAATGTCTTTAGGACTAAATTTTGCAAGAAGTGGCCAGGAGAGGGAAAAGATGGCAGATGCTGACTGGACAACCCCACTTCCAGAATGCTAACGCCAAGGTTTACAACCCAGGCCGAAGTCTGGAGAATTTTTTTCTGAGGAAATTGACTAGCCCAAGGAAAAAGACCTGCAGATTCTGTCAGTTGGGAATTTCACACTGCAACCATTGGCTCCCCTTCCCAGTATCCTAGAACAAAGCTCACAACGCAGCAAGCCCCACCCGTGCACACAAAGCCTGTAGTAGGTGCTAACGCTCACAAACGTGGGCGAACTTGCCCATTATCACCAGGCACATGGGGGAAATCTCCAACACAGAGACAAACCCAGCACACGCAAACAAAACAGCAACTCAGAAAGAAACAACGGGAGCATAAGAACATTTTAAAAAGGAACGATAGTTGATTTGCTCAGAAATTAAAGAACAGAACATGGAGCAGTATGCTATGAATAAAAGAACATTCCAAAAAAGGAAAAAAAAAACCTCGAGAATTCAAAGTAGAAAAATAAACTCTAAAAATAAAATAATAAGTTTAGACTATAAAGCAGAACAAAACAAAAAGCAAGAAATGAGACTGAGAACATAAGAAAATCAGAGTCTCCATCCAGGAGATTCAATACCCACAAAGCAGAAGCCCCAGGAAGAGAGAAAAGTGAAAACGGAGAGAAGGAAATTACCAAAGAAACGATGGAAGCCATGATCGCCCCGGGAAGGATGTTGATTCCAGATGGATAGCACCCACCAGGGCCCACAGGAGGAGACAGCCCCTCCAAACCCATCGTGTGAAGGTTCAGAGCTTCAGCTGGGAAGGGGCCAGGATGGGGTGATGGGCGCCTCAGCATGGTTTTGCCTGGTGTGAACCCCCAGCTCCTCCACTCAGACCACGGGGAGCTTGACTAGTTACACGTCTGCTCTGTGTCCCAGGTGCGTGCGTGTTTTCTTAATCAGAAAAGTGGAAATGATCATATTATTACTTTGTAGAGTTACTCTGAATATTAAATTAATACATTTAAAGACTTAGAGCGTATCTGACACATAAGTATGCATTTAATATGTTTTGTATTATTACCATAAAAAGCATACAGAAAAAATAAAGGTTCTGCACAAAAGAACAGATGTGATGGATGTCTCAAAAGTGATGTTAGAAATTGGAAGATAACAAAACAATCCCTCAAAATTCCAGAAGGAAAATGAAGCCCTATCTAGAGTTGTATATCTACAGACTAAGTTTTATTCAAGTTTTAAACAGCAAAAACTCAAAACCTTTACCTCCCGTGCACCCTAATTCATGAAGCCCCTGGAAATGCGGCCACCAGAAGTAGGGACTAAGCAAGAGAACAGTGGTTGTGGGACGCAAGAAAAGGCCAGCAGAGGAAAGAGACCCCCAGGGGGAGGTGAGACCAGCCCAGGACAGCTGCGTGGCGACCACAGGAGGAGGGCACAGCCCCTGGGAGATGTGCACTGTGAAGAAAGAGAAGCTGGAGGACCAGCTGTGGTGCTTGTGTCACAGGAGACTTTGGGGGCATTTATAGACAACTAATGAATAAATAAAAATGAGTGATTCTAGGAAAGGAAAGTACTGTCTGAGAAAGGAAGTGTAAATATGGCACACTACAGGGCTTACCCGTGGAAAAAAATGACTTACAATGCTCATATTGGACCCCAACATCCTGACCCCCCTGTGAGTGGGGGCCCAGACTCTGAAGCCAGACTGCCTCCGTCCATCTCCATCTGCCACTCACTAGCAGGGCTTTTGTTACCGTCCCTGTGCCTCAGTTTCTCCATCTGTAACCCAGGATAATAATGGTACTTTCCTTATGGGTTTGATGAGAGGATTCCATTAATTAATATATGCAGAGCATTTAGAACAGGATGATTTAGGACGCTGCGTAAATGTTCACTGCTTCTATTTTTACTTTGATTTTTTAAAAGATAGTAGCTCTCCTGGAGGAACCTCAGGCTAACACAAACAACAGCGAAATCTTAGAAGAGTCACGGAAAGATGCAGCAGCTGCTCTCCAAGCACAGGGACGGGACACGGAAAACGGCACAAAGGCGTGTCTGTCACTGAGGCAGCAACTGGAACGTGGGACAGGAACCACCAGGCAGAGTGGGGGAGCTCAGGGGTCGGGAACTCAGGGGCCAGGTCATTGAGAGGAAGACTCCGGGGCCAGCAGGAAGACTGCTGTGGGCTGTGCATGCAGAGGGAATCACAGAGGCCAGGCTGGACACTGCTGAAGAGGAGGGAAGGGCCCCCAGGACCCCTAGTTTTCTTCTGCCAGGGAAGCACAGGGTCCTTGATCCCTCTGTGGCCCTGGCAGCTGCAAGTTTTACCCACAGGCGTGAACCCAAGCTGGGACTATTTGATTCCCAGGCACTGCGAAAGCTGTGTAGGTGGCTGCTCCGAACACTGCGAAATCAACCGTGTTGTGAAACACCTAGGAACTAGCCCCAGCCCCGGACCAGAGTCCTCAAACCCCCCGTAACCTCCTCAGCCCAACGCCCTCACGGCAGGCGTAACTGGGCAGAGCGTCTGGTCTCACTGTGCCTCGCAAGGACACTAGGACCCTCTGAGCACAAGTTTCAATAAACCTTGCTGAACTTTCCTGCTGCCGCTTTTGGGGTGACTCCAGCGGCGGGAGAGCCAGCAAAGGAGACTGGGCAGGGCAGGTGTAGTCTGTTCTCATGCTGCTATAAGGACATACCTAGACTGGGTAATTTATAAAGGAAAGAGGTTTAATGGGCTCACAGTCCCACATGGCTGGGGAGGCCTCACAATCATGGCGGAAGGCAAAGGAGAAGCAAAGGCACCTCTTATACGGTGGCAGGCAAGAGAGTGTGTGCAGGGGAACTGCCCTTTATAAAACCATCAGATCTTACGAGACTTATTCACTGTTACAAGAACAGCACGGGAAAGACCCGCCCCCATGATTCAATTACCTCCCACCAGGTTCCTTCCATAACACATGAGGATTATGGGAGCTACAATTCAAGATGAGATTTGGATGGGGACACAGCCAAACCGTATCAGCAGGGGGTGTGGGAGGAGAGAAGTGAAACAGAGCAATGGGAGATGGTGTCACAGAGCCAAGAGGAGAGGACCTGGAAGAAGGGAGGAAAGAATTAGTGGCCCCTCAGGGAAAAGGAAACAGGGACCCAGGAAAATAAGGGCTGAAGTCTGCCCGCTGTGTTCAGCTTGAAGACCTGGTGGCATACAGTCTCACTGGGTACACTCCTTCCTGACACCCTCTCCAAGGAGCAGCCCACAGGGGCCTTCGCTACACCAGTTCTCTTCACTCCTCGGCACACAGGAGCCTCTAGGCCTTAGCCCTTCAGGCCTGGCTCCCTCCCAGATCTCCAGAGCTGTAACTGTGCCCTCTTCCGTCCTGCCTGCAGGACCAGACTCGAGTCCCTCTTTGTGCCTGTGCCGTGTGCATCCAGCACCATCCACCCAGGAGCACTTGTCACCTCCGATTGCACTGATGGTTCTGGTACCTGCCTCTCTTACCTACCATCAGCTCCACATGGACAAGGACCATCTAACCATGTTAAATAACAAGTCCTAAACTTCTGGAACAGATCTTGGCACATATAAATATCATTGAATGTTTCTATAAGTGTTCAATAAATATTGAATGAGTGAGTGAATGGGTGAGAGTGTGGGTAAGTCAACAATTGTTAAACAGAGAGCAACAGTAGCCACCCAGGAGCAGCATCCTAAGGAGCTACTGAATCACAACCACTTTTATTTATTCACTTAACGTTCCGTAAGGGCAACTATGTGGCAGGCAGCAGGAGTACAAATATGAACGAGACACAGCCCCCAAGCCCTGGAGAAGCTTGCAGACCAGTGACTTCAGCAGGCCCTCACATAGTGGCATTCATTTCTGTAACATTTAGACAACCCGTGGTGCACTGGGCAGAGTCAGGGGTCTCACATCAACTTGGGCAGAATAGCAAGACAAGTGCCACGCGGAGAAGTCATAGGATCCCAGCAACATAGTTTTCCCCGAAAGCAACATAGGCAAGGCCTGGCCACGCCCACAACTCTAGCGCAAGTGTGGTCCCTGATCCGACGTACCACGGGTGGAACCTGCTCTGCGGTGGGGGCGTGAAGGCTCCCAGCTGGGGGAGCCGGCCCTCATCAGCCTTCGTTGATAAGCCCTGAAGAATGTGTGTGTTCCTCATTTTTACCTCATTACTGTGCAGTCCTACGACTGCAAAGCTGTTGATATAAACATGAACTATTTCTCCTTCACTTATAATAACCTCATTCTAGTTTCTTCTTCCTGAAGCAGTTATAGTGTAATGATGTCATGTATTTAAGCCTGATAAACATAATTACTATCAACATTTAATTGATTCTTGATTACAATCAATTATATTTCTGAAACAATCAAGCATCCTACAATTAAAAATAATTGATTCATTAGTACACCCCCTTGACAATTACACAAATGCATTATTTATGTAATTAGACACATTTACAGTTCATTATTCCACATTTTATGCTATTGTTATAAAGCTACTAAACTCTCCAGCTTACTTCTTAATCTTCCTGAGATAGAACATACTGAGATAGAACACTAAGTTTATTCAAATGGATCTAGCTAAAAATTGGAAGTTACCTAAGGCAGTACAATTAAGTTATAAATCAAAAGCCTGAATTGCATGCCAATTTGAAAACAATAATTAACTAATTTACCTGCCATATATCCAGGGGAAGCTGTGAGGGCCCATGATAGTGTGGATCTGGGTACACATGTTACCAGGTAAGCAGAACAACCACTTATTCTCTAGGCAGAATCTTCATAATGTGGAGTTGGGTAAAGGATATTAAAGAGACAATGTTAGCCATCATGTGGAGTTGGGTAAACGGTACTAAAGAGACAACGTTAGCCATTAGAGGTGACAGGCTCTGATCCAGGCCAGGGTAGAACCTGCGTTTGGGTCCTCTCCACCCCAACCTGCAGGGCCCTCTAACGACTTCCCTCCCCCAAGAGGAAGGTGTCATTCTGATGAGTGAGCAGCCACCAGCCCTGAAGTCCGAGCAAGCTCCCTGTTCCCATCAAAGTCCAGGCAATTCCCTGTTGTCCAAATGCCTGTTTCCCTCTGTCTCTGCCAATAACCCTTCCCCACTGAGTTCTCCTTTCAAAATAGCAGAATTAGCAGATGGATTTTCCTTGTTTTCTTTCTAAATTTTATGGCATGACAATAAGAATTCACCAAAGTACATTAATCCACACAGAGCAAAGCAGCGAGCATGGGAGCCTTAAGCAGACCAGATAGTCAGGTGGCTTTCCAGAAGACGGAACGTAGGCGGGATCACAGGACAGGCAGGCTGTGGCAGATGATCACTGGCTGCAGGAACCACAGCTGAGCAGTGAGGGTGGCAGCCCCTCTTCCTGCCAGGGCACAGGGCTCCAGCAAGCAGGTTGAGCTGTGGGACCATGAGGCTGAAATCTGGCTGGTTAATTGAAGGAATGTCTCTGCAATCCCAAAACCACTCCTTCCCACCTGCAGTCACTCGCAGCAGTAGGGCCGCCCCCAGGATCAAGCCAAAGAGCTACAGAAATAAAACCAAGCACGCAGGAAGACAGGAATCTCCCACCAGGGGGTTAGCACCCAGAGACAGAGGCAGAAGATCTGAAAAACTTAAAAACAAAAGATTATGTTGCTGAAGATTTAATTGATTTTCTAGAAGACAGAGCTCAGGAAAAATTCAAAACATAAGAAAAAGAAAAAGATAACATATGAGGAAAAATTCAAGACAATGAATCAATCCAGAGTATTTTGCAATAAGAGTTGCATAAAAGAGAAAACCAAGACAGGAGCTGATGAAATATTTCTTTAAGTAATGAGATAAAATTTTCAGGAGTTGGAAAAAAAGCATGAAACATGAGATTGAGAGAGTCTCCAAAGTGCCTGAAAGGATGAAAAGAGGAGCATCTATTCTTAACATGCTCTTGTGGTGAAATTTCAAGATTTCAAGAATAACACTTTCTTTGCCTTTTTTTTTTTTTTTTTGAGATGGTATCTTGCTCTGTTGCCCAGGGTGGAGTGGAGTGGCGCGATCTCGGCTCACTGCAACCTCTGCCTCATGGGTTCAAGCAATTGTCCCACTTCAGCCTCCTGAGTAGCTGGGACTACAGGCATGCACCACCACGCCCAGCTAATTTTTGTATTTTTAGTAGAGACAAGGTTTCACCATGTCAGCCAGGCTGGTCTCGAACTCCTGGCCTCAAGCGATCCGCCCGCCTCAGCTTCCCAAAGTGCTGGGATTACAGGCGTGAGCCTCTGCACCTGGCCAACACTTTCATGAATAAATGATTACACAACCATAAATGAAATGCTAGATAACTGTAAAATAAATAAAAATATTAATATATACAGATCTTCAAGGTATATTAAATTTAAGAAGCCATATGCAGCACAGTGGGATGGTGCATCTGTCAATTAACAATAGGTGAAGATCTGTGTGTGAGCATGTGGGTGGCATATTTGCCATAGACACATAAACACCCTCTGGAAATATACATTAAATAATTAATGATCACGGTTCCTAGGCATGGGATAAGACGGCGCTGAGAAGATGGAGATAAAGACTGAAGGAGACTGCATACTTTTTAGCATATTTTTATTCTTAATTTTTGAACCATTTGGAAATGATTTTCTATTAAAAATTATGTTTAAAAAAAGTTGCAACAATGAAGGTCCATTTCTCCTCCCCATGCAGGTTACCTGGGATCTCCACTCAGTGTCACTTTCATCCTCACTCTGGGACCCAAGCCACTATCTACAGCATGGGCAGATGAATGACAAGGGACAAACAGAGCATGGTGAAGCTCAGGTCGGCTTTTACAGTGTCCACCCAGAAATGACACCTATTAGTTCTGTTCAAACTTTCTTGACCAATTCACAGGGACAAGACTGACTTTAGGGGCAGGGAGATATAATCCTCTCCCAGAAAGGACACTGGAAATGGATGTGTAGTAATACAGCTTACTGCAATGAGTTAACTAACGCAAATACCTGCAAACTTTATGGCCATATAAGAGAAAGAGAAGAAATGAGCACACAGCATTTCTGTAGAAAATACAAGTAATTTTCAGGCAGCATCTGTTTCAAACTCAACAAAACTCAAGAAAATGTGGATGTTATTTTTTTAAGACTTAGTAATAAAATTCTTTTTGGGTATGTTTAAAATTCCAAAATAAAATGTTTACCCAGCAAACATTTTTTAATGTGGAAAAACGAAGGAAAAATAAAGATATTACCAGGTAAAGAAAAATGGAGGTAATTCATTGCTATCAGACATTCCTTACTTGAATTAAGTAGAGGAAGTCCTTCAGGCTGATGTAAAAGGATACCAGACAGTAAATGAAATCGCATGAAGAAATAAAAAAATAGTAAAGATAACCACTTTGGTAAAAATTTAAAAGAATGAGTATTTTTCTGTTTGTAACTTTAATCTAGTATGAATGACTACTGAATAAAGTAATAATTATAAAACTATGTTTACAGGCTTATATTTATAAGCATGTAATTTGTATGAAATAATAGCACAATGAAAGGGAGATGGAACGGGGCTATGTAGGAACAAAGGTTTTATTTAGTATTGAAATTAATTGGTATTAATATTAATTAGATAATTATAAGTTAAGATGTTAATTTTAATTACCATATCAACCAATAAGATGACAACTTGAAAAAAATGTAGTAAAAGAAACAAGGGTATTTAAATGGTAACTACAAAATATCCACTTAACACAAAAGAAGGCAATAATGGATGAATAGGTAAACAAAAGAGACATAAGATACAGAAAATAGCTAAGTGGCAGCTGTAAATCCTAGCTTATGAATAACTACATTAAATGTAAATGGATGAAACAAATGAATTCAAAGGCAAAGATTGACAGAATGAATTTAAAAACATGATCAAACTATACGCTGTCTACAAGAGACACTTTAGATTTAAAGACACAAATAGGTTGAAAGTAAAAAGATTTAAAAAAAAAAAGTTCAGTTGTCCCTTGGTATATGTAGGGAATTGGTTCCAGGACCCCACATGTGCCAAAATCTGTGCATACTCAAGTCCAGCGGTTGACCTGGCAGAATCTGCTTATTCAAAAAGTCAGCCCTCCATATACATCAGTTTTGCATTCTGTAAATATTGTATTTTTTATCTGAAATCTTGAAAAAGAACAAAGTTTGAGGACTCACTCTTCCCAATTTCAAAACTTAATTCAAAGCTATAGTAATCAATACAGTGAGGTACTGACCTACGTGTAGACATACAGTTCGATGGAATAGAATTAAGAATCCAGAAATAAATCCTTACACCTATGGTCAGTTGATATTCAACAATGGCACCAAGACAATCCAATGGAGAAAGAATAGTATTTTCAAGCCTGGATATCCACATGCAAAGAATAAATGCATATTCCTACCTTACATCAGGTACAAAAATTAACTCCACATGGATCATAGAAATAAACGTAAGAACTAAAACTATAAAATTCCTAGTAGAAAACATAGGAGTAAATCTTTATGATCTTGTATTGGGTAATTGTTTCCTAGATATGATACCAAAAGTATAAGTGACAACAGAAAAAAAGATAGATAAACTGAACTTTATTAAAAACTCTTGTGCTTCAAAGACACTATCAAGAAATTGGTGGTGGCTCATGCCTATAATCCCAGGACTTTGGGAGGCCAAGGCAGGAGGCTTGTTTGAGGGCAAAGTTTGAGAACATTCTGGGCAACATAGTAAAACCCTGTCTCTCAAGAGAAAAAAATTAACCAGGTGTGTTGATGCACACCTGTAGTCGTAGCTACTCAAGAGGCCGAAGCAGGAGGATTGCTTGAGCCCAGGAGTTTGAAACCAGCCTGGGCAATATAGTGAGACCTTGTCTCTACTAAAAATTAAAAAGAATTAGCCAGGCATGGTAGTATGTGCCTGTGGTCCTAGCTACTCAGGAGGCTGAGGCAGGAGGATTGCTTGAGCCCAGGAGTTCAAAGTTGCAGTAAACTATAATCACACCGCTTTCACTCCAGCCTGGATGACAGAGTGATGCCCTGACTCTAAAAAACAAAGTTGAAAAGATTTGCAGATTACATATCTAACAAAGATCTAGTATCCAGAATACATAAGAAATTCTTAACTCAATAGTGAAAAGACAACCAAAAAACTGGGCAAAGGAATTCAATACACATCTGTCCAAAGAAGATATACACAGGGCCAATAAGTATATGAAAAGATGATCAACATATTAGTCATCAAGAAACGCAAATCAAAACCACAATGAGACACCACTTCACATCCAAATAAGATGGCTAAAGTAAAAACTGCAGACAATAACAAGCATTGACGAGGATGTGGAGAAATTCAACCATCATGCATTCCTGGTGGGAATGTAAAATTGTGTATGCATTTTTAAAAACATTTTAGCAGTTTATCAACATGTTAAACATAGAGTTAACAATAAAATAGCAAAAATCGTTTTCCTTTAAGAAATAAGTAACAGCCTGGACTCAATTTTTCTTACACAACTTTAAAGATTAGAAAATAGTGAAGCGACTACTTCAAAGTTAAAAAGAAAGTTTCTGACTCCAAAATTCCATACCCAGCTAAGGTTGCAGAACTGATATCCACATCTTTCCTCAGAAATGTGCTCTAGGCCATCAACAAAAAGATTTTTTTTAATCCTTCAAAGATGGAAGTCACGACATAAAAATTTGACAAAGGGAATCAAAATTGTTTACTCAAACAACTCTAAATAATTGTTATAAATTTCATTCATCTGTCACATGTAATTCTCAAAAATGAAAACATTTCATGTAAAAGACAGCCCAGTGACAGTATGAGAGAAAAAAGATACACAGGAGCTAGAAGGAAAAGTAAAAGAAAATAAGTGTGCCAATCAACTCAATTTATATAAGAAAAATCAGTATGTTTCATTCTTGACGTTGATATTTAAACAATGTGTGTTCTTTTCTTGTCTAAGAAAAAAGAGTCACCATAATTGAATCAATAAGCGATAAATGAAAAGCCATGTATGAAATTGAAAATGTTGTTGAAGAATTATTTCTCACAAGTTTCCAGCCACAGACATTTTCACAGGCTGGGTTTTCAGACTGTCATGGAACAGATGATTTCCATGCTAGATAAGTGTTTCCAGAGAACACAAAAAGGTGGCATGTTTCCCAATAATTCATTTCCCAAAGCCAGCATGTCCTAGAGACACAAGCAAAGACAGACTAAAAAGGGAACTAGACGCAGATGTCTTTTATGAATACAGATGCAAAAATGATATGTGAAATAAAGAGAAAAAAGGACTATGCTTATGTCAATAGATGCTAAAAAGACATTTGCTAAAACTTATAATAAACTAGGAAAGAAAAATGCTTCTTTAACATGATTAAAAACACCTACTCAAAGCCAGTAGCCAATACCTACCTAACAATAAATACCTAACAGTAAATCTGGTAGCATTCTCACTGAAACAATGGAAAAGACAAGGCAGCTTACTGTGGCCAGCATGCCCTCAGATCCACAACAAAATAAAAGGAGGGAAAACTCTCTCCCTATATATATAATACACACACACTCACACACACACACACACACACACATTCACATATAATTTTTGAAAAGGAAGGTGAAATTTTGACATTATTCAAATTTGATATCATCGCTTACCTAAGAAAAATAATGTAAAATTATACTAATTTTTAAAAAAATTTTAATAGGAACATAAAAAGCAGTCGTTTTCCTACATATCAGCATTAACAGTTAGAGAAACAATGGGAAAAGAATTCTATTCACAATTTTAAAACTGAGTACCTGGAAATTAATCTTACAAGAAGTCTGTCAGGCTCAAATAATTAAATCCATAAGCCCAAGAGAGCACCATAGAAAATATTTGAACAAATGGAGAAATACAGTATATTCCATATCTAAAAAGAAATATTAAGAAGATGTACGTTTTTGCCAAACTAATTTATGAATTTGATGCAACTCAAACTTCCAATAGAATTTTGTAAGCAAAATTGATTATAAATGTTGTCTAGAAAAATGAAAAGCAAAAAAAAGCAAGGAAATTTTTTAAAAATAATAACATGGATGCGTATAGGATACTTCAGGCTGAAATAAAGTGGCAATAAGTAAATGGGTGAAGTACTAGGGCAAAAATACACACAGTGATCACTAGACTAGAACAGAGACCCAGAAACATGCCCAGTATATACCAGCAGTCAGCCTAGACAGTCATCCCTGGATCCCCACGAGGGACTGGTTTCAGGACTCCCTGCAGGTACCAAAATCTGAGAATGCTCAAGTCCTGATATAAAACGGTGCTGTATTTGGATAAAGTCTACACACATCCTCTCATATACTTCAAGTCATCTCCAGATTACCTGTAATAGCTAATACAACGCAAATCCCACGTCAATAGTTGTCATTAGAGTGTATCGGTTTTATTTGTATTAGTTTTTGTTGTGCTGTTTTTTTTTTCCTGAATATTTTCCATCTATGGTGATTGAATTGCAGGTGTGGAAGCTGCAGATAGGAAGATCAACCTTAACACTGTTTGGCACTCACATCTGCGGGAGGCCGAGCAGAGACCCAGAGCCCAGGTCTCACAGCCAGGCCGTCCAGAGGGAGCCCTGTTTCCATCATCGAGCAGCTGTGTGACCCTGAGCAAGTTCCTTAACTTGGCTTTGCTTTACATTTCTTCGCCAGTCAAATAAAGATAATAATATCTCTCTTACTGGGTGGTTGTGAGGATTATATAAGTTAATAGATGAAAAGCCCTAAAAAGAAGGCCTGCACATATTAAGTTCTATAGAAGAATGTATTAAAGAAAACAACTAAGTTGGGTTAGAAAAATTAGTTAATTGGGAGGACAATAAATCGGCTCCATTCATGCTCGCACTACACACCCTGATGGAATACCAGGTTCAGCTACAAAATAGAATTACTAAATAATAATAGAGAGCAGATAAAACACGTGATCTTGCAGCAGTGACGTGTTTTGAATATGACGGGGTGTGGGGAGATTCGGGGATGGGGAAACACAAAGCTCTGGGAAATCAAGAAAAGCAGCAATTCCTAGAGTCAGTTGCCCTCGTAACACAGCCAGGAGAGCTCAGTCTATGTTTAAGCTAAATATGATAGAGTGTAACATCTATACAAATGTAAGGGGAAAATCAACAGGTCTGGGTAAAAATAATTTCTGGAATAAGATAAGGTATTCCTGCATTCTCAGTCTTTAGTCTATGAAAACCGTCAGAAAATAAAAACGGGAAAACTAAAATGCCTCCCAAGAATGCCATCCTTTTTTTTTTAACATTAAAAACATTCTCTAAGGAATAGAGTTTCCTCATTACTGCTGTGAAATCCACATGAATACTAAAGAATGTATGTTTTCTCCAAAAAGAGTGTGTGCCTGAACATAAGATTACCACGCACGCTGCGATGAGCTGGGAACACCATCTCATCTCTGCACAGAGCCGCCGTTTCAAAGACGCAAGAGCTGGGAATCTCAGCAAATCAAATTGCACAACATGAAGCGCTGTCTCTATCGCGCGGTTAGCTTACTGCTATCATTTGTGGGAAATACGAGGCGCTAAAATTCTGACACCACATTCCTTGCAGAGCCTTGCAACGGGAAGAAGAAATGGCACGGCGTGAACCCAGTCTCTCAAATGAGTCGGCCAAACCTTGACAATTGATCTAGCGCCACTGCAGTTTATCCCACAAAAGCCTTACCCTAAGTCCAGCGGATCCCCACGCAATCTGAGAGTGCCAGGCAGGCCCCATTATTCCAGGACCACAAAGGGAGCCCGTGCCCTTGGCGAGGACTCCAGGGCTCTAAAGATGACTGGATAGCAGCAGCTGTCACAAAGCCTGTTCCTAGGCATAACAGAAATTGGAAAAGTTTGTTTCCAGTGCCTCTGCACACTCCCCACCCCACCCTTCAACACCGCCTTCCATCGTTCCCCTCCACCCCCTTGCGTGCAGCAGTTTTTGCTGTACCTAAAAGGACTTGTTTTGCAAGTGAAGACTTGCCGCCAGGAGAAGGACGCTGCCATGACAGGCGCTTTACACACGTGTTCTAATCACAGCTATCCTGAAAGACAAACTATGTTCGCATCCTCATTTTACAGAGAAAGACATGAAACCTCTATGAGTGAAGAATTTGCCAAAAGGGGCCCTGCCTCAGCCCCCTGGGCCCTGCCATACTCCAGGAGAGACGGTCAGCACCCTGGGTCCTGGGCAGCCATGGAGGGAGGCCACACACCTTCCGAGGCATCCAGTGCCACCACAGACACAGCGCCTTCTCCTCTGCCCAGACCTGCCCCCTGCTTGGGGCTTTTGGACCCTCTCCCCACATCCAGTGTGCCTACTGTGTTCTCTCCTCGGGAGGACCCTGTTGTCTGCTAAGGTCACAATGACACCCAGTGTGGAGGCAACGTGGGTGGCTGGTGACTCTTTCCTCATGCCACACGCTCAGCACGCTTCCAGGGAGCCCTTGATGGGTGGGCCCAGCGCTGTTCCCACGGCACCAAGAGAGACAAGGTCTCCACCAATACAGCGTGAGCAGGGAGGGGGCAGACGAGGAAGGACAGTTCTGTGTCCCAGCATCAGTGACTGGGTTTTAGATAAGTAGGTCTAGGTCTCCTCTGGCCTCTTCCACCCTCTTATGTATAGATCCATACCAAATTGTTTAAATGCCCTGACTCTTCATCTGTAAAATAGGGCAATGACCGCCCACACTGCTCCTGCTGCCTCTTCTCAACAAGGGGGTTGTGCAGATCCGAGAGGGAAGCCGCACACAGGAAGGTTGTTGAGATGGGAGAGGGAGACCGCGCAGCTTACAGGTAGATGCTGCTTCTGAAGCTGCTGGCGGATTGGGGTGCGCGTCACAAGGTGGAGTTTGCTTTTAGAACCCAAATGACAAAGATCTCTGAGTTATAAGCACCTCTCACCTCAACCAGCAGCAGCAGAGGGGGCTGAGTGGTCATCACAGGGTCTCCTAGGAACACAGAGACGACCTGGCCTGGCCCTGTCCACTTACTGCCGGTGAGACCCTGGCCATGTCACTTAATGTCTGGCAAACTCACTTTTCTCACCTGTAAAATGGGTTCCTAGCCCTGCCTCGCCTGCTTGCTGGGTGGTGAGGATCACAGCCTGGACTGGGAGATGGGTGGGGCGTGCATGAATAGGCAGAGAGGAAATGAAAGGCTGCTCCAGCTTGCCCAAGGGCCAGAGACGGTCCATGCTTGGTGTGCTGGAGTTGGGGCTGAGAGAGAGACAGTGTTATTTTCCTGGAGATAGGACTTCTTATTTCGCTGGAGTACCCAGCTTTGGACAGGAAATCACTTGTTCATTGTTATCAGCCTGGGAGAGGAAATAAGGGCCCACATCTCTGCACTGCTTGCCCTGGAATGTGATTTATTGGAAACACTGGATAACTCATAGATGATAAAAACAACTGAAATGAGGCCCTGGAAGCTGCTCTGGCCTGAGCTCAGCGCAGCCCTGAGGCAGCAGCCGGGCAGGGAAGCCTGAGAGCTGCTGGGGCCGCAGGGACTCGGCCACGTCCAGCCACACAAAACAAACCAAACGTTTCGGGCGATCCTGGGGCAGCATCCTTTCCTCATCCTGCCTGGGCCAGGAGCCTGGGGCTACGAAGTCGTAAAGACTTACCCAGTGCATTCTGTCCAGAATCAGGGGCCCCTCTCAAGAGAAAATACAGCATCACAAAAGTCCACACGGAGGCACATTGGCGGCTGTCATGCTTTGTTGATCCCCGTGACAGATGCTGAAACACCAGCTAGTAAAATGGACACTTTGGGGCTGACATCTGCTGCTGTGCCTGTAATGAGCACTTCCTGTATGCAGGCAGCTGGGTGCCAGGCACAGGAAATCTACACAGGCCACAGAATAATTTGATTTGGGCTTTCTACGGAGTGCGCGCCGTCTCTGAGCTTTCGTGATTTCATCTTCCGGAAGGCGAAAATCATCCCTCTGCTGAATTGGGTTTTGATTTGCTGGTGTTCACCTGACAGGACGCATCTCCCGCGAAGAAGCAGTGTTTGACTCCGTGCTGCAGGGTTGTTTTGTCTCCGAAATGCAAACCAGCTACTTTTTTAATCCCATGGAGACCGTCCAGACACCAGACATTACTATATCCCTGGAATTATTCCCTGGGCAGCCGCAAATGAAGCTGGGAAGAACTGCAGTGGAGGGTGGAGGACGGAGGGTGGAGGGTGGAGGGTGGAGGGTGGGAGGTGGGTGACTGGGAGCATTTCCTGTGGTGGAGGAGCTGATCACACGTACAGGAAGGGAACACCTGGAGCCCTGGCTGGCAACCCTGTCCAGACTGCACTCAGCATCCACAGCAGCACGCACAGGGCAGCAGGAGTGCTTCCTCAGTGCAGAGAGCACCAGAGCTGCCCCACCTTCTCCTAGCCATCTGCAACTACTGGCCCCCAAGGAGAATTAAGAAGAACTCAGAGGAGCTAAACTCACCAAGATTGAGCCAAAGTCCTCAGGACACGCCAGAAGAGCCTCCATTAGCTCTGTCCCAGATCCATCCTAAGGGAACAGTGCAGAGGCAAGAGGCAAAGGGCCAAGATGAGGCCCCAGCACCTTCTTCTTGAACATGTGGGGGCCAGGAGACAAGAGCCACACCCTCACCCCAGCCTGGTCTGCAGGGTCTGTCCTCCCTGCTTGGTTCTTCCCTAAGGCAACTCACAAAGCCACTGCAGACAGCAGGACTGCAGTTTTTGAGCCAAAAGTTGAGACACAGGTTTTGACAATTTAAAAAAAGATTTTTCTCATTAGTAAATATATTTGAGATGTTAGAAAGAGGTTTCACAAATCATATTAATTTATATGTGAATTAATATATTTTGTTAAATAACCTCTCCCTGGGTCCCTCCCACAACATGTGGGAATTCTGGGAGATACAATTCAAGTTGAGATTCGGGTGGGGACACAGCCAAACCGTATCACATGACCAAGGCAGATGAGACCCTGCTCGAAGTTGATGTTTCAGTTGGGGTGCCAGGAGGGCACTGGGAGACACACGAGAATGCAAGAGAAGACCACCTTTGCCCTGGTTTAAACATATATCTATATAACATAAACTTAGGATCTTAAGTGTGGAGTGCAGCAGGGCTGGCTCTACACACACTACTGGAACTTTTCATCCGGCAAATCTGAAACTAGGGATCCATTAAACAACCCCCAGAAACACCCTTCCCCCACTGCCCTGGCACCCACCATTCTACTTTATGTTGCTAAGAGTTTAACTATGCCAGGGACCTCACAGGAAGTGGAATTCCACAGTATTTGTCCTTCTGTGACGAATGACTTCGCCTGCACCACTTAGCGTGATGTCCGCAAGGTTTATCCGGGCCATAGCATGTCAGGGGAAACATCACTTTCAGGCCAGAAAATGACAGAAGCTGTGAGGATGACAGAATAAGCTGATCTGATTAAGGAGTCATGGGAGCCGGGCACAGTGGCTCACATCTGTAATCCCAGCACTTTGGGAGGTCAAGGCGGGCAGACTGCTTGCCTCCAAGAGTTCATGACCAGCCTGGGCAATAGGGTGAAACCCCATCTCTACAAACAATTTAAAAATTAGCTGGTTTCAGGCCAGGTGAGGTGGCTCACGTCTGTAATCCCAGCACTTTGGGAGGTCGAGACAGGCGGATCATGAGGTCAGGAGATCAAGACAATTCTGGCTAACACGGTGAAACCTCATCTCTACTAAAAATACAAAAAGTTAGCCAGGCATGGTGGTGTGCGCCTGTAGTCCCAGCTACTCAGGAGGCTGAGGTAGGAGAGTTGCTTGAACCCGGGAGGTGGAGGTTACAGTGAGCCAAGATCGCACCACTGCACTCCAGCCTGGGTGACAGAGTGAGACTCTGTCTAAAAAAAAAAAAAAAATAGCTGGTTTCCAGCTTCATCCATGTCCCTGCACAGGAACAGAAAACCGAACACCCCATGTTCTCACTCATAAGTGGGAGTTGAACAATGAGAACACATGGACACAGGGAGGGGAACATCACACACTGGGGCCCGTCAGGGGGTGGGAGGCAAGGGGAGGGAGAGCATTAGGACAAATACCTAATGCATGCGGGGCTTAAAACCTAGATGACGGGATGATGGGTGCAGCAAACCACCATGGCACATGCATACCCATGTAACAAACCTGCACGTTCTGCACATGTAATCCAGAACTTAAAGTAAATTTAAAAAAAAAAAGAATATCTGGACATATTACGACTGAATCCAGTGCCTTTCAGGTTTCATTTTTCAATATAAATAATGACTAACATTAAAAAAAATTAGCTAGGCATGGTGGCACGCACCTGTAGTCCCAGCTACCTGGGAGCCTGAAGCAGGAGGATCACTTGAGCCCAGAAGGCTTAGGCTGCACTGAGCCGTGATCTTACCACTGCACCCCAGCCTGGGTGACAGAGTGAAACCATGTCTGGAAAAAAAAAAAAAAAAAAAGAGCGAATGGGCTGTATTCATTTTCTGTGGCTGCCATAACCACATGCTCAGCAGCTGAAACTGCACGAGTGTGTTATCCTACCATTTCTAGGGGTCCCCAGTCTGCCAGCTGCCTTCCTTCTAGAGGCCCTGGGGGTGTCTGTTTCCAGCTTGTGTGGGTCGTTGGCAGAATTCAGCTCCTGTAGCTGCAGGACGGAGGTTCCCTTGCTGAGGGATGCTTTCTGCTCCTGTGAACCCCATTCCTCAGCTCTCGGCCCCTTCCTCCACCACCAAAGCCAGCAACAGCCGTCCATGCATCTCATGTGGACCCACGCTGCTTCTTCCTCCCGCCTCTCCCTTCCACATCTAAGAACATTTGTAATTATGCTGGGCCCCCACAGGTAAACCAGGAAAGCTTAAACTTTGTAACCTCCATTCCTTCTGCAAAGCCCCTGTTGCCACAAAGCATAACATACTCACAGGTGCCAGCAACTGGGGCACGGACGTCTTTAGGGCTGTAATTCTGCTCCTGAAGGGGCTGCCTCAGATCCGGGGGCACAGAAGCTCTCCTGCAGATTCTGTGATATTTAAACTGAGACGTGGGTGTCAAGACAGAGTTTGCCACATGCAGAACCAGGGAAAGCCATTCCTGCAAAGCTATGGCAAGTGCCACATCCCTAGGGCAGGGATAAACTTGGTGGTGAAGGGGACAGGGGGACAAGGACTGAGGTGGGCAGGGACCTGGACCCCAGAGAAGGGCCTTGGGTTTACTGTGCAATCAGAAACCATTAAAGGTTTCAAGCACAAATGACATGATCTGATTTATATTTTTAAAAGATCATTCTGTTATTTGACATTTGAAATGATATTTGAGACGTGCTGTGAAAGCACAGGTAGGCTTTAGACAGATGAAGAGGGGAGACGTGGGTGTCAGGTGCACAGAGCTCGGACACAGCCTGGAGGCAGGAAGTGGACAGAGAGGGGTGGAGCACCAGGCCCCAGGGTGCAAGAGAAAACCCAGCTGGAGGGACCCCGGGGGCGGAAGCCCGAGCTGCAGGGACCCCGGGGAGGTTAAGTGGGGAAGCGGGAGGGACCCTGGGGGAGGAGAACTGGAGGGAACCTAGAGCAGGGAAAGCTGGAGGGACCCTGGAGGGAGAGAGCTTGAAGGACCCTGGGGGAGGAGAGCTGGAAGGACCCTGGGTGGTGGTGAGCTGGAGAGACCCTGGTGTGTGGGCAGAACCGTAGGTGGGGGCCTTCAGTGGGGCACCGGTGCAGGCCGAGGGTCTGCAGGGATGTTTCAGGCAAGGGGCAGGAGCTGGTGTCCATCCCACTGGCTCCTTATGGGGGCAATCAGTGGTGCCGAAACTCCCAGCTGGCAGCTTCCTTGCATCATCATTAGATGCCATTAAAGAATCAGTCACAGGAAGTTACAAAGGGACCCTTGGTGAGAGGTCAGCTCCAGCGCTGCGGGGCCCACAGGAGGACCAGCTTGGGGCTCACAGCTCACGCTCTGCACAGCCGTTCTCTGCTTAACCAGAGAATTCAGCGGGAACTCGTTAACATGGAATTTTGAGGAAGTAAACAATGCCCCGTCTCTTCCCCCAGCCCTTCCCTTTTTATTTTTCATATTTCCAACACGGAGGAGAGTTCACCTCAGAATGTCTGTGGTCCCCTCCGCCCTGGGGGCCGTGTCTGGGGAGACAGGGGCCCAGTGCTAGAGGACAGGGCTGGACACACTCCCCAGCGAGGGAGACAGAGCCCGAAGACTTTCAGCTCTGACCAGGGAGTCCCCGAGATGGGACAGCCCAGGCATGTGTGGGCCTAACCTGGGGCCAGGACCTGGGCTTTTGCCTTTGGTGTCAGCAACACAACATGGCACGTGCAACTTTCCACCCGTTAGCAATCACAAGTGTGTGTCCCAGGCTGGAACTGAGTATGGTGGGACTTGTCAAAATGGTAAAAGGGAAACCAGAGAGAAAACAGCAGAGAGAGATGAAAAACTCAGCCTCTTTAAATTCTGTCCTTTCCGTGGGTGGTCAGTGCCAACGTCACTGCTGTGACGGCCGCCCTGGGAATTAATCCAGTGTGCTCAGAGGTACCTGCCAGCCGGCTCCCGGTGCCTGCCGGATCTGGAGAGAAGAATAAAATATAAAACCCTCCACTGTGATCCGCAGACTTTCCTATATTCCAATAGCTGTTTAAACCTGAAATTAAACGAGTGAGCTGGTGAACGGCAGCGTCTTCGGGGGGCTTAGCACCTGTCTAGCACGGGAGCACTCGCTGTGCAGTGTTTATCTTTCTTATTAAATCAAAGGAAGGATGGAGAGACCACAGACCCTCTCAGCAGACAAAGGGATATTTTAACCCCTGCCTTTCCTTCTAAATATGCAGATGACAACCACAGCCCAGACACAGCACCCTTGGCAGAGGACTCGAGGACTTCACTCTGCCAGCCCCGGGCGGCCCTACCCAGGCCTGCTTTCCAGGAAATTGGGGTTTGCCTGCCCTGCCTAGGCTGTGAAGAGTATGCCCCAGGCAGATCCTGGATTCCACTTCAACCCCGCAAATCCACACCCCACCCTCACACTTCCCATGGCCCCCCGGCCCAGAGGGGAGTGGAAGAGTGGAAGCACCTGTCCCTGTGCAGGGAGGAAGCAGGGTCAGGGGACCCTCAGAGCCTGGCCGATCATCCCGTGAATGGGCACACCTGGTCCTACCATCCCATCCACCTGAGCAGAACTGCCGTCTCTTTGGAAGGGAAAGTGGGGAGGTAACAATTGGGCAGCTAATCAGTGACATCCGCTGACCACGAGGGAGTGAACTTCCCATCGCGAAGCGATGGGTCAGAGCTGACCTGTCATTGGCTACAGCATGGCAGTGCCACTCCCTCTCACACACCTGCCGCTTTGTTATCCAAGGGCACCCATGACACTCACCAGCCACACTGGTGTCCCCTTGCCCTCAGAGTCCCACTGTCCTCGGCAGAGTCCCTGAGCTCACATAGCTGAGCTCAAACGGCGAATCCTGAAATCCTGAGGTCCTGAGCTGTGGCCCATTTCTATCTTTTCTTTCCACTTCTAAGAAGGAAGTCGTGTCTGGATCCTTCCTGCATTGCTGGTGGGAATGTGAAATTGTGTCACCATGGAAGCCAGTATCGCGGCTCCTCAAAAACCAAACATGAGTGTTGTTCTGATCACCAATCCCACTTCTGGGAATTTTTGAAAGAGAACTGAAATCAGGGTCTCAAACAGACATCTGCACTCCGCGTTCATAGCAGCATATTAACAACAGCCAAAAGGTGTCGACGGCCCAAGTGTCGTCAGTGTGTGAACAGATAAGCAACACGTGGCATAGACACACAGTGGAATATTATTCAGCTTCAGAAAAGGAAGGGAAATCTGACATGTGCTACACCAGGGATGAAGCTTGAGGACATCATGCTAAGTGAAATAAACCAGACCCCAAAGGACAAATACTGTGTGATTCCACTTACATGCAGTACCCACATACTCAGATTCATAGAGACAGAAAGTGGAAGGGTGGGTGCCAGGGGCTGGGGGAGGGGGAAGCATGAGGACTTCGTGTTGAGTGGGGACAGAGTTCCAATTTTGCAAGATGAAAAAACCCTGGAAATGGATAGTTGCAATGTTTGCACAGCACCATGAACATGCTTAATGCCACTGAACTGTACGCTTAAAAAAGTCAAAATGGAAAATCGTATGTTATGTATATTATGCCACAATAAAAGTATGTACCAGAAAAAGAAAGCCAGGTATGGTCAGGTTGTTGAGCAACTTTGGACAAGCTTCAGGTTTCTTCTGCAGAAAATGGGTGAGAGTCACCATTAGCTTACAGCCTACTGAGAAAAGCATGTGGCATCCCATGTGGAAAGTCACTTTTTGAGCAGGAGCTGTAAGGTTGTTAGTTGCTGTCCAATACCATTAAGTGGCCCAGGTGGGAGGGAAGGTAACAGCCAAGCCAGCAGTGCCCAATCTGCTGCCAGCTCCCAGTGGCCAGCTGGACACCCTGCCGGGATGACTCCACCACCAGCTCCCTTCCTGCTGGCAGCTGCCACGGGGCAGTTGGTGACAAAGGAGCCCGCTGAGGCACAGTGGCAGCTTCTGCACTTCACAGCCAGATGGAAAAATGCAACCACAGTGGGGCGTGAAGGGCACCATGTTCAGGGAACTTTAAAAAAGAAAACCTGACCAGGGTGGGCATAGCGATGGCCAAGAAGCACATGAGAAGACGCTCGACATCATCACCGATGGCCAAGAAGCACAAGGTGCCAACATCATCACCGATGGCCAAGAAGCACACAAGAAGATGCTTGACATCATCACCAATGGCCAACAAGCACGAGAAGGTGCTCAACATAATCACCGATGGCCAGCAAGCACACAAGAAGATGCTTGACATCATCACCAATGGCCAACAAGCACACGAGAAGGTGCTCGACATAATCACCGATGGCCAACAAGCACACTAGAAGATTCTTGACATCATTAGCCATCAGGGAAAGGCAAATCCAATCACGGAGAAACTCCACTTCACACCCACTCGGATGGCTATTAGCAAAAAAAGAGGAAAACAACAAGTGTTGGCAAGGACAACGGGAAACTGGAACCCTCATATGCTACTGGTGGGAATGTAAAATGGCACTGCCACTTTGGAAAACAGTTTGGCACATTTTTTTCATGACAATAATTTTATTTTATTTTTATTTTTTTAACTTTTTATTTCCATCAGTTTTGGGGGAACAGGTGGTATTTGGTTA
The DNA here is from genome assembly GCF_000001405.40 of Homo sapiens. NCBI lineage: Eukaryota > Metazoa > Chordata > Mammalia > Primates > Hominidae > Homo > Homo sapiens. Next base: position 3,134,815 of record NC_000002.12, read on the forward strand.
CATGAGTAAGTTTTTAATCTTTTTTTTTTTTTTTGAGACATAGTCTTGCTCTGTCACCCAGGCTGGAGTTAAGCAGCACGATCTCGGCTCACTGCAATCTCTGCCTCCTAGGTTCAAGCGATTCTCCTGTCTCAGCCTCCTAAGTAGCTGGGATTACAGGTGCCTGCCACCATGCCCGGCTAATTTTTGTATTTTTAGTAGAGATAGGGTTTCACCATGTTTGCCAAGCTGGTCTCGAACTCCTGATCTCAGGTTATCTGCCCACCTCTGCCTCCCAAAGTGCTGGGATTACAGGCATGAGCCACCACGCCCAGCTGAGTAAGTTCTTTGGTGGTGATTTGTGAGATTCTGATGCATCCATCATCAGAGCAGTAAACACTGAACCCAATTTGTGGTCTTTTATCCCTCATCCCCATCTCACCATTTCCCCTGCAAGTCCCCTAAGTCCATCGTATCCTTGTTATACCTTTACATCCTCATAGCTTGGCTCCCACTTATGAGTGAGAACATACAATGTTTGGTTTTCCATTCCTGAGTTACTTCACTTAGAATAATAGTCTCCAATCTCATCCAGGTCTCTGCAAATGTCGTTAATTCATTCCTTTTTATGGCTGAGTAGTATTCCATCATAAATATATATATATATGTATATGTATATGTATATATGTGTATATATGTATATATATGTATATGTGTATATATGTGTGTGTGTGTGTATATATATGTATATATACATACACAGTTTCTTTATCCACTCGTTGATTGATGGGCATTTGGGCTGTCTCCACTATTTTGCAATTGCGAATTGTGCTGCTGTAAACACGCGTGTGCAAGTATCTTTTTCGTATGATGACTTCTTTTCCTCTGGGTAGATACCCCGTAGTGGGATTGCTGGATCAAAACGATTTTCAGCATAGCTACCACATGACTCAGCAGTTCAGCTCCTAGGTATGTGCTCACGAGAAATGAAGGTGTATGTCCAGACAGACTCTCACACACAGATGTCCATAGCAGCATTATTCACAACAGCCAAAAAGTGAAAACAATCCAAATGGCCATCAAGTGGTGATGTGGTAAACAGGATGTGGTATATCTATGAAATGGAACATTAATTGACTATAAAAAAGAAGGAAATGCTGACATCCACTACCACGTGGATAAACCTTGAAAACACTGCATTATCTGAAAGAAGCAGACACAAAAGAAGACATAGTGGGTCATTTAATTTATTTCAAGTGTCAAAAAAAAAAAAAACAAATCGCGAGAGACCAAACGTGGATTAGTAATTACCTAAGAGTTAGGTGCTGTGGCTCACATCTGTAATCCCAGCACTTTGGGGAGGCCAAGGCAGAAGGATCACTTTGGGGAGGCCAAGGCAGGAGTTTGAAACCAGCCTGGGCAACCTCACATCTACAAAAAATATAAAAATTAGCTGGGCATGGTGGTGTGTGCCTGCCTATGGTCCCAGCTACTAGGGGGGCTGAGGCAGGAGGATCACCTGAGCCCAGCGAGGTCAAGGCTGCAGTGAACCATGATTAACCCACTGCACTCCAGCCTGGGCGACAGAGGGAGACTCTGTCTCAAAACTAATAATAATTACCTAGGACTGGGTGTCAGAATGAGGCGTCATCACAGGGTGACTGCAGGTCCCAAAATTAGAGGGTGGTGATGGTTGTGCCCTCTTTAAACAGCCTAAAGTTCATTGAACTGTACACTTAAAACAGGTGACTTTTATGGCATGTAAATTACATCCCCATAAGGCTGGGTTTGTTGTTGTTGCTGTTGTCTTTGTTGTTGTTTTGAGATGGAGTCTCGCCCTGTTGCCAGACTGGAGTGCAGTGGCGCAATCTCGGCCCACTGCAACCTCCGACTTCCTGGTTCAAGCAATTCTTCTGCCTCAGCCTCCCAAGTAGCTGGGATTACAGGCACGCACCACCACACCAGGCTAATTTTTGTATTTTTAGTAGAGACTGCGTTTCACCATGCTGGCCGGGATGATCTCGATCTCCTGACCTCGTGATCTGCCCGCCTCGGCCTCCCAAAGTGCTGGGATTACAGGCGTGAGCCACCACGCCTGGCCACGGCTGTTTTTTAACAGCAGCAATCTGAATGCAGCAGCCAGTATTGAAGCTGCACATTGATTGAATTTTGTCCAGGTAATGCAATCAGCTTTATTCCTCTTTTGTCTTCCTGTCCTCTCCCCGTGGCTCCCACCCATTTTGAGACGGACGGATCCGAGGACAAAGGCTTAGTTGCTATGCATGCAAACATCCATTAATGTTCACTGGGGGCGCTTTCCTTTGCTTTTACCGTGAATATTTCTTGTGAACTAAATCAGGATATTTTACCAAACAAACGCAAATCAAGCTACAAGTTATACTTCTTTTTTTTCTATTTTTGTTTCTTTATGAAAACTTGAGAAAAATGCACCATCCCCTGAGAACTAGCATTTTAAATATGACACCAAATTATAATGTTAAAATAAAATGCGGGTTCCAGGTCCTTGGTGCCCCTCCTGCAGCTTGATCTCATATCATTCAATTCTCCTTGATGACTAACCCAGAGTGGCTCAGACTGACACACACATGTGTGACCTTTTAAAACTCAGTTCTTTCCTAGGAGAGAGTGAATGACTTTCATGGGGAGCCTGAAATCAACAGAAAGAGTGGGTGCTGTGCAAATTCTACCAAGGGCAGGAGCCACGCCCACAGGACAGAGGGAAGAGAGGACCAGCATGCAGGACAGAGACCTTCATTTGAAGATGAGACCAAAAGTCCAAATCTAATACCCTGAGGCTGAGCAGAAGGAATCCCCTGTCCATGACACCCCCTACACATGCACACACATACACATTCACACGTGCATGCTCACAGTCACACTCAGCCACACACATGCACACACTGTCACAGTCACACACACAGCCACACACATTCACACACACACATTCACACACACACATTCACACACAATCACAGTCACACACAGCCACACACATTCACACATGCACTCTCAGTCACAATCACACATGCATGCACACACATGCACATTCACACACGTACATATTCACACACATACACATTCACACGTGCATTCTCACATTCAACTCAGCCACACACATTCACACACATGCATATTCACACACTCTCAGTCACACACAGCCACACACATTCACACACTCACAGTCACACACGGTCACACACATGCACACAGCCACATTAACACACATGTACATTCACACAGTCACAGCCACACAATCTACACACATGCACACATTAACACACATTCACAGAGTCATACACAGCAACACATAAACACATTCACATACATGCACATTCTCATACATACTCATACATTCACACACGGACACAGTCACACACCCATTCATACATACACTCTCACAGTCACACATGGTCACACACATGCACATTCACACTCACACTCTCAGTCACACACACATTCACACACATGCACATAGACACACTCAGTCACACATGCACACACAGCCACATTAACACACGTACATTCACAGTCACACACAGATCTACACACATGCACACATTCACACACATTCAGTCATACACAGTCACACAGTAACACACACATTTACATATGCACACACATGCACACATTCACACACAGACACACCCTCAGTTACATACACATGCATTCACTCACACATACCACATATCGTGCCACACACATGCACATTCGCACACACACAGGCACGCACATTCACACATATATATTCACAACACACATCCTCATTCACACACATGAATTCACACATGCACATAATCAAATGCATGAATTCACTCACACACGCCACACAGCATGCCACACACATGCACATTCACACACATGCAAACACACATTGGCACACATTCGCAAACGTACGCCATCAACTGTGAACAGCCGTGAGACACCAACCTCCTGCACTCCCTCACGCTTCCCCCAGTGTGGCCACACCTGGAGTTGGTACCACACATGCATCCTGCATGTGTCCAGATCTGGGAGAACTACAGGATCCCAACTTGTGAGGTGGACTCCACAGTTTCCTCGGGCTTCCTGCAGACGCCTGCTTGGTACCACCTCTCCAGTGTGAGCAGAGCAACCTCAGGTCCCCTCAGAGGATAGGCAGCCACTCAGCATGCAGGGGCTGAGGTCATGGACCCCAAACATCCCATAGGGTCAGAAAGAGCCCCGGAGGACATGCGAGCCTTGTAGCAGCCTCAGGCTTCTAAGAAGAAAATGATCAGTGAAGAATGATCATTTCTTTTTCTCTTTCTTTTTTGGCTGTCCCACAAAATGCATCTTTTATGAGAGAAGAGAAAAAAGATAGAGCCAAGTTCACACCATCAGCTGAAATGAGGAATATGATGAGAAACTGGTCCCCGCTCACTGATGCCCATGAATATGTCAATGCATGTGGTATCAGCAGGTGTCTTCATTTCCCTCTTCATCTCTCTTTTATGAACTTCCTTTGGCAAGGTCAGGCCATGAAGATTCAGGTGTAGGACTGTCTTTCAGACAGCACGCCCCGAGCAAAAGCACGCTGATAGATCAGGGTGGGGGAAACAAGAAAGACGGTGTGTTTCTCAGAGTGTCTGTTATACAGTAGGAATAGTACGAAGAACTTTACATGCATCAATTAAATTAATTTCATTTCATCATTATTACCCCCATTTTACAGATGAGGAAATTGAGACTTCACTTTCTGGCTCAAAGTGGCAAAGCTACATTCAAGGTCAAAAGCAAAGGTCTTCAAGCCTGCGCTCCTGACTACCACACCCAGGAGATAGCAGTGCCTCATCAAGAGTGTCCAGGAGGCACCTCGGATAAGCCCCTTGAGACAGTGTTGAAGGAATTTCTGCCTCCAAACAGAAGTTTGATGCGTTGAATTCCTAGGAAAGTGAGAAAATGAAAGGAACAGTAACAGCACCAAAAACGAACGTTGAGCTCCCCGTGAGGCGACGCCCTCAACACTTTTAAGATGATAATGAGATACACTTCACAAAGGAAAAACCCTCATAAACTAAGAAACTCTGGGAAATCCTTATCTAGGATTTCTAAACAGATTTAAGTTATGAGTTCAAGAACTTAGAGCTTTTTGTCTAGTTTTACCTTCAAAACTGCACCTCATCAATAATGATTACTCCAAAATCACTCCCCAAGTGATTACTCCATAATCACTCCTTCTTAGTGAGATTATGTCCATCGTGAGAACAAAGGAGGCTGAATCCTGCCAGCCTCCCAGTTGTCTTCCCTTCGCCAACCCGCAGCTGGCAGTGCCTTGATCAATTTCCAGATTCGCTTTGATGACAGAGCTTTCCAGTCTTGCTCTCGACACAGCTCCTGTTATTCAAATATCTCTGAAGTCCCCTCTCAAAGAATCTGCCTCCTGCTGTGAAATCCTCCTCCTTCGTGGAGGATCATTTACACAGACAAATTTTCCCCTCCCCAAGCATCACCGTAGTCAGTGAAGAACAACAATAAAAAGAAAAATCAAATAGTGTTTTCTCTTTTTCCATTCTACAATGCAAACTTCATGCAAAGAAAACCTCTTTCTCCATAAATTATGGGGGCTACCAGGCACATTTCCCATGGACAAAGTCTTAGGGACGGGCTCCGAAGTTGAGAAGAGTTCCTACTCTCACCATCCTGAGGAGGCCCTGAAATGCAGACTGTGGGTGACGGAGAGAAGCTGCAGTCTCCAGGCCATGGCTCACATCCTCCCTCTAGACATCTAGATACCATTTCCACCCACAGACTACCACTCCCACAGCCCCTCAATCAATGCTGATAGACATGGAATCATTATCACCAACAGCCACTCCCACAGCCCCTCAATCAATGCTGATAGACATGGAATCGCCCTCACCAATGTTCATCTCCCAAAGCCCCTCAATCAATGCTGATAGACATGGAATCATTATCACCAACATCCACTCCCACAGCCCCTCAATCAATGCTGATAGACATGGAATCATTATCACCAACATCCACTCCCACAGCCCCTCAATCAATGCTGATAGACAGGGAATCATTATCACCAATGTCCACTCCCACAGCCCCTCAATCAATGCTGATAGACATGGAATCATTATCACCAACGTCCACTCCCACAGCCCCTCAATCAATGCTGATAGACATGGAATCATTATCACCAACAGCCACTCCCACAGCCCTCAATCAACGCTGATAGACATGGAATCGCCCTCACCAATGTCCACTCCCACAGCCCCTCAATCAATGCTGATAGACATGGAATCATTATCACCAACATCCACTCCCACAGCCCTCAATCAATGCTGATAGACATGGAATAGTCTTCACCAATGTTCACTCCCACAGCCCTCAATCAATGCTGATAGACATGAAATCATTATCACCAACGTCCACTCCCACAGCCCTCAATCAATGCTGATAGACATGGAATCATTATCACCAACGTCCACTCCCACAGCCCTCAATCAATGCTGATAGACATGGAATCATTATCGCCAACGTCCACTCCCACAGCCCTCAATCAATGCTGATAGACATGGAATCATTATCGCCAACGTCCACTCCCACAGCCCCTCAATCAATGCTGGTAGACATGGAATCATTATCACCAGTGTCCAGTCCCACAGCCCCTCAATCAATGCTGATAGACATGGAATCACACTCACCAATGTTCATCTCCCAAAGCCCCTCAATCAATGTTGATAGACATGGAATCATTATCACCAATGTCCACTCCCACAGCCCCTCAATCAATGCTGATAGACATGGAATCATCTTCACCAATGTTAATCTCCTTTTGAGTTTCCTACATCGTTTAGTCCTCCAAGCTAGAAACCTCCATCAGAAGCCATATTGCACCCCTCCCTTCCCACTTCAAACACCAGATCAGTTCTCAGAGATGTCCTGCTAACCCAGACCGTCCTGCACCCACCCTGCTGTCTCTGCCTTGCTGAGCTACCTCATCTGCCCTGGATGGTGGCATGGCCTCCTCTTTCACTGGGACCCCACGGTGGCTGTTGAAGTAACGTGCCTGAGAGCAGCCCGAAGGTGCCTGCCACACGTTGTCTAAAGAACTCTGTTATAGTCATGTGTGCATGCTGTCTTCCCCTTTAGACTGCAAGCTCCCTGTGGGCAGGGATGCGCCTCAGTCACCTCTGCATCCCTGGTTCCTGGTGCATAGCCACTGCCATTGTTGTGGTTTGTGATTGTTGTTGCTGTCATCATTGTCTGTAATTCTTGTAAGACATGGCAAAATCATTACCTAAGTAATTTTACACACCATGACACACTAGGTCTAGTCAACAGTAAGTTACAGATTTATTTAAACATCCAAGAACACTGCCTTCCTCTACTACCCCACACTCCTGTGGTTTCTGGGGTTCTCAGCTCTGTGTGAACTCCTGTAAGAGGCTCCCCCTTCAGAGGGACTCATCCAGAGGACCTTGATTAGATTAGAAGCTCGAAAACCATGACAGCCTAACTCAGAACTGCTCATGCGACACCCTCTTGAGAGGGTGAAAGTTATAGGTGAAAAAAGAAGCAAAGAAGGTTGCAGGAAGCTGGCATGAAGGCTGCCCCGAATGGGCCCGCGTGCAGAGCTCCCACAGAGGGCGTCTGGGCCTGCAGGTGGGCCCCACTCTCAGGTCTCAGAGGGAGTCAGGGGCATGACTAAGACAGGACTCATTCCTGTCCCCGCTGCAGAAGGAGAGCATTGGGCCTCTCCAGGGAACCTCTGTGCCCAGCCCTGCACAGGGACGCTTTCTTGGGTCAGGGACTCATGGGTCCCAGGGGAGAGGCCGGGCCACACAGCCTCAAGCAAGTTCATTCTTCCTCTCCTAGAGCCATCAAACAAAAGCAGATTTTCAAAGACAAGGAGACATATGGGTCCCTGAGCAATTCTGTGGCCACCTGAGGATGTCAGCACTGGCTGAAGAGATGTCTTAGAAAACACCCCCCTCCTCCATCCGAACGCACCACCACATTCTCCCTGCTCCCAGGCAGGGTGGCACCGCCACATTCTCCCTGCTCCCAGGTGGGGTGGCACCACCACATTTTCCCTGCTCCCAGGCGGGGTGGCACTGCCACATTCTCCCTGCTCCCAGGTGGGGTGGCAGGCTCTCTACCAGATGACCCGATGACGGTGGAGCAGAGTCCAGATCCCCCACCATCCCACAGACAACGCCGCCTCTCACACGCACACACACGCACATGTGTGCACACGCCTCACCCTGGGCACACGCCCCAAGGACAGCGCTTGCTTGGGAGAAGCCTGGAGGCTGTCCGGGGCAGCCCCACCCCTCCCAGACTGCATGACCTTGCTGGTTTATGCCTCTGCTTTCTTCTTGGTAAACAAGGACAGCAACAACCACGTCTCTCCCTGGCAGATAGCCCTGAGAATGGGTCCCAGCCAGGGTCCCCATGGGAGCAGCATCCAACAGCTCAGTGCCCTGAGTAGTGTCTGGGGACTGCGGTGAAAGGCCGCAGCCAGCTAACAAGGGCATTGCATGCGGCTCCTCCAGGAAAATGGGCATCTGAGCCTGTATTGCCAAGGTCAACAAGGAGAAAAGCTTGGCTCTGGCTTCCACCAAACTTGCTCCTTGCCAGAAGTCGGGCACCAGCCCCAGCAGGCCACGCAGCTCCATTCGCTTGGCTGTCGCTGTAAGAGGGAGCAAAAGAAAAGGCGGCAGACTGGCCCTTTCAGGGAAAGCAGTGCAGCTCACGTGTACAGCCTTGGCATTTTAATGATAATTATCTCTGTAGGAGTTTTCCTTTTTTTTCTGTAAGCCGGAGCCTTTCTTCTTCCCCTAATTCACAAGGCTTATATGTGTGCAGCAGCTCATGTGCACAAACACACACACACACGCACACTGTACAAACACATGCACCCACTGGCACACATACACATGTATACACAGAGACATATGCATGTGTGCACCCAGCACACACATGCACACACACACACGAACGCACACACCAGTGCACATGCACACACCAGCTCACAGTGCATGCACACACGTGTGCATTCACACACACACACCAGCAGCACACAGGCACGCACACACTCCAGGTTTCCTCGTGGCTGGAGAGAGGCTCGCTAAGGGTTTACCCCAGTCTGCCCTGCTCATGGCCTAGTGCCTGGCCCAGACTCCCTCACAGCCTGTTAAGGGAGAATATGGAAAAATCATCGCACCACCAACTTGGAGTTGAGGGGCCAAGTGCATCCCCTCTTTCCTGATGAGAGAGAACCACAATAGCCTACTCCAACCAAATTGACTCACCTGTCTGACTACGAATCAGCCTCACTGGACAACAGACAAAAAACACAGCCCATCTTCCGATATCTAGAGAAAACTGGAAGCTGTTCTGAGTTTATAAAAAATTTGAGTCTTCACAGTTTCCAAAACAAAGAATATAGTCTATGGTTGAAGTTTTATGTAAGTCAATGTTTTATGTAAAGTTCCCCAAATAATATCTGCAATCATAAAGAAAGTTCATTGTTGTGAAAGGGTGTGGACTTGGAGCCAGGCAGACCTGGATTAAAAGCTTGACCTCATCCTTGCTGGTGTGTGACCTGGGGTCTCGGGCAAGTCTCACAAAGTCTCTAAGCTTCTGTTTCCTCAACAATAAAAATGCCTACTTTGTGGAGTTGCTGGGATAATTAAACAAATTAGGTAACACATGTAAAGTTCCCAGCACAGTTTCTGTCACATTGGAGGGCTCAATGTCACCTCCCTCCCGTGACTTTGCAGAAAAGAATTCTCTGAGTGGAGATAACATGGAAAAGTCTTTAAAGGAAAAAAAGTCTCTCAGCTTCCCTTCTTTCAGGGGTCCAATATCCCCATCCATGCTCACCCCAGGGTCCTGAGTCTCACCCCAGGCCTGAAGTCCCATGGAGCCCATCCACTGCCATCAAAACCATAATGGCCAGGCAGGTGACAGATGACAGACACAGAGTTGAGAGGGCCCCAGAGGAGCACAGTCCAAGAGCCATCACTCGGGGGAAGACCTGCCCTGACCTGCAGGAACATGGAGCCAGGCCTGGACCCAACTTCCTGATTCATAATAACATGGATCCAGGCCTGGACCCAGCTCCCTAACTTGTAAGAAGATGGAATCAGGACTGGACCCAGCACCCTGACCTAAAGGAACACGGGTGGTGATGCTGGTGGGTTTCTCCCACTTTGCTCCCCTCACACCCCTGAAGACCTGTAATCCAGTGCCCAGCAGCTAGTGGACCCCCTTCCCGTGGTTCTCGGCCCACATGGTCTGTGGCTGGAGCCTGTGGTTGGGACCATTTTAAGCATTTGGCCGAGCTCATCTGCTGCCGTTTCTTCTCCTGTCAGAGCCTGGTTTTATGCTTTCCTATTTTAAACAAACAGCCGTTTGAAGGCAAACTCTCCTTTCCCTTGATCCTGTAGAACAGCCCTAGGAGGTGCTTTTCTGATTCCTCTGACGTTTCTGCCACTCCTCTAGGATCTTTCAACCTGTTCTCCCCTCTGAGCCCACACTTAGCGGGTTCTGAACTGCTCTACTCAGCCACCCCGTCCCAATCCCGTCTGGCTCCAGCCCTAGCAGTCCTGAAGCTGCCTGCGTGTTCTCCGCTAGGTCACTAGGTCACTTACCGGGCGGTGAATGGTCTCCATTAGGAAGCCCTGCAAAGTCAGAGGCTTAATACAACTGGTCTACTGCTCACCACCCTGAGGCCAGGAGCCCGGATAGGGCTTACCTTTGTGCAGGTGGCGTGTGCTGCGATGGCCAACGGGGGCTGGAGGGCCCGGGATGGCTTTGTCCTGTCTGTGGGCTCTGGATGGGGCACCGACTGGAGCCCAGCTATCCTCTCTCTCCCTGGCCCTCCAGAGCCCCTCTCCAGCAGGGTAGGTGGGTGTCTTCATATGGCAGCAAGGACCCAGATCAGAGGCTGGCACCGTGCCCTTCACAGCACGTAGTGATCAGAGCAGTCACCGCCAGCCTGGGCTGGAGGAGCGGATGCAGGTGAGAAGGCGTCACCGGCCTTTGGGACCAGGCCCTCGGGCTGCCACCTGCAGGCAGCCACCACCCGCCTGTCCTTCACACAGAGCTGGGTCTATTCCCCCACATCCTTCCTTCCTGGTGGCACACGGCCTGAGGCCCACAGAGGAAAGGCCCCTTTGACATGGGCCCAGTCCTGGGAAGCAGCAGGAGAACAGACACAGTTGCCAGATACGATCCCAGCTCTGCCACACGCAATTCCATGACCTGGAACGCCTCATTAACCTCACGGAGACTCAGTCTCCTTTGCGGTCAAAGGATTGTAATTGTACACACCTCCCAGGGCTGTTGGGGAAATTAATAGAATCCACTTCTGTAAAATTCTGTATTCAGCAGGCCCTCAACGGCTGGAAGCTATCACTGTTAGTAGAATGATCGCACTACCATCTCAGCAAAAGCCACTCAGTACATCCTGATTCCAAAGCAGGACCTGGACTCACTCATTCATGTCAACATTTAGGAGGTGCTATTCTACGAGTCACTTGGTTGGAAAGGGTGGGACCCTGTGGCCAAGCGCTTCTTCCTGCCCAGGGAGCTCGCCCTGGGGAGGTGGTGGGGACCAGCAACAGCTGCTAGGCAGAAACCCCGGCTCCACCCCTCTCACTGTGTGGCCTGGGGCAGCTGTGTGAGCCTCTCTGTGCCTCCGCTGTCAAATGAGAATGACATTGACCTCTTAGGATTAAATCAGAGAATGTTCCTAAAGTGCTGAGAACAGCGCCTGACATATTAAAAGCTTCGGATGCGTTTGTCATCACTGACATCTAATAAAGAAGAGAATAAGAGGGTTTTTCCTGCATTTCCCCTCTGACCTCTACCTCTTCTGGCTGAAAACCTTTAGGCCTAGTGCCCTCTCCTTTATTTGTTTTACGCTATGTTCTCTATAAGCCATGTTGAATCCTTAGTGAAATGAAGCCCAGCATAAATAAATGAACAAATGCGGCCTCAGATGCGTCCAACCTCACCAGCCCTCTCGCCCCCAGGATGTCCTCAGCGATCACCACGGCACTCTCTGAGGCCTGGCCCAACCTCACCAGCCCTCTCGCCCCCAGGATGTCCTCATCAATCACCACGGCACTCTCTGAGCCCTGGCCCAGCCTCACCAGCCCTCTCGCCCCCAGGAAGTCCTCATCGATCACCATGGCACTCTCTGAGCCCTGGCCCTGACCTGTGCCCTCGGAGGCTCCTGCCCGCTGCTGAGTCCGGCTGAGTAGTTGCCATTCCTCTTCCTGGTTAGATCCTGCTCCATTTCCAGCTGGAAAGTCGTCATCCACTCTGGGGATTTACTCTGCTGGAGTCGGTCAAGCCGCCCCAGAGCCTCACTCCCAGGGACTTCAATCTCACGGAGCCGGACTCAGATTTACTGTGGAAAACATCCCTGGAATAGGCATTGCCTCATCGTCCTCTCTGGGGAAGACGGATGCGCCGGGAGCTGCCCCAGTGGGTGCACATGGAGCTCCTCGGGGAGCTGGGCCCACCCCAAGGACCACCGTGGCTGCAGCTGGCTTCTTCATGCACTAGGGCTGGTCCTCGGAGGACAGTGGCAGCCACAGGCCACACTTTGGCTGTGCCGGGAGCCCCCAGACACCAGGACAGAAAGGAGACCTCGGGGAGACTGGCTTGCCAGGTCTCTGCCTCTCCTTTCTAGACAAGAAACCCAGACTTTCCGGGAGGTGCATCATCACCTGAAACCAAGAGGCCCAGACCCCGGCTGGGGAATAGTAAGTAAGGGATGCTGCAAACGCACTTGGCTGCAGTCAAACCTCTCTGCCCTGATGCCACTCTGCCGCCATCCCATGAAACACGAGAACGCCTGCCGTGGGGAAAGCCCTGCTCATCCCAGCTTCCCGGAGTATCTGTCCCAGGGAGTGAAGGGAAGCAGGGCCGGCTCGCTGGTGAAGACTCCGGCTTTCTCCATTCCCACCGAAGACCTTCCTGAAGGCTGGGCTGTCACCCCAGCGTCCCCGGCCCTGGCACCGGCACCAGACCCAGCACAAGGCCCCTCCTGCTGAACGGAAGGACAGACAGGCAGCGGCCGTGCGGATGAAGGACGGGTGTTCGCAGGTGGCACACATATTTTTTGTTCTCCTTAAATAATCATGACGTCCTCATTCTCCATGGAACCGCCCTTACCCTCCTCCTCTCTTCCTTTGCGGTCACTGCCGCTGTCCTGTGGGCAGTGCCGCCTCCACAGTAGTCAGTGCAGAGCAGGCCTGGATGCGGCAGTGCTTCAGAGGCCGGAGGACACCGCGGAGCCGCAGGCGCCCACAGGGCCACCCAGCAGCTCCCCCGCTGCCCCACCTCGGGCAGGCAACGGATTCCCCAATCCCTGCAGATAGAGACAGGGGCATCCCTGATCTCACGCAGGCACAGTGGGGAGTAAAGGGCAGTGCATAAGAAGCCCGGGGCTCCGAGCCTGGCACAGGACGCACGTTCCCACGTAGGTGGCTGCTTCCTCGCTTCTGCCACTGCAGCCTTGGCACACAGGGCTCTGGCCACGTGACCACCCAGGCTGCTATTCTCACTTGCCAAACACAGCCCGCCCTCATCCATCTCAGAGCCATGCTGGCTTCCTGGAGGTCCTGCCATGCTGACTTAGCATGTCCCCTGTCCCTTACTACCCTCATCCTTCCCCACAGTCAGACTCACCCTCAGATGCCCCAACTCTAGAAAGCCCACTGTTCCTCATTCCCTCCTCCTGGGACCCCAGTCAGCTCACTCAAGGGAGGCCTGGAAACAATGCTACCTCACTGTCCCTTAGCAAGGACTCCAGGCAACCTCTGTATTTACTGCAGTTGTTTACACCCTGCCTCATTCCAAGAGCAGTGTAGCTGGCAAAGGACACGCACGGAAAGGCTGATGCCACGGAGACAGATATGGATGAGCACAGCCACGGAAAGGCCTGAGGCTGCTCAGGATGAGCGGGAACTGTCACTTACCTTGAGCATCCAGGGCACAGGTGCCGTGCTGGACCCCCGCAGGGTGCACAGGCACTGAGAAGGGCTCAAAAGAACTGCCTCTGCCTGCAACACAGCTGAGGAGACCGACATAGCCATGTGTGAAACCCTGGGTGTCACGCGTTTCGCACTAGGGAAACACCACCCCTGCAGCTGGGGCAGAGACCCCTGGCAGCCAGCCCTGGAGGAGGCGTGGGCTCAGGGAGCAGCCGGAGATGGATGGGGAGGGGCCGGGACGAGGAGGCCGCGTGGCTAGCATGGCGAACATGGGCGGCTGGGCACCAGGCTCACCCACACATGGGGAATCCACGTGTCCTTTACCCACCTGGAACCTGTTTGCTGAGTTGATACATAAGATCGACTCTGTAGCAGCACTTGGTGAATTTAAAAAATTAATTGTAAAGGAATTTATACCTTATTGCAAAGACAACTGTTTATTTACTAGAAATTAGGCACTGAGATTCCTATCTTGATGGATTATAAAGCCCCTCCTGCCCCTGCCCATATTTCCAGTGTTGTTCCACCAAGTCTCTCCCATGAGAGGGAAGCTTCTTTGAGCCAATGTGGACCAGTCACGAAAAAGTGGGGGGACCAAGCATGAAGACCATGTTGTCACCAAGAGGCATTGTCCTGAGCCAGGTGGGGCCGGACCTTCCCCAGCCCCTGCCCCTGCTAGGAAAAGTGCTGCGACTCCATGGAAACCTTCTCCTGGGGTGGGAGCCAGAGGGAGACGCACCCAGTCTGCAGGGTCCGGCCCCCGTGGGCATGCCCAGTCCCTCAGGGTGTCTACCCATAGCCAGCATGTGGTCTTTCCAGAGATGCCTGACCTGGGCACACCTGGGCTTGGGGGAACCCTGACCCCTGACAGCCTGGGCGATGCCCCAGCAGCTGAGATGACAGCACACAGAGCCTTTTCTGCAACAGAACTTGGGGCTCGAGTGTACTCAAGGTGCTGACTCCTGGACGTTCCTGCCAAGGGGGTCCTGGAGATGGCTCGAGTGGCCAAGAGCTCAGGGCCAGCTGTCTACTCAAGGCACAGGCCCCAGAAGGTTGCCTGGGACAGTTTCCCGCAGACCTGGCCATTGCCATCTTAGTGACTGGGCAAGGACTTCGGAGATGTTTTTATTCAAATATTAGGTTGTCCAAGTAAAACAAATCTGCATTTCTTTTCTCTGAGGGATCCAGTGAGGTGGTTTCACTTTGACTTTTATTAAGCGATCTGTAAACATGAGTTTGGCTGATTTAGCTGACCTGCAGGAAAACGTTCCTCACCACTTCCAACCCTCCCACTCCATCCCAGCAATATGCTACAAAACGCTCAAAAACAGGTCCACTTAAACCTCACAAAATCAGATCAGTGTCGGGGCCTGGAGGGGAGTAGGGACAATGTGTGTGAAAGTGAAAAGCCATAGTTGGAAACTCTTCTCAAAGGACTATAATTTTAGTATTTTCAAGGGCAGACTACGATCCATAAGGACTAATGTGAGAATGTCCTGACCGGGTGCAGTGGCTCATGCTTGTAACTCCAGTGATTTGGGAGGCCAAGGTGGGAAGATGGCTTGAGCCAGGAGTTCAAAACCAGCCTGGGCAACATAGCGAGACTCCATCTCTACAAGAAAAAATTAAATAAAAATTTTAAATATTAGCTGGGCATGGTGGTGCGCGCCTGTAGTCCCAGCTACTTGGGAGGCTGAGGCAGGAGGATCAATTGAGTCCAGGAATTTGAGGCTGCAGTGAGTGATGACCATACAACTGCATTTTAGCCTGGGTGGCAGAACAAGACCCTCACTCTAAAAAGATTTTTCTTTCTTTTTTTTTTTTTGAAAAAAGAGCATCGTGGATCATCGTGGCAGATGGGAGTCAGGACTAGATTGCAGCTCCGACTCAGATGGATTGAGCAGTGTGTGGAGGCTCACATCATTAAGTTTAGATCCAGAACAAACCAGGAATCCCAAGAGGACCCACCGACCCTCTGAAGGAAGCAGACAGCTGCAGGACCTGGGAGACACCCCAAATACTGTGAGTGCCCCAACAGTGGAAATGGGAAAGGAAGATCCTCCGCCCCCGAGCACACACCCCCACTGGGGAAACTGAAGGTCTAGTTTTCGAGAGAAGTTTCCAACCTTACCTGGAGTTGAGTCAATTTAGAGAGCAGAGCGAAATACAGGGGTAGAGGAAGCAGCGGGAAAGGCCCTGGGAGCTCGCTGGGTCCCCAAGCAGCCCATTCCTACGTGGCAACACAAGGATCTTTTGGCAGGGTGACCGGAGGTGCAGGGCGGGGGAAATGCAACAGGGAGAAGGAATTCTCCAGCCGAACTTTGTAACAATTTGAACCAGGCGAGAAGCCTCCTGGCCAGAACTCAGGGGAGGGTGAGAGCTGGTGTATAGACTCCACAGGCGGGGGAAGAATGAAAGCCCTAATTGCTTTTGCAGCTAGGGGGTGGTGGGTAGCCTGGGGCGAGTTCTCAGCCCTGCTCGCCCACTGCCTGGAAACAGACTCGGTGCTGTTAGTGGGGCCACAGTGGGAGTGAGACCAGCCCTTCAGACTGCATGGGAGTTGGATGAGGCCTGTAACTGCTGGCTCTCTCCTACTTCCCTGACAACCTCCATGACTCAGCAGAGGCAGCCATAATCCTCCTAGATTCACCACTCCATTGACCTGGGAACCTCACCCCCATCCCCCAAAGCAACCACAGCAAGACCCAACCAAGGAGAGTCTGAGCTCAGACATGCCTAGCCCTGCCCCCACCTGATGGGCCTTCCCTATCCACTCTGGTACCTGAAGACAAAGAGCATATACTCTTGGGAGTTCTGGGGCCCTGCCCACCACCTGTTCCTCCCCATACTACCACAGCTGATGCTCTCTGGAAAGCACCACCTCCCATCAGGAGGCCAACCAGCACAAAAATAGAACATTAAACCACCAAAGCTAAGAACCCTCACAGAGCCCTTTTCACCCCCCTGCCACCTCCACCAGAACAGGTGCTGGTATCCACGGCTGAGAGACCCACAGATGGTTCACATCACAGGACACTGTGCAGACAACCCCCACTGCCAGCTTGAAGCCGGGTAGATGTGCTGGGTGGTTAGACCCAGAAGAGAGTTAATAATCACAGCATCTCGCCTCACAGGAAGCCACATCCATAGGAAAAGGCGGAGAGTACTAACTACATCAAAGAAACACCCCATGGGACAAAAGAATCTGAATAACAGCCTTGAGCCCTAGACCTTCCCTCTGATAGAGACTACCCAAATGAGAAGGAACCAGAAAACCAGCTCTGGTAATATGACAAAACAAGGCTCTTTAACACCCCCCCAAAAATCACACTAACTCACCAGCAATGGATCCAAACCAAGAAGAAATCCCTGATTCACCTGAAAAAGAATTCAGGAGGTTAGTTATTCAGCTAATCAGAGAGGGACCAGAGAAAGGCGAAGTCCAATGCAAGGAAATCCAAAAAATGATACAAGAAGTGAAGTCCATAGTCACCAAAACAGCATGGTACTGGTGTAAAGTAGGCACATAGACCAAAGGAACAGAATAGAGAATCCAGAAATAAACCCAAATACTTAACAGCCAACTGATCTTCGACAAAGCAATCAAAAACACAAAGTGGGGAAAGGACACCCTTTTCAACAAATGGTTCTGGGATAATTGACAAACCACATGTAGGAGAATGAAACTGGATCCTCATCTCTCATCTTATACAAAAATCAACTCAAGATGGATTAAAGAATTAAACCTAAGACCAGAAACTATAAGGACTCTAGAAGATAACATTGGAAAAACTCTTCTAGACATTGGCTTGGGCAAGGATTTCATGACCAAGAACCAAAGGGCAAATGCAAAAAAAAACAAAGACAAATAGCTGGGGCCTAATTAAACTAAAGAGCTTTTGCACAGCAAAAGGAACAGTCAGCAGAGTAAACAGACAACCCACAGAGTGGGAGAAAATCTTCACAATCTATACATCTGACAAAGGACTAATATCCAGAATCTACAACGAACTCAAACAAATCAGTAAGAAAAAACAAACAATCCCATCAGAAAGTGGGCTAAGAACATGAATAGACACTTCTGAAAAGAAGATATACAAATGGCCAACAAACATGAAAAAATGGTCAGCATCACTATTTATCAGGGAAATGCAAATCAAAACCACAATGCAATACCACCTTACTCCTGCAAGAATGGCTATAATCAAAAAATTAAAAAAAAAACGGTAGATGTTGGCGTGGATGTGGTGAACAGGGAACACTTCTACACTGCTGGTGGGAATGTAAACTAGTACAGCCACTATGGAAAACACTGTGGAGATTCCTTAAAGAGCTAAAAGTAGAACTACCATTTGATCCAGCAATCCCACTACTGGGTGTCTACCCAGAGGAAAATAAGTCACACGAAAAAGATACTTGCACACGCATGTTTACAGCAGCACAATTCACAAGTGCAAAATAGTGGAACCAACCCAAATGCCCATCAATCAACAACTGGGTAAAGAAATTGTTTATATATATATATATATATATATATATATATATATATATATATATATATGATGGAATACTACTCAGCCATAAAAAGGAATTAACGGCATTTGCAGCGACCTGGATGAGATTGGAGACTATTATTCTAAGTGAAGTAACTCAAGAATGGAAAACCAAACATCACGCTCTCACTGATATGTGGAAGCTGAGCTAGGAGGATGCAAAGGCATAAGAATGATGCAATGGACTTTGGGGACTTGCAGGGAAGGGTGGGAGGGGGCGAGCGATAAAATGCTACAATTAGGGTGCAGGGTATACTGCTCGGGTGATGTGTGCACCCAAAGCTCACAAATCATCACTAAAGAACTTACTCATGTAACCAAATACCACCTGTACCCCAATAACCTATGGAAAAAAAAATAAATAAATAAAGAATATCCTAAGGCCAGGTATATGGAGACCTACTGTAACAGACGACCATGGCATGGGAGCTGCATATCAATTATTAATAACTGAGTGTCCCTAGAGTACTCAGGAAAAACTTCATGTTCTCCTGAGTAACCTAATTTCTAATGTGTATTTAGTAAACCTTTAAATATTTTAAATTCTAAAATGAAAGTAATAAATGCATAGGTTTAACATTTGAAAGAGTGCAGGAGGGCTGATGAGAGAGACAGAGAGAGAGACAGGGAGAAATGGAGGAAAGGAAAAAGGGCGATGCTGGGCGGCCCCCAAACAGCCCTCCCACCTCCAGCCCTGCTCCTCAGGGGTAACCGCTTTTAATGGTTCTGATTCCATTTCTTCTCTGGTTACTTCCCAGATCTTTCTGATTTCTTGATCAGCTTATTTTCCTATTATGATCAATAAGAATTTAGCTGTCTTTACTATTGTTACAGCCTCCCAATAGTTACATCAATATTGACAGATGTACCTTCCATTATCTAACTGCAGCAGTAAGCAATACACGTGACACTCCCCGCTAATGACAGAAGGCACCCCTGATCCCTGAGACTAGGTATTGGCACCGCCAGCCTTCCCCCCTGCCCTGCCCTCACCGGCTTCCTCTTCCTGCTTTTGACGGTGGCGCCCTGCCTTATTAAGCTTCCTGACACGTGCACTGTATTTTTACTCATGGGTAAGTCTCTGTGCTTTGTCTGTAGAGTCCAAAAAGTTGAAAACCAATTAACCTGAATTATTAATAGTTAGCATAGCTAACTCCTCTAATAGATAAACCTCCAAATATAAAATGGCATAAACACCATCATTTGTTTCTTGCTGATGTACGTGTTCCTGAAGATAAGTGGGTCCATGGAGTGGCATCTCCTCCTCAGCCACTCAGGGACCCAGGTGACCCAGGCTCTGACATCTTGAGCGTGAGACTCCACGGTCATCCAGTTTCAGCCGTGGGAGGGGAAACTGGCCAAAGGAGCACGATGTGGGTGTTTTTAATGGGCCAGGCCCGGGTACACTGGCATCATTTCCACTCACAGGCATCCAACAGCACCTTGTCACATGGCACACCTAGACGCACGGAAGATGCACCTAGAGCTACTTTGCAGCAGGCTGGCTGGGCCCCATTCCCGGCTGCCTTAGGTGATTTGCATGGTTCACTGCAGAGCCCAGCACCGCTGCAGGGTTGCACCCCTCCCTCTACGTCCAATGACTCAAAGCATAAGCCACGCCTAGGAAAATGTTCCTGGTGTCAAACGCAAATGACTTTTCCTTTCCTAGACTTTACCAATTATTCAAAACCATCATTGTTTTTATTGTTCCATACTGGGGCCCTATCTTTATTATGTGGTTGTTTTTCTAGAATTTCTAATTGCCTTTTCCTTGTTGAGAAAGAAGAAATATTAATGCTATTCACCATTGTCCCAATTATACATTTGAGCTTCTTATGCATTTCATGGATTGCTTAGAATCAGTTCTGTTTTTTTTTGCAGTTGTCATTTTCATTAAGTTAGATTCACTCTGGTCCAGTTTGGACCCACTGCTCCACATTTAGGCCATCTCTGCTTCTCTGCTTGCCCTGGCTGGGTCGAGAGGACATTTGTCACTATTATTATTCTGCTTCTTTCTAATGGCTTTTTTTTCCTTCAACCTCTACTTTTATCTTGTCCTTGCATTTCCCACCCATCCCGTCTCCCCACTTAATCTACTGAGAATCCCCTTCCCCAGGAACACCTGTTCTGAGACCATCCGGTCGTACACTCCTGCATAGAGGGGCCACCCTGGGACCTCTGGTCCCTCATTGCAGCCTCAGACCCTGGACAGTCACTTCCTCTGCTCCTATTCAGTGCCCTATTTCAAGTGCTCAAATAACTCATTAAGAAATGATGCTTGGTTAAAACTGTTCCAATATTGGCTAAGCTAAATGATAGCACTAGTGGTGAGCATCACAGTCACCCCTGGAGACCATGGCAGGCGGGGCTTGGGGGGGCTGCCAGTGGGCACTGTGGTGTTCCATCTCTTTATGTGGACACCAGCCTGCAGAGTTCGATTCACTTTGCCCACTTCTCTGCGTGTATGTTGCACTAGAGCAAAAAAAAGTTTATTAAAAACAGAAAGGATCTTGGGACCCTTAGAACTCACCGCATGTCTGAAAATCATACTTGTTTGATAGATGTCTAGATGTGGAACTTAGGTGGAAACTTTGTCAGCACTCGAAAAAACATCACCCTGCTGCCTTCTGGAAAAACGTCACCCTGCCGCCTTCTGGAATGCTACTATGCTATGTTGCTGTTGGAGATCTAATGCCGGTCTGATTTTTATTTCTTTGTAGCTGAATTATTTTTTCTTTAGGTAATACTTTAGTCTCTCTTTAAACCAGGTGTTCTGAATTTTTACAATGACATGTGAAGATATCTTTTAAAATTCATCTTACTTAGCAGTTCACAACTTTCTCAATATGAACATTTGAGTCTCCCTGACAATTTGGGGACCTTTTCTGGTGCTATTTACTTGAAAATTGCCTCTACTCCATTTTCTCTGTTTTCTTTTCCTAAAACTTCTATTGGCTGAATGTGGTCTGTCCTAGAAGGATCCTTCATGCCTCATTACCCCTTCACTTCTTTCGTTTTACTTTTTAGAAAATTTCCCCTTTTCTTTTGATTAAAAAAAATTCAGAAGTTACCACATTCCAGGTTTCCAAGAGCTTTTATGAGGCACAATTGCTGTTTTCTTAAAGTACATGTTCATGTTTTATGGCTGCATTATATCCTTAAATCTCTCTGAGAATTCTAATTATTGGGAGGATTTTGTTTCTAAATTGCTTCTTCATAGGCTATTTTTATTCTCTTTGATTATTTTAGATTATCTTAAATATTTCCAGTCACATTTAAGAATGAGGCTTACTTGAGTTTTGTAGATTGTCATTGGACAAATTTTGCTTTGGGGGAGTGAGCCAGAGGCCCAAAATGTCGTAATTTGAAGATCTTTATTCTAAGTCACCAACACTGCAAAAGCCCTGGATCTACTCTAGATGTACAGCCCTTTCAGAATCTTTGAAGAAGAGTGATTTGGGCCAGTCAGTGGGCACTGGCGCCGTCAGATTGCAGGGTAAGCGTGACCAGAGTTGACCATCCCCAGTACCTTCCATTAACCCACAGAATCACGGCCACCACCCACACCAGGAGCAGCTCCCTCCATCCCCACGGCCCTCCCCCAACACATATGCACCCCCATCCACCCCGGATCACAACTCTATATCAGCAAGGAGGCTTCCTCCATCCATCCGCGCACCATCGTCAAGAAATTCACTTAAAGCTCCTTCTCTGATGACTCCTCTCCAACCAGCTTTTGCCTGTTTCATCGTTTCACTGCCATGTCTTAAAGGGACCTGAGGAGGGAGAGGAAATAAACACCATGCTCAGTCATCTTGAATCAGAATCCAGCCAAGTCTGTCGAACAGAGGACTGGTGCCAGGTGCTTTGGCCTTGGGCTAAGGGGCTGTTCAGGAAGAGGTGGGCGAGGTCAGTGCACCCCCAGCGGCTCCTCCGAGGCTACAGTGGCTGTCTGGGCTTTGGGGACTTGAGAGACGTGGAGCCGATGCCGGAGGGGAGGGTCTGGTCAGTGGGGTCCTTTAGTTTAGGGAAAGGAAGGAGCAGAACTGAGCACAGTGGTTTGCTTCTGAACTGTTTTCTCTTCATGACATTAGGTTTTTGTTGTATATTTTTATTTAGAAAATTACATCACACAGTAATCCCCATCTGTGAAAGTTTCTCAGCTTTTTAGACCCCTTCCCCATCACGATGCTCTGCACCTCAACATGGGACTCACATATTGTCTGTTGCCTGTCTACAGGAGGATCCGTGGCTCGCCTGGTCACAAGCATGTTGAGATGAATCCAGCCTGGTGCCACCTACAGCCGTGAAGGCCCGCGGTCTGACCCTATAATGTGCTGCCTTCCTGAGACGGCTGCACTTCTGCAAAGCCCTCGTGCCCTCATGTCCTAGCCATGAAATCATGCAGACTTTCGATCACAGGCCTTAGCAGTGAGAAACAGAAAAGTCTTTTGGTTTCTGTCAATTGCAGGGCGAAAAACTTGTTGAACTCTGCTAACAATACATGAAGCATGGTGAAGGCACCTCCATAAAGTCTCGTTTACTCCTACTCAGTAAAGAAAGGGGAGCTAGGCTGGGCGTGTTGGCTCACGCCTATAATCCCAGCACTTTGGCAGGCTGAGGCAGGCGGATCATGAGGTCAGGAGATCGAGACCATCCTGGCTAACGCGGTGAAAACCCGTCTCTACTAAAAATACAAAAAAATTAGCCAGGCATGGTGGCAGGCGCCTGTAGTCCCAGCTACACTCACTCGGGAGGCTGAGGCAGGAGAATGGCATGAACCCGGGAGGTGGAGCTTGCAGTGAGCCAAGATTGCGCCACTGCACTCCAGCCTGGGTGACAGAGCGAGACTCTGTCTCAAAACAACAACAACAAACAAACAAACAAAAAACAAAGAAAGGGGAGCTATTGTTAAATGGGAAAGGAAACTGAGGCACAGAGAAATTTTGGTATTGGGAAAGGTGATGTGACTCGGATTTGAACCTGTGTCTTACTCCAAAGTCAGGACTTTTCCAAGTACATCACAGCTGAATCCAAATGCCATGAAGACATCACACTAACAACACATTACACCATGTTAACACCATGCAAACACCATGCAGACACCACACTAAATCACACTACACCATGCTAACATCACACTGACACCATGCTGACACCAAGCTAACATCACACTGACACCATGCTGACACCACACAAACACCATGGAGACACCATGCAGACACCACACTAATACCACATCACACCATGCTAACAGCATGCAAACACCATGGAGACACCATGCAGACACCACACTAATACCACATCACACCATGCAAACACCATGGAGACACCATGCAGACACCACACTAAATCACACTATACCATGCTAACATCACGCTGACACCATGCAGACACCACACTAATACCATGCTGCATCATGCTAACATCATGACCACCACACTACACCATGCTAACACCATGCTATCACCACTCTATTGCCATGCTAACATCATGGAGACACCATGTGGACACCACACTAGCAGCAGGCTAATACCACACTAACACTATGCCAACACCAGCTAGCACCAACTACAGGCACCCAGCCAGGTGCAGAAGTTAGGGAGTCTACTGCAGATGAAAAGGCCCCCCGAAAGCCTTTATGATGTGGATATGCTGACACTCCGCGCCTATTCTGGTGTGAACAGATCTGAGGTTTATTGATCTAAATCAACGTGGGCTGAGGAACAGCACAGTAACTGATGTGATCAAACGAGCTTCTCATACATGGCCCAGAAACTCTCTGTCACGGCGTGAGGCAACCAGACACTAAGTCCTAGAGAGACTCTAAAATGTCTCCCTAGTAACATGAAAATACTTCTGCCAGCTCTTCAGCTAACCATCAGTATAATTCAACAAAAGTAGCCCAGTTACAGATGTAAGAACTGGGCACCTCAACATACTTTATTTTTAAAATGTACTAACAGACACACCTTCATCTGTTTCACATTCTAATACACAAATACTCCAGTGGAGAGTGGCAGCCACCATTGTCACCTCGCCTGCTCCAGACTCTTCCAGCGCTGTTGGCCCAATTGGATGTCCCCAGCGTGTCCTCTATCTGATAAGTGCTTCCTTAGCACTTCTTCGATTTGGCACAGAATTCCCACATTCCATGTCAACGAGGAGCTGAAGGGTCATTCAACAAAGATTTATGGAGGCCTCACCACGCACCAGCAACATACATCCACGGGACCGTTCTGTGTCTTGATAATAGGGGAGCCGCCCATGAGATAAAATTGCACACGACCAAATGCATCCAAACACACTACTCAGCAGAACCAGGGAAGTCTGAAAGATCACTGGTCCGCACCAATGTCAATATCCCAGGTATGAGATTAGACTGTAGTTTTACAAGATGCTATTGTCAAGAGAAGCTGGGTAGAGAGTGCACAGGCCCTTTCTATATTATTTCTTACAACCACATGTGAATCTACAATTATGTCAAAGTAAAAACGTTTAAAAGGGAGAAGGGGACAGACGTCTTTGCCGCGGTAGGACTGGCTGGGCCTGGGGCTGGGAATGAAGAATGAACTCCCCAGGGCACTGGTGGCCAGCCAGGACTGAGAACCGTCGTCCACAGCACTGACCCCCCGACCCCCCACAGCCATGTCTGTCTCCTCTCCTCCCGTGGTGGGGGCTGAGAGGCAGCAGCTTCCCGGGAATGCCTTGAGTAAAGCAAGCACGGTGCCCCTCAGCTGTTTCTAACTCACTCGGGTGAATGACTCCCTTCATCTACACCACCTGGCTTCTTAAAGGAGCTTCCAAACATTTTAACCATCACACAAATCAAAACGCAGGCAGAGCAGTCTCCTCCACAGTGACCCTCCTTGCTTAATTAAACCACATCTAACAAGTGATCTGGACAGGCGGTGCTGTGCTGCTTCCCCGAACGTGTGCCACGAAATCCCATCAACAGAGCAAGTTCGCGCGAAGCAGACTCACTCCTCAGGCTCCTGGGGCTGGATCCTTCAGCTGCCAAAGCACACAGTGCCTGCGAGCCATGCCACCCAAGGGAATGGCAACAGTCAGAGGGAAGGCGGCACCCTGAAGGCGGGCACAGGGCACTTAAAATTATCCACAGATCTCAATTGCAAAAGCGATCCTTATGTTCTGTCAAAGTTAAGAGATGATTCATAATTTGTATCTGTGTACTTGGCAGAGTGGTGGCCAAAATTATGATAATGATACCTTGGCTTTATAGCCTCTCTTTCCTCCAAAGGGTCTGAAGTCTTCCAGATTGCTTCAATTTATCTTTTGACATTGCTGTGGAAAGCAAGAAGTAATATTGGTGGGTCAGACTAATATACCCCCATTTGATAGGGGGTTTAAGCAAAATTAGAGCCAGAAAATGACTCATCAGAAGATTGACATTTCACTCAGCAGTCCGACCAGGGAGAGATTCAAATTGCCCATCAAAGATTGTATTTGTTAGGGTAATCAACTCTAGCTACCATAACAAACATATCAGTGACTCAACCCAATGAGAACCCACTAGCTGCTCGTGTTACAGTCTGATGTGGGCCAGGCAGCCATGATGGGGCTGTCTCCTCCATGCAGTGACTCAGGGGGCCAGGGCTTCTCTGGCATGTGGGTCTCTAGAGCATCCATTGAGCTCTGTTGGCTGCATCCTGCTGGCCAGGGAGCACAGACCACAGCAGGAAGGTTGCACAGGGTCCTCAGGCAGGGCCTGAAAGGGCTGCAACTCATTGCTATGCTCACTTCTGGCCAGAACGCAATCACATGGCCGTGACTGACTGCAAAACAGGCTTGGAAATGTGGAATGTGCAAGAATAAACACTGGGAGTCTCTTGACCGAGACAGCACATCTACGATCATGCCTCCATATTTGGAGTACCAACTCCATCAACCTTCCCCAGGAGGAATGCCAAAGGAGAAGAATACATTTAAAATACATCATGCTGGCTGGGCAAGGTGGCTTATGCCTCTAGTCCCAGCACTTTGGGAGGCCAAGGATCACTTAAGCCCAGGAGTTTGAGATCAGCCTAGGAAACATGGTGAAATCCCATCTCAACAACAACCACAACAACAAAAACACAAAAATTAGCCAGCCACAGTGGCTCACACCTCTAATTTTCACACTTTGGGAGGCTGAGGAGGGAGGATCACTTAAGCCCAGGGGTTCAAGAGCAGCCTGGGCAACATGGCAAAACCTCATCGCTACCAAAAAATACAAGACTTAGTCAGGCGTGGTGATGTGCACCTGTAATCCCAGCTATCTGGCGGCTGAGGTGAGAGGACTGAGCCTGGGAGTTCGAGGCTGCAATGAGCTGTAATCACTCCACTGCACTCCACCCTGAGTGACAGAGAGAGATCCTGTCTCAAAAAAAAAAAAAAAAAAAAAAAAAACAATTAAATAAAATAAAAAAATAAAAACAAATACAATACCTCATGCCAGCTAACACACTGCCTCAAAGTAGTGCAAGAAAAGAAACCAATATCTGCTATGTCTAAAGAAAATCTACTTACCATCTCAATTCCCTTCCCTGTCTCTTTTCTAAAAAGGAAAATAAATCGCTCTGGTCCTGGTCAAGATGCAGTAAGTCCACTACAGGCTCTCTCCCACCAACTACAACAAAAAACTCTGACAGCGTACAGAAAGCTAGCACCTGAGGACTCCAAAATGTGGGCAACAGCAGGCAGATTGGAACGGGAAGTTGGAACTTGACAGGTGACCAGTAGGCATGAAGTTATTGGATTCTCTCTTGTTATCTCTCAGCTTTGTCCTGAAGGCAGCCAGAGCCTCAGCACTACTCAGCAAGCAGTTACAGAAATAACTTCAAGAGAATCCCTCTCTTTTTGCCCAGAGGACTGAAAAAGAGGATCAGAGGGAGCTAGCTGGGACACCAAGGTCCTTTCTCTGTCTCCTTTCCTGGCCCTGCTCTGAGGCCACCCCATCCTGAAATTATGGCAGTGGCAGGGGTGTTGTCACTAAAATACCAGAAAAACATCATCCCTCTGGCTGGGGGAACTGAGAAAATGGGCCTCTGTGTTCCAAAAATATTGGGGGAACCCACTAATTTTTTTGTCTTTTTTCTCTTGCCACTTTGCCCTGAAAACCACTCTACTCAGGTGAAACTGCAATACAGTTTCTCACATGGCTGAGAAACCAGAGCTTTCCAGCCAAGGATTGTGCCCCTGTGATCCAGACAGTATGGGGGAATTCCCAGGGGCAGACAGTTAAGTAGTCCCCCATTATTAGGGGGCTAATGTGTGTGAGCTGCCATGAACCCTAGGCTTACCTCTAAGCTGTGCATGCACGGAACATAGAGAGGCAGAGTGGATTAGTCAGCTCGGGCGACCATGACAAAATACCATAGACTGAGTGATTTAAACAACAGAAGCTTATTTTCTCACAGTCCTGGAGACTGGAAGTATGAGATCAGGGTGCCAGCAGGGTCTAGTTCTGGGAAGGACCCTCTTTCTGGCTTACAGATGACCACATTCTCACTGTGTCCTCAATCAGAGAGAGCTCCCTGGTCTCTCTTGTAAGGGCACTAATCCCATCATGAAGACTCCACCCTCGTGACCTCATATGAACCTGATTACCTCCTTAAATAGCCCCGCCTCCGAATACCATCACACTGGGGGTAGGGCATCAACATATAAATTTGAAGGACACAATTCAATTATGGCACATAGAACAAAGGCTTTTAAAACTGAACTGGTGCTAAAATCACTTCCCACAGAAGGTGAGACAGGATTGTGGCCTGAACTTAACATTCTCTGGAAAATTTAAACACAGGTTTCTCAATGTATGCACTGTTGACATTTTGGACAGGATAACTTCTTGTTGGAAGAGACTGTCCTGTGCATTACTGGATGCTTAGCAGCACCTTGCCTCCATCCACTAAACACCAGGAAGTAGTACCCCACAGTTGGAATAGTCAAAATTGTCTCCAGACATTCCCAAGTGTTCTCTATGGGGCAAAATCATCCCTGGCTGAAAACCATTGATTTAAACAAACTCAGCATCTCACAACATCATAGCCACTATGCCCAAGATATAATCCAAAATCACTCAACATACTAAGAGCTAGGAAAATCTGCCCAATTGTCAAGGTCTGATTAACTCAAACACCCAGGACACATGCAACTTTGAGATGGCTCAGGTGTTTGAATTATCAGACAAAGACTTTCAAGCAGCTAGTATAACTATGCTCCATGAGTAAAGGCGAACACTCTTGAAACAAAGAGAAAGACAGGTATTGCAGCAAAGAAATAGAAACCATAGAAGAAAAATAAAAACTTTAGAACTGAAAAAATAAAACAGAAGCAAAAAAAAAAAATCACGAAGATGCTTCAACTGTACAATTAAGATAACAGGGTGGGGGGAGCCCAAGAACTTGAAGGTAGAAAGTATAAATTATCCTATCTGAAGAACAGAGAAGGAGGAAAAGAGTGGCAGGGAGGTGGGAGGATGGGTGGAGAACATAGTCTCAGAAACTTCTGGGACAATTTCAGCCTCCCAAAAAGAAAACTCAGAATCTAGAAGGTTTTACTGGCAAATTCTACCAAACATTTAAGGGAGGAATAAAACTAATTCTATGCAATCACTTCCAGAAAATAGGAGAGGGAAGCCTGTACAACTCATTTGATGAGGCCAGCATTGCTCTGATGCCAAGAGCAGACAAAGATACCACAATAAAAGAGAAGAGACCAATATTCCTCATGAAGAAAGACACAAAAATCCTCCACAAAATAATAGCAACTAAAATCCTCAATATTTAAAATGAATAGCAAATCAACACTAAGGGACTTCAACCTCATGTAAGGCTGATCAGCATTTGAAAATCAATCAGTGTAATCCACCATGTTACCAGACTAAAGAAGAAAGCCTGATTATATCAATAAACACAAAAATGGCATTCAACAAAATTCAATACTGGTTAATGCTCATATAAATAGGAACAGAAGGGAATTCCTCAACCTGATATTGAGTATCTACAAAATACTAAAATTTGCCATCACACTTAGTGGTCAAAGACTGAAAAATTTATCCCCTCTGATCAGGAACAAAACAAGGATGTCATCTCTCACCACTCCTTTTCAACACTATACGGAGGTTCTGGCCACTGCAATACAGCAGCATACAGAAATCGCATATGGAATAGAAAGGAAGAAATAAAACTGTTTCTGGTTTGCATAAAACATAAATGTCTGCCTGAAAAATTCCAAGTATTCTAGGAAAAAAGAAAGCTCCTCAAGCAAATAAATGAGTTTATCACATGTGGTATTAGTGAGAGGACAAATACATAGATCAATGGAACAAAACAGAGAGTCCAATAATCCCACACAAATATATAGTTAATTGATTTTTGACGAAGCTGCAAAGGCAATTCAAGGAATCATCTTTTCAACAAAAGATGCTGGACAATTGAAATGCATATGCAACAAAATGAGCCTCCCTGGAGCCTTCCATAGCTCGTAAAGTTAAGTCAAATGGATCACAGGTCTAAATGTAAAAGGCAAAACTGTAAAGAAACTATTTAGACTTTGTGTGAGGTAATTAGGTTTTAGATATGGCACCAAAAGCATGATCCGTTCAAAAAATTAATAAATTAGACTTCAGCAAAATTCAAAACTTTTGTTAAGAAAAATTTTAAAACTATAGACTAAAAGCAAATATTTACAAGTTACATATCTGATGAAGAACTTATATCTAGAATATATGAAGCACTGTCAAACTCAACAGTTAGAAAACATGCAATCCAGTTTTTTAATTTCCATTTTTGTTTTAGATTCAGGGGGTGCATGTGCAGGTTTGCCCAACTGAGGCTTCCGCTTCCATTGATCCCATCCCCCAGACAGTAAACATAGTTTCCACTAGGAAGTTGTTCAGCCCTTGGTACCCTCCCTCCCTCCTTTTAGAGTTCCCAGTATCTACTGTTCCCCTCCTTACGCCCACGTGTACCCAAGATTTAGCTCCCACTTATAAGTAAGGATATGCAGTATTTGGCTTTCCGATTCTGTGTTAATTCACCTGGATAATGGCCTCCAGCTGCGTCCATGCTGCTGCAGAGGCCATGATTTCATTCTTCTTTATGGCTGTGTAGTATTCTATGGTGATTATGTACCACAGTTTCTTTATCCAATCAACCACCACCCAATTTTTTTTAAAGGACAAAAATTTGAATAGATAATTCGCCAGAGATGTATGGATAGAAAATATATACATGAAAAGAGACTCAACATGGAGTCATTAGAGAAATGCAAACTAAAACCACAATTAAATGCCTCTACATACCAACCAGCAAGGCTAACATTAAAATGACAGATCACATCACCACTGGCAAGGGTGTGGGCATCCATAATGCATCCCCATTGCTGGCAGGAATGCAGAATGGCATAACCTCTTTGGGAAACTGGCAGTTTCTTTCTTTTTTTTTTTTTTTTTTGAGATGGAGTCTCACTCTATCACCTAGGCTGGAGTGCAGTGGCGCGATCTCGGCTCACTCCAAGTTCCACCTCCCGGGTTCACACCATTCTCCTGCCTCAGCCTCCCGGGTAGCTGGGACTACAGGCGCCTGCCACCATGCCTGAATAATTTTTTGTATTTTCAGTAGAGATGGGGTTTCACAGTGTTAGCCAGGATGGTCTCGATTTCCTGACCTCGTGATCTGCCTGCCTCGGCCTCCCAAAGTGCTGGGATTACAGGTGTGAGCCACTGCACCTGGCTGAAACTGGCAGTTTCTTATCAAGTTAAACAAACACTTACCACATGACTAGGTCTCTCCCGAGCAGGCAAGAGTAAAGCAAACTATGACCACACACAAATCTGCATGAAATGTTTATAGCAGCCTTATTCATCCTCATCCTCATACGCATCCAAATACCCAGCCCCGGAGAACGGATCACCTGTGGTACGTCCATGCGATGGGGCACTCATCAGCGATAAAGAGGAAGGAACTGTGGACGCCTGCATCAGCGTGGAGGGATCTCAGATGCACTGTGTTTAGTAAAACATGTTTACTTTTGACCCCATTTACATGTTTGATCATATATTATTTATATGTATGATTCCATTTATATGACCTTCTGGAAAAGGCAAATGCAGAGATAAAGACCAGCTCACAGGTTGTCGGTGGCTAAGGGGGAGGGAGGGGAGACTCAGCTGCAAGGAATAGCTCAGGGGAGATGGCCAGGGTGGATTCTTCGTCTCGATTGTGGTGGAGGCTGCTCCAGTATGCATTTGTCAAAAACTCATAGATTGTACACTAAAAAGAGTGGATGCACATTTTAAAACTCAATATCTTTGCCCGGGCACAATGGCTCATGCCTGCAATCCAAGCACTTTGGGAGGCAGGCAGATCACTTGAGGCCCGGAGTTCAAGACCAGCCTGGCCAACATGACCAAAACTGTCTCTATTAAAAATACAAAAATCAGCCGAATGTGGTGATGCACACCTGTAATTCCAGCTACTAGGGTGGCTGAGGCAGGAGAATTGCTTGAACCTGGGAGGCAGAGTTTGTAGTGAGCCAAGATCGAGTCACTGCACTCCAGCCTGGGCGACAGAGCGAGACTCTATCTCAAAACAAACAAAAACCTGGATATCTTTAAAAAAATAAATAAATGTGAAGACGTCTGCATGCAGCCAGCAGTATGGTGGCTTAAATAGTCTAGGGAGTGGAACCCCGTGTGCTCAAGTGGCTGCAGCACAGCTCATTGATGGCCCAAATTTCAAGACGAGGCAAGGCAGGGAACAGGGAGGGTCTGTGAGTGGGTGGAGCAGTCAGAGAAAGGCCCTGAGGGAGAAAGCCCAGGTTGTCAGTATGGCCAGAAGGACTGTGAGGAAATGAGTTTGGTGGTTTGGGGAGTGGCCACCTCGATGTGTGGGTGAGCCTGGCTCCAGGCTGGAACATGGGGCTGCTGGTGTGGGGCTGAGGGGCTACACGTCTTCTTTGACAGGGTCTCTGCACCTGCTCAAATGCAAGCGTTCTTTCTCTACCCCGACTTGGGTTTGTGGCTAGGGACGGGCTGCACAGGACCTGCACGGTCTGCCTTTTCACAACTGGACAGGATTTTTGAAAAGTTTTTGTGGTGGCTGCAATCTAAGAACAGGACAAGAAGTCTTAAAAATATATTATCCACTGTACATGTAGCTAATATCATTGGCTTTTTCTATCTGTGCTGTCAAAGATGGAACCGGACCAAGTGCCTGTCCCCAGATCTGATTTCCGTACTCACCCCTTCAGTAATCCCACCATCGAGTTGGGACTTACTGTGGCAGCCTCAGCCCTCTGTGAAGGATCATTATAAGAACCAGACATTTAGGCCGGGCACAGTGGCTCACGCCTGTAATCCCAGCACTTTGGGAGGCCAAAGTGGGTGGATCACCTGAGGTCAGGAGATAGAGAACAGCCTGACCAACATGGAGAAACCCCGTCTCTACTAAAAATACAAAATTAGCCAGGCATGGTGGCGGGCACCTGTAATCCCAGCTACTCAGGAGGCTGAGGCAGGAGAATAGCTTGAACCCCAGAGTCGGAGGTCGCAGTTAGCCAAGATCTCACCATTGCTCTCCAGCCTAGGCAACAAGAGTGAAATTCCGTCAAAAAAAAAAAAAAAAAAAAAAGCCCAACAACAACAACAACAAACCAGTCATTTAAACAGCGTGTTCATCTCTTTTAGAAAAACCAGGGCTGAATGTAGGGTCTACTGTGTCGCTCTAAGTCATTACAGAACTTCATTTTGAGAACTGCATTTTAGTTCCAAGAATAAGTTCATTTTTGCAAAAGAATCGGTTTTGCTTTTGTGTTTTTATGTTTCCCTATGTTTTAATCTAATTAAAGACTAAATTTCTTCTCGGAAAGGTAAAAAGCATATATCATTATTCCTCTAAACAAGTGAAGTGGGTCCCTACACAAAAAACGCAGACTCACCAGATAAGAGTAAAAGAAGAGAAAGCTTTAGTGCAACTCCCAGCCACCCTTGGACCCAGACAGGGTCCCTCGCAGGGACTTGTGCCTTTCCAGGTGGATATGCAGGGCTGAACTGCAGGAGGTGGGCTCTCAGCCCTCTGCCACGGCGGCTCAGGGGAGGCCTGCCACTTCTACCGGGGGAATTTAGCCAGGAAAAAGGCACCCCTGCCTGAACCAGAGCACTCACCAGGGCCTCAGAATGCCCCCTGGAGAGCCCCACGGGCCAGTCTTCTGCAGCTAACAGGCTGTGGTCAGGCAGGCAGGGATCAGCCCC
Source organism: Homo sapiens (assembly GCF_000001405.40). NCBI lineage: Eukaryota > Metazoa > Chordata > Mammalia > Primates > Hominidae > Homo > Homo sapiens. Next base: position 3,168,609 of record NC_000002.12, read on the forward strand.
GCCAGCACAAGCCGCCCACTGAACCTGCTAAATCAATGGCTAGAGCCCCAGACAGGGCCCTGGTGACCAAATCCAAGCTTCTGTGAAGCCATGAGCTGCATCATCCTGCCTCAGGGTGGATGGGCGTTGACTAATTTATGGAACATTGGAACATTCCAGAGAGGAAGCGGAGCTGTGTTACAGTCACCCTGGGGGAGGGGAGGGCACAGTGACAGGCGCAAGGGAAAGTGCCTCAGCGCAGCATCTGCAGACTACGATTTAGCACCAGAAGACGCTCGCGCCGGGAACCCCAAATTCCTCATGCCCATTCGTGGATTCTCTTTTCTGCCCTTATTCCCAACAGCAGCATTGTGTGCTGTGACTGATTTAAGAGCCACCTCAAATGCCTGTATGTGGGACAGGAATAAGAGAAAGAGAAGGGGAAGAGACAGAGAAAAGGAGAAAAGGAATGGCCTTAGCCCTATCCACAAGCTCAGAATAACTAACGATTTACTTGGAGGAAAGATCAGCATTTTCTCTAAGATTTCCATAGATTTGAAGGCAGCTGTGGGAGCACGGAATATGCAACCCCTTTATTAGAACCTCAAACTCATTTGAGGCTCATCACCTCTGAGTCATCCCACAACAAGCTTTCTAGAGGCTACGTTGTTGTCATTTTGTGAACAAAACCATGACTGGCCTCTGGGGGTAGGAAGGGCCAGACAGAATGACCTCAGATGAAAAGGAAAAGAATATGGGCCTCATCAATGCGTCCTGTGGTTCAGCCCACCTCTTACTACGCACAGGTCTCACTTTAGAGAATGTTCACGTTATTTCGTAAAAGGCGAATCTCCTGACTTTATCACCCTTACTCTGTCAAAAGACCAAGAACGACGTGAACTCTCAGCACCTTGGGGCACCGTGCTGATGACACGCGCGCTGAAATGGAAGTTCAGACATCACACATTTCAAGGAAAAGTAGACGCCAAGCCCCCTCGGCCAGGGCTGGCGGCAGGAGGGATGGAGTAAGTGCCTCCACTTAATAGAGCCTTGATCCTATGCAGTGCCGATCCCAACGTCCTCCAAGCACAATAGCTTAATTTATTGTTGTTGGCAGCTTAAGTGGACTGCAGCTTAATTTGTGGCACCAGGTCAGCTGAACTTCACTCTGTAATCTCCAGAGTTCCCTCCACATATTTAGGCTCCGTCGCTGGGCTTGTTCCAAAGCAGCAAATTAGAATTCTCTTTCTTTTATAACAAGAAAAAATTAGTTTATACACAGAAGGAAAGAGAAATAAATTACAATCCTCTGTCTTCCTTACAGAAAGAGAAAGGAAGATATATTGATTTATATATGAAAATGCCTTCTATTACGGGAGGAATTGGTTTGTGATTGTAATTTTAAGCGGGAGTGTAGCCCTTTGGGGTTGGTGATGTCTGGGGAAGGGCTGGGCTGATTGGGCTGTAGAGGGTCACCTCGCCTGCTTGCAGGAGCTTCCGAGTCCTCTAGGCCGGAAGGCAGGTGCATGCTAGTTTACCCCCACATCCAATTGCACCTAATTTACTTGCTTCTCTGGAGTTCTTGGCCATCACTCCCAACACCAGGTATCAGTGTTCTGCAGATGGGAGGGTGTGCTGGGATGAAATTCTAACTCACGAAGATTTCACTCTGTCACATTTTAATGATCACAAGAGTAGCTGAGGTGTGTCTTCTCAGGAGATCAGGTCCAAGGGCCTTTTTTAGGGTTCTTCCCTGACAGCTGTTTCTCCTTTTCACAAACCCACCCTTTGTGTCATCTCCCACTCCCTCCCCAGGATGAAAGCTGCATCTCCTCTCCGGTTCTACAGCCACTCCATCTAGCCTAAACCGCTTTACCTGAAATTATTATAACAGCTTCCAAGCTAGTCTGTCCTTTCCAGGCACAGTTATAGGTGTTGAGGTCTGTTCCACAATTTCATATCTGTGTGCATGGAGCGCACAGTGTGCATGCAGGGGAACCGCTGCCCTGAAGTGCACACATGGGGACCCCCTGCCACGGCGCACACACGCAGGGACCCCCTGCCACGGCGCACACACATGGGGACCCTCTGCCACGGCGCACACACGGGGACCCCCTGCCATGGCACACACACACGGGGACTCTGCCATGGCGCACACACACGGGGACCCTCTGCCATGGCGCACACTCATGGGGACCCTCTGCCACGGCGCACACATGGGGACCCCCTGCCACGGTGCACACAGGGGGACCCTCTGCCATGGCACACACACACAGGGACCCCCTGCCACGGTGCACACACGGGGACCTCCTGCCACGGCACACACACGGGGACCCCCTGCCACAGCGCACACACGCAGGGACCCCCTGCCACGGGGCACGCACATGGGGACCCCCTGCCACAATGCACACACGCAGGAAGCCCCTGCCACGGTGCACACACGCAGGGACCCTCTGCCACAGCGCACACACATGGGGATCGCCTGCCACGGCGCACACATGGGAACCCCTGCCACAGTGCACACACACGGGAGCCCCTCACCATCCTTCTTGCCACCTAGCTCCACCTCAGCTTGTCTGCCTGGCGTGGGGGACCATCACTCATCACTGCCTGACTCGCATCCCATTCCTGTGTGAGTGCACCACGGCAGGCGGCTCTTCTGTGTATGGGCTGTGGCAGGGGGTCCCCGTGTGTGTCCACTGTGGCAGGGGATCCTCGTGCATGTCCACTGTGGCAGGGGGTCCCCATGTGTGTCCACCGTGGCAGGGGATCCTCGTGTGTGTGCACCACGGCGCCATCCCTCTGGCTGCATCTCATGAGCCCCCTTGGCTGAACCCCTATTTCTCATCCCAGCACAGGCCTCACTCACCTCTAGCTCCACGTTTCCCAGATCTTCAAAGCCATCATGTGCCTCTTTGCCAAACGTGGTCTTTCTCTTCTTCTAAAACCTGATATTTACCTGCTTGGATTCTACTGAAGGTTAAATTGTGTGTTCACCAGAGCGTCCCTCATCTAGGCGTGAGCTCACTAGGACAGGGACAATGCCACATTCTAACCCAGCGCTGGGCACAGGCCAGGCCCCACACGGTGTCCACCCTTGCGGTGCATCTGCAGGTGTGTGAGCACATTGTGATGCCTGGGTGACTTGTCCCTTTGTCCCTGTATTTGGTTTCCCCAGCCAAGCAGAAAGCACACAAGCTCCTCCTGCTCTCTGAGGCCCCGACACATGTGCCCCACGGAGCGGGCAGTCTACATGCTGATTTCCTGGCTGGTATCACCAGTGCTGCTATATACCGCAGGCCCAAGATACATGTTTGTTGATGTGAATGAGTGACTGCACTAACTCATCAACACCTCTAGGTGACTAGGAAGAAAAAGGCTGAGATGAGAGTGACGAAGGCTGAGACAGGAGGAGGCTTGGGCCTCACTGGGCGGATGTGAGAGGTATTCCACCAGCACAGCTTGAAGGGAAGGGCAGTGCCATCTGCACATGCACACACTGGCCTGAAGCAGTCATTATGTGCACAAAGATACATCAGTGTGTGCAGCTACAAAGTGCAGGTCACAGCTCGCCCGCACAGGAGCAAGAGTCCTCGTCGTTTTTAATCTGGAAATGCACTCTGCTTCTGTGACGGGTGGGGCCGTTACACACCCAACTTCCTAAGAACCCAGAGTTGTGTTATGACACACGATATAAAAGGCTCCTGGTGGCTGTTCTGCAAGAGTTACCGGCAGGAGAGACCAGCAGCAAGTTCTGGGTAATTACAGCCGTCATCAGGTGAGCCTGGACGTTACCCGGAATCAGCCCTCACACCTGCAAGGGGCTCCGCGCTTTCTGAAGGGCTTCTGCGCCGTGCGCTGTAGTAATGGTAATGGAAGTAGGAGTAAGAGTGATAATAACACTATCGTCGTGGTAATAACTTTAAAAGCGGCTGCCATTCCTTGAGGTTCTGCACTGGGCCAAGCACTAGTTCCATAAATTATAGCATTAAGCCTGAGAACATCCTCATCAAAATGAATTAGATGCTGTTATCCCCACTTAACAAATGCAGGCACCGAAGCACAAGGAAGGTAAGTCCTTGCCACCTTGGCCCCACAGTGAGTGGCAGATGTGAAACACAAGCCCAGGCCTGTCTGACTCCAGATTCCAGTTCTTCGGGCCTCGCCCAACAAGCAGCGCTTGGTTCTCATGTTGACACTGGTTGGTTCCCAGAGCAAACATCATCCTCCCAGTGCCCACGAGGAAACACTCAGAGAAGCCACACAATGCAGAGGTGGAGAATTTGACACCCTCCCAATGCTCCTGTCCCCTAATCCAGCCCTTCTCCTTTGTGTGCTCCCCTCTTGCTGTGAGCCCTGAATGGATTCGCCCTGAGAGAGGACCCCACCAAACGACGTGTCTTAAGCATAAGGAGAAATGTCTAAGATAAGGATTTTGCAAAAAGCCAAGAGGATGTTGAAGGGAAGCAAGTGGCGTCCCATCTTTAATGGCTGGTCTGCCGGTGACTTTAGCCACTGGCTGGGGAGACGGCCACGGGGGAATGGCTAGGATGACCTTGACTGGACGTAAGGGGGCTCAGCAGTGCCTGGAGGAGCCCAGCTGTCCGAGCTGCCAGCCAAGCCGTCCCAGGGACCTGCAGGAGCGTGCAGATTGCGTCCCTGTGTCTTCAGGAGGTGTTATAATTGGCCGGCTCCAACCACAGCGAGCTCAGATGACTGCTTTATGGTCGTTGGAACAGATCGCATCCTGTATGGCAATACGTCACTTCTTGAACCACAACATGCCCTTTGTCCTATTGAATTTTTAAGCACTTTAAATCCCTTCCTTTAATAAGACTACCCATGAAGCCAAAGTTTAAACAAAGGAGTTACTCACCTTAATCTTCCCTCAGTTTATCACGTCCAACATCTTGCACATTTCAAAAGGAACACACATTAGCAGTTTCCAATAATGAAGGTGTGAAGGTCACACAGGATCTGTTCTCTCAGCAGGAGGAAGAACTTTGCTTGGCTGTCGTGAAGACAAAGTGTTCTATTTGCTACAGATGCCCCGAGAGGGTCTCTGCAGTTCCCCCTTGGGAGGGTCTGGACTGACTGTAGAGGCATGAAGGTTAGGAGACCCTTCACTCCTCTCAGGCTTGTGCGTGGCACTTAGGGCTATGATCCTAATTGTGCAGGAGACAGGGGCCACAAGCACCAGCCCTCTGAACTTTCCCGACGCTGCCAGGCCATTGCCTCTGCCTCAGATGGGGCCCAAGCCAGCTTGAAAGAGGAGCACAACCCCTGCCCCATGTCCAGCTGCCTCTCAAGGGGGAATATGGGGTCCCTGGACTCGGATTCTGCACCTGCATTGTGGACAGCCCTTTCCTGACGTCCCACCTCCACTGTTTCACATGAATGGACTAAGCTGTAGGCCCTTCCAAGCAGGAGAGCGTGTTTTACTTGCTTTCTATCCTGAGTACTTAGCAGAGCATCTGAAGCCCAGTACATGTTTGCTGAATGAATGGCCTCAAATACTACTTTACCACGACCCCATTGGACAGATCATATACCACTCTGCTCTAAACACTGGGACAGATCAAGCTTTAAAAATAAGTCTAATGGTTGCCATTTTGTTTGATAGTCTCCTCTTAACACTTTTACATTATTTTGCATAAGATGCAGACCATTTATGGAATTTGATTTTTTATTTACTTATTAGCAACATCTAAGCGAAGGTTATGGCCCAGGCCCCATGCTAGACACAAAGAATTCAAAGATAAGCATGAACTACATTGCCCTCTCTCCATGTTTTGGTCTCTGACTGCTGAATATCAGCCCAGAAATCAGATAGTTGCTTTAAATTAAATATATTAAAAATGAAGTAGAAATCCAAATCCACAATGAACCCAGGCACAACGACACGCACAGTCCTGCAAACATCGTGCTAAATGTCAACACACAAGAGGCAGCTGAGCCCTGCCTTTCAGCTCCGGCCTCGAATCCCGGCTCTGAGCTCATTTGCTCTGCAACCCCAGCACTGCAGGTGCCTCCCGGGGCCTCTGATCTCTGGTGGGATGTGATAGGGCCGAGCACACAGCTGTAACCACGATGGCCCATGAGTCCTGGTTACAGAGGGTCGTTCCCAGGAGGAACTTTGTGGGGGCAGTGGGCAGCACAGGTGGGCTCCACACAGGGAAGGTGCCCAGGGTGTGCACCAGGAAGTCAGGAGCGAACCAGGTCCTGCTGTGTGGCTGCAGACTCCAAGAGCTGTCAGTTCTCGGGCATACGGGCGCCCCCGCATCACGTGGCCAGCTCGGGTCTGCAGCGCTGTCTGCACACTGCCCGGCTGTTCATCCCAGTGCACTGATCTACACGGTCCCTGCTCTGCAGCTGCATGCTGGAGGCAGGTGGGGAAGCAGGGTGCCTCACCCACCGGGGCTCTATCCACAGGGGAGTCCAGGCTGGTCTGTTCCCTCTGCAGTACCTGGGGTTCCCTCCTTCCCCACATCACCACATTCTCCTCGTGGGTGTCTGGAGGTCACCTTGCAGGTCCACAGAGGGCGGCTAGATTGCCTGCTCTCACAGGCAGCTGACCAGTACCACAATCACACCCGGCCAGGAGGTCACTCTGTCACCCTGCCTGGCGAGGCCGAGACAAGCTGCAGAGGCCATAGAACACCAGCTTTCCAGGGAGGCTGCAGGGTGTTGCTCAGAATGATGCACAGACAGCTGATGGCTGTGGCAGGGCTCATCCTCACTCCAAGGGCATCTGCTACATGCCTTTGAGGAGGACACTGAGGCAGACACTTTCGTGCAATTCATCTGCCCGCCCGGCAGGCTGAGTCCACTTTCTGTCATGCTTAGAAGGATTCAGAGCAGAACACCGCCCAGGGAAGACCTGAGGTGTGATGCTCCGGTCAGCTGGGGAGGCACGAACACACAAGGGCTTTTGGAAATGGAGGGAAGGGACCAGCGCCTGAATACTGGTCACACACCAGGCACCTTATGTGCATCTTGCCATGGAACCTGCACCTTCAGGAGGAGCCCATTAATACCATCTGTTTACAGATGAGGACGCTGCTGCCCAGAAGAAGAAGGGTCATTGCCCCAGGTAGTGAAGTAGCCCAACCATGATTCCAACTCAGGACCTCTGGCTGCAAAACCCATGTGACCTCATTCCACTAAATGATGCCACAAACAAAGCCAAACAAAATTAAAGCGGGGGCTGGGCACAGTGGCTCACGCCTGTAATACCAGCACTTTAGGAGGCCAAGGTTGGTGAATCACTTGAGGTCAGGAGTTTGAGACCAGCCATCTCTACTAAAAATACGAAAATTAGCTGGGCGTGGTGGTGCATGCAGGTAATCCCAGCTACTTGCAAGGCTGAGGCATGAGAATTGCTTGAACCCAGGAGGTGGAGATTGCAGCGAGTTGAGATCGCACCATTGCACTCCAGCCTGGGCGACAGAGCGAGACTCCGTCTCAAAAACAAACAAACAAACAAAAACGGGGGCAGAATTAAAAATGCAGATTCACCGAGGACACTCGTGTGAGGTGCTCCCAAGGTGGGGAAGCAGGAGGCGGGCTGTGTGGAGCATGCCGGAATTGTCGCTGGAGTCTGGCCTGACTCCAGCTGGGAGGGTCAGGCGGCGGCCCAGGGCTCTGTCGGTGAGCTTAGGAGCCCCATGCAATGAGCCATCCTCTGCACTAGAATTTGTCGAGTGCCACTCTGCAGTGGTCTCTGATTAAAAATTAAACAAAATGAACTTCTCCCGCAGCCAACTGAACTTTCTCCTGTGTATAAATACATGAGCACAAGCAGCCGGCTAAAGACAAAACAAGGTCGCTTTTGGCCGCACCAGTGAGCCAGCCTCCCATGCAGGCTGAGGGGTCCCCAGGCCTTGAGAGGGTCCCCAGGGCAGTGGTGGCAGCGGAACCGCCTTCGATAGCAGTCGCCTGATCACTCTGCAGCTCCGCTGGCTGCCAGAGCCAGTTTCTGTGGCCTGCCCACCAGAACAAAGGAAATCCGTGGATGGGCCCTGGTCACAGTCACGGTGTGGACAGGACTCTGTGGCCTCCAGCGGCCCTCAGGGTTCAGCTTGTGCCCTGTCCTCACTAACCCTGACTCCCAGCGCTCTTCCCAGGGAGCCTGCAGACAGAACTGGCTCTGCCCTGGGAAGAGGACAGGGCCTGATGGGCCTGAATGCCTGGCCCTGGGGCACAGGAACTGCCCAGACCTGAAAGAGCCTGGCAGTCACAGGTCAGCCTCCCTGAGCTGCACAGGAAGGCCCAGAGGGGAGAAGGGACTCGACCCACGTCTCCTGGCCGGAAAGTGGAGGACAGAGAGAGGGGCGGGAGCACCCGTCTATTGCTGCGTGTAACACACATGGCCCAGGCTGCTCCTGGCCACGGGGCTTCTTCCCTCCCCAAGTGCCATTTTCCTGCAGCGTAGACTGGGGCTCGCTGTGCGACGGGTCAGTGGCCGGGTGCGCGTGTTCGCGAAGCATTCTCGCGATGCCCGAGTGCGCATCAGAGGCGTCACTGTGGTGGGAGAAACACCTGGACCACGGTCCTTGCCCTGAGCTGCTTAGAAAACACATATTGGATTAACTTCTCAGAATAAAGATTCCCCACTAGTGAAACTGTGCAGACTGCGCTACTAACGCGGACACTCCTTGCACACCTGCTTTGATCCCACTCTGGCTCACAGTGACTGGCTCAACCACAGGCCTTTGCTGGTGGGTTCTGAGGTGAGAGCATTTGGGGTCTGAGCCCCACGAGCTCACGGTCTAGTGAGAAGGTGAGTCGTGGCCCGAAACTATGATAAAGGAAGGCACCAGGGCCCGCCACATGGGACCAGCGGCCCTAAGGATTCCCTGCCATTTTTGAGCTGGACGTCACGAGCCATATGCCCTGTGATGGAGGCCTCGGGTGCAAGCAAATCCACACCCACGCAAATGCAAATGGCTGTTTCCACCTAAGATGCAATGTCAACTTCAGACTCGTGTCCAGGACTGAATCAGCGTCTCTGTGGCTGAGATACCTGAAGAGAGAGAAGCTGGCGGCCGTATTAGTAGGAAATCCCGTGGTTTCTCGGGGGAGAAGTTGATGCCGACAGATCTTTTCATTTTTCCCGGCCTCTGGTAGGTGGCCTGTGAATGGCTTCTCCTGAGGGTGCCCTTGATGGCTTCATCAGTCAGGGCCCTTAGCTCTCCCCTCAACTACCACACAAGCACAATTTCAGCAGCACCAAAATGACAACAGAAAGGCAATTCCAACATCACCATTTTCCACACGCTTATTAAGCAGTAAGACACAACAGGGCATGAATTATTATGCAGTAACTCATGCCTAGAAGCCATTGCAGACACAAAAGTCGAAGGATTCATCATTATCATATATTCAGTTCTATTTTTCTTTTTCACGCTGTAAAAAAAATCATGTCTAAATCTTCTAAAACCATCATAGTTACATCAAAAAGTGGATTGGGCTATCAACTCCGACAGTTTAAAATAAACCAGCAGCTGAGCAGGAAAACCTCTTGAATGCTTTCCTCTAGGTTTAGAGTCTGTTACTGGTGATGATGATAAAGACCCTGCTTCTTATTCCAAAAAAAAAAAAAAAAAAAAAAAGCAGAAAAGGAAGCTGCCCAGTGGAAAGGCCTGTGGGGCCGGGTGAGCCCCCTTGGGCATAGGCTGCCTGAAGACCCCGCTGGTCCATGGGTGCCACATCAGGAGGGTGGGAGGGCACACAGCAGTCTGAGGTCTGTCATGTGATGGCGCCGCTGGAGGGCCCCCAGCTGTGAGCCCTGAACCATGCGGCTCCAGGGGGTTGGCCAGGCTGGTTCATCAGCAAGTGTGACCGCACTTCGACTCTGTGCAGGGCACTGTGCCAAGCCCTGAGGACCCAGCAATGGACAGAGGTCCCCAGGCCTTCCTTTGTGGGGCTGACATGCTGGATAAGGAGTGTTGAGGAGAAGCCTGCAGAGGTGCATCTCAAAGACCACTGGGAGGCAGGTGGACCCTACCAGTAGCACCCTTGAGGGCTGCTCCCTGACCAGGCCTGCTGCACACCACTGGCCCTCATTCCCCACCCTCTCCTGCTGCCAGGTGGGAGCAGCTCAGGGTTCTGTGGCCACCCATTCCTGGGAAGCTAAGGATGGCCCCAGGGCCACTGGTAGGCTGCCCTGAGAGTCTCCCTTACCCTTGCTAGGGGCAGAGGCAGCCTCAGAGCCGGCAGGGCCGGCTCTTCCTCCACGTGCAGGCCCAGCACAGCCTAAAATCCAGGCCAGATTCTTGCTGTTGCAGTCCCACCACTCAGACACCCGTGCCCTCCCGTGCCCACCCAGCTCCCTGCCTGGCTGGCGCCCCCACCCCTCCAGGATTCAGGGGAGCCATCCTCTCTTCACCGCCCACTTGTGCTGGCAGATGCCCCATACTGAGCTGCATGTTTCTGTCCCAGGCTGGCCTCTGTGAGCTTAGAGGTTATTGGCAATGCGTTTCCTCCCCGTCCCAGGCCTCTAGGCAGGGTACATGTTTGTGGGAGGGGCTCCCCAGACCTCCCATCTGGCATGGAGGGACTGAGTGGGTGGGTGGGTGCTGTGCCCGTAGTACAGTGCCCACAGAGAGAGGGTGAGAGCTGCTTACTGCACAGCCAGCTACTGCCCAACGCAGGTAGCTGGGTGGGCAGACACTGGGCCATGATCTCGTGGGCCCTGTTGACAACAGCTGGAGCTGGAACACGCTCCCTGCTGAAGGCGGGACAGGGGCCCTGGCAGCCAGGTGGCCACTTCAGGGACGTCTATGCAGTGGAAGAGCCCAGAAACCGACTCAGGAACGAGGGAGGGAAGAGGCGAACCCGAACCCACAGGGAGCCGTGAGGCCTCAGGAGGGCGCCACCTGCCAAACTTGCGCTCCTGTATCTGCAGGAATTGTATTCGATGCTACTATCAAAAGCAAAGCGTTCTCGAAAACCCTTTGTAATCTGCAAAGTGTCCATCATTCAGAAAGACATCGTTACGCTTTCCTCTTAATGAATTTATAGAAATAGGTGAAGACGACCAACTTACACCAAGCTTGAAGCTCTGGGGCTGATGCCCGATGCCCTGGGGGCTGCCTAACTGGGGCCTGGGGCCACCCCTGCACTGCCCCTTCCTGCTCTCCCTTTCCACCTCCACCCTTCTCAGAGCAGCCTACAGAGTCTGACCTACACTGAGGGATTGGGCTCCTGCCCTTCCCAACACAGGGGGCACGGAGCCGCCACGGCCCCTTGGCTGGGATTAGCCCGTGTGTCCCCCTCACCAGAAATCAGCCCCTTCATGGGGCCGCCTCACACTCCCAGCCCAGCCCTGTGGGCTTTCAGGTAGGAGGCAGAGACCGCAGGGAGGGAGCTCCCAGAGATGCACCCCGTGGACCACGCCCTCCCTGTCTCTTCCTCCTTCCCCGGAGGACCATGCTGGACAAAGTAGCAGCTCAATAAACATGTATTGGATTGCTCCGGATCACAGTCAGGTCTAGGACTGCACATTTATCAATTCCTTTCCACGTCAACTCAATATAAGTCGGGGCAAGCCTCGTAAGATGTGAGAAGTGGAAGCTGCAGGGAGTGTCTGGAGCCCGGAGACAGGCCATGGGTGCCTGATCTGGAGGAGTGTGAAGGGAAACACCCAGGAAGCAGGGTCTGTTGAGTGCCTCAACACAAGGCTGCAACAGGTGGGACTTGACCTGCAAGTGCAGGAGCCAAGGGTGGGCAAGCATCTCCACACGTTTTGATTTTAAGGAAAATTATTCTTGTGACCACGCACAGGGTGGGAGAAGGAGTGAGCCCACTCGCTCACTATTCCAGCACCGACACGGGGACGCTCACTATTCCAGCACCGACGTGGGGACGCTCACTATTGCAGCACCGACAAGGGGCACCAACACGGGGATGTTCACAATTCCAGCACCGACATGGGGACGCTCACTATTCCAGCACCGACACGGGGATGCTCACTATTCCAGCACCGACGTGGGGACGCTCGCTATTTCAGCACCGACAAGGGGCACCGACACGGGGACGCTCACTATTCCAGCACCGACAAGGGGCACCGACACGGGGACACTCACTATTCCAGCACCGACACGGGGACGTTCACTATTTCAGCACCGACACGGGGACGATCACTATTCCAGCACCGACACGGGGACGTTCACTATTTCAGCACCGACACGGGGACGATCACTATTCCAGCACCGACACGGGGACGCTCACTATTCCAGCACCGACAAGGGGCACCGACATGGGGATGCTCACTATTCCAGCACTGACAAGGGGCACCGATACGGGGACGCCCACTCTACCAGCACCGACACGGGGACGCTCACTATTGCAGCACCGACAAGGGGCACCGACATGGGGACGCTCACTATTCCAGCACCGACACGGGGCACCGACATGGGGACGCTCACTATTCCAGCACCGACACGGGGTCGCTCACTATTCCAGCACCGACACGGGGACACTCACTATTCCAGCACCGACACGGGGCACCGACACGGGGACGCTCACTATTCCAGCACCGACACGGGGACGCTCACTATTCCAGCACCGACACGGGGCACCGACACGGGGACGCTCACTGTTCCAGCACCGATACGGGGCACCAACATGAGGACGCTCACTATTGCAGCACCGATACAGGGATGCTCACTATTCCAGCGCTAATACGGGGACGTTCACTATTCCAGCACCGACACGGGGACGTTCACCCTTCCAGCACCAACACGGGGACGTTTACTATTCCAGCACCGACAAGGGGCACTGACAGGGGAATGCACACTATTCCAGCACTGACACAGGGATGCTCACTATTCCAGCACGGACACGGGTCACTGACACAGTGACGGTCACTATTCCAGCACGGACAAGGGGCACCGATATGGGGACGCTCACTATTCAAGCGCCGACATGGGAACACTCACTAGTATTCCAGTGTTCCCGACACGGGAACACTCACTTCTCAGTAACGCTCACCGCTATTCCAGCGTTCCCAACACAGGGACGCTCAGCGCTATTCCAGCGTTCCTGACACGGGGATGCTCTCCAGTATTCCAGCACTGACATGGAAGCCCATGTAAACCAGGAAATGGGGCTCCTTCCTCCATCAGGCAGCCCGGGGGCTGGATTCCAGGACACAGTAAGGGAAGGAGGAGACACAGGGAAAGGCCCCAAGGCTATGACACTGGAGCTGGCTTTCAAGAATGAGCAGAATTTCACCAGGTGGAGGAGGACTTCCAAAGGATTTGCAAAGAAGAGCCAATCTAGACAAAGGTGATCTGACGCGTCGTTAGGAAAGGTCGCTCATCTGTTTGATCAGAATGTCAGCTATGACAGAGATGCGGGGATGTCCATGAAAAGCCAGGCTGGGTCAGAGGACCGTGATTGATGGTTAGTTGATTGATTGATTTAATAAACCCTCATTAACTGCTATTACACATAAGGCAGCATTTCAAACCAGAAACTCGCAGGCTGTTCCCTATGTGATTTTTAGTGCCTCTTCAATAAGCCATGCAGAAATCCAATCAGCAAGGCTCAGTAAACACTAGTCAATCACAATCCTCATCGTCACTTCCTGAGACCATAAAGCGCATGACGGTGTAACTGCTGGGGCATCTGTGATAGGCTCCGAGCCCCTGCATTGTTCTGGAAGCTCGGCCACTCTACTGGTGCATGGGACATGTTTTTAAGGTTATCTTACATTAGAAAAGTGAGTATCAGGAGAAGTCAAAAAGACAAAACCTGTCAACGGAGGGGTGCAGTCAGTTACGGAGCCATTTTTCTTGATTCTTAGGAAATGGCCTTCTATGTACTGCTTTCTATTTGCAAAATAGTCACATTGAATTCACTGGTAGCACAGAATACCTTTGGAAGTTCCATTTTAATCCATCTCTATTTAGGGGATCTTGCTTTTAAATGACCCAGCTTATGGCTTTCAATGTCTCAAAGGAATTAAGAACTTTCATTTTTCACATATTTCATACAAATATACAAGGCAGTATTTCAATTATCCTTTCGTCTCTCCATCAAGCACTTTATCTTGAGATAGACTAAGAGCTTTGGGTTATTTACTGAAAGTGAGGACCCAATTCTAGAAATGTTCCAAACTCGGCATCTCCTCATTCAGCCTTTAGGGGTAAGATTACCAGACCCAATGACGCCTACTAGTGTTTTAAGATACGAACCACTGTCCCATCCACTTGCCCACCCACCCATCCATCCCCTTCCAACCACCCACCCACTTACCCCATCCAACCACACACCCACCTACATACCTATCCATCCACCTACTCACCCACCCATCATCCATCCACCCATCCAGCCACCCACTCACCTATCCACCCCCATCCAACCACCACCCACCCACTCACCCCATCCAACCACCCATCCATCTACACACCCATCCACCTACCCACCCACCCCTCACCCTCATCCACTCACCATCCACCCACCCAGGTATCCATCCACCCACCTATGCATCCATCCACCCACTCACCTACCTATCCATCTACCCACCCATCCACTGACCCACTATTCATTCACCCACCCATCCAGCCACCCATGCACCATCCACGTAACTGTCCATCCACCCATCCACTCACCCATCCACTATTCATCACCTACCCCCCACCCACCCGCCCGCCATCCACCCACTCACCCATCTACCCACCCATTCACCAATCCATCCACACATCCATTCATCCATCAACCCATCCACCCACCTGTACCCACCCATCCACTATCCACTCACCCACCCAATCTGTCCATCCACCCTTCTACCCACCCACCTATCCAACCCAGCCTGACTGTCCCCTGCCTGGCACCCACTTTCTCTAGCCCTGAGGTCCTCAGGGGCCCACAAATCTTTGACCTGGTCTCTGCCTTCTGTCCCTCACCCCTTCCTTCCCTCCTCTGATCCCCCACCCCCCATTTCTGGTGTCTTCAGTCTCTGCCTCCCTGGCTACAGGAGATGCCTTTGCAGGGCCTAGCACAGTGTCTCAGGGAGAACACCAGCAGGCTCACCCGCCCTGCTGAAGGCCTGCTCCTCCCAACTCCGTCCCCCAAGACCTTTGTCTGGGGTCCTTGTTGTTGAACTAAAGCTGGCCCTCTGGAGTTCCCACTAACAAGGGCTGTCCTCATGTCATTGGTGACACCCCTAGGAGCCCATCCAGTGCTCTCACACCCTGCCCCCAACACCGCAGCTTTTCACATCCCAGAGGAAGCAGCCACAGCTCTTCTGAACGAGCCACACACATTATGGGGCAGGTGCAGCCCACACAGTGTGTCCCTGCAGTATGCAGCATGTGCCCCGGGTGTGGGGAGGGGGACTTCCGGCTCCAGCTCCAGGACACCCTGAGGATGCTGCGTGATGCTTGCTGTGGGTTGGCAGGGCTTCACCAGGACACCCTGAGGATGCTGCGTGATGCTTGCTGTGGGTTGGCAGGGCTTCGCCTGCTGGTGTCAGAAGATGATTCTCAATTAGCGCCAACCCTCCCTCCCATCACCCGGCCAGGCAGAGAGCAGGAATGGAGAGCCACAGCCCGGCCATTTAAGAGCAGCGCCAACTCACTGGGCAGCCCACACCAGAAGGGGCTCCTGAAAAGTGTTAAATCCAAAATCTCCCATTGCTCCCAATCTCACACAGCTCCTGGATTCTCAGTTTAGCCCTGCCAGGCCCATGCTGCAGAGGCGCCTGCGGGGAAAGTGGGTTACTAATGACCCTGCTTTGTGCAGCTGGACACGTGCCGAGGTAAGTCAGGCCCCGGCCAGGGCACACCATGGATGACATTCATCTTTTCTGGCACTGACGCTGCCGTCCACAGCCACAGGCGACACCGCACAGCACCTGACACTGCACAGAGGGGCCAGGAGGACGGGTCGAGGCTGACTTCTTTCCCCATATTCCCAGCCCCCCAGGTCCTGGTAAAGAAGGTCCACATGTAATCCCATCACCTTCAACACAGCTTCTGTGTAAAGGAGGGAAGAACCCCATCTATACAGGAGGCTTGTCCAGCACAGCCCCTCCACCACCCCACGCGCAGGGGTGTCCAGTGCAGCCCCTCCACCACCCCACGCGCAGGGGTGTCCAGTGCAGCCCCTCCACCACCCCACGCGCAGGGGTGTCCAGTGCAGCCCCTCCACCACCCCACGCGCAGGGGTGTCCAGTGCAGCCCCTCCACCACCCCACGCGCAGGGGTGTCCAGTGCAGCCCCTCCACCACCCCACGCGCAGGGGTGTCCAGTGCAGCCCCTCCACCACCCCACGCGCAGGGGTGTCCAGTGCAGCCCCTCCACCACACCACGCGCAGGGGTGTCCAGTGCAGCCCCTCCACCATCCCACGCGCAGGGGTGTCCAGTGCAGCCCCTCCACCACCCCACGCACAGGGATGCAGGCTTAGCTCTGAAAATGGCATGGGCAACAAAGGATGCTGGTGATGAACCCCAAAGTCTCTGCATGGCTGCATCCTAACTGTTCCAGCTGTCCAACCAGTCACCTAGAGGTCACTGGGCTGCCTATGGGTAAGAATTGCTGGAGGCAGAGCCTGAGAGACTTGCATGAAGGGGACATGGCCTATGCCCCGGTCGGTGGACAGAGCCGGGCAAGGTGCCCCTAGCCTGTTTCAAAATCCTCAGAAGGGGGATGCTTGCTCTGTTTACAAGGGGTCCTTAAGATAAAACTATGTCCTGTGTTTGAATGTGTGTGCATTTTACAAATAGAAGTACTGTTGATGACGCCCAAACCGTGGCCACACTGATGATGGCCGCACTGGCAATGGCCGCACTGGCGATGGCCACACTGACGATGGCCGCACTGATGATGGCATTGGGTCCCACGTGGTGCTGTCCTGGGGCACACTCGCTTTCTCTAACGGAACCTCTCACCCTGTTCATCTGGAGTTGCTCACCAGATCACACCCTCGCCTTCCTATTCCAGGATATCCCTTCTCCCCCCTCTGTGCTTCTCCACTGGACTAGTCTATCCGCATTCAGAAACACAGATATTTCTCCTTCTTAAAGAGAGAGATCCTCAGCCGGGCGCGGTGGCTCACGTCTGTAATCCCAGCACTTTTGGGAGGCTGAGGTGGGCAGATCACCTGAGGTCAGGAGTTTGAGACCAGCCTGGCCAACAAGGTGAAACCCCATCTCTACAAAAATTAGCCCGGTGTGGTGGCGCATGCCTGTAATCCCAGCTACTCTGGAGGCTGAGGCAGGAGAATTGCTTGAACCTGGGAGGCGGAGGTTGCAGTGAGCCAAAATTGCGCCACTGCACTCCAGCCTGGGCGACAGAGCAAAACTCCGTCTCAATAAAAAAAAAAAAAAAGAAAGAAATAGAAAGCTCCTTGTGGTCACAGGCCCTGGGGGGCTACTCCTCCTGTTGTTTCCTTTACACAGCCCCTCCCGCTCCCAGCTTCCTACCTCTCTTATCCCGTGCCGCTCCTGCAGTTCATGCTGCTCCTGCTGTCCACGCCGCTCCTGCCATCCACCAGCTGCCAGGGGGCCTCCCCAGGGCCATCCACACCTCCATGTCCGTGTCCATCTCCAGCTCGTTCTCCCCCACATCTGACGCCCCATCTGCAGCATTGAGGGTGCCTCAGTCCTTCTCCCGGAAACCAACACTTTGCTTGGCTCCTGGATACCCCATGCCCTGTGCCCTCCCACCCCCAGACTCCTCTGAAGGAGGATTCAGAGGAATCTTCGCCTCCTCTGAAGGAGGATTCAGAGGAATCTTCGCCTCCTCTGAAGGAGGATTCAGAGGAATCTTCGCCTCCTCTGAAGATTCCTCGTCCCAGAGCTCACCTGAACGTCTTCTCTACACGACTTTCCTGTGGTCTTCTGGGGGCCCTGCCATCCGTTCACCATTGAAGGACGCTTGTGTTGCTTCCAGCACTTGGTGATTATGCCTGGGTAGAAATATCTGTGTATAGGTATTTATGCAAACATAAGTTTTATTTTCTGGGGCTGGCATTGGCAAACAGGCCCCAGGCCACATCCATCCACCGCCTGTCTTTGTAAACTCATGGTGTGTGTCTGGCAGGACAACCACAGAGAGGAACATGGACAGTGACTGTGGCCCTCAAAGTCTAAAATGTTTACTTTCCAGATCCTTTCTCGAAAAGGATCCAGGGTAAAGACGTGAGGGCTGACTGGTGTGGTGAGTGTGTGTTAAACTCATGAGAAGCCAGCCACCGGGTGCACAGTGGCCTCACCATTGCACACACACAACGCACACACACTGGCGGCTGTGTGCCAATCAAAGGCAGTAAACCATCCAAACTCTAAACTTCAGTCCTCACCTGTTCAGTGGCTTCCGTCTCAAAAAGGCAGGACCTCCAGTTCCCCATGGCTGGGCCTCCTGCCTCATTCCCATGCCAGCCCAGCTGCCTCCCTACCTGATCCACTCACCCAGGTGCCACCCCACCCCAACCCTGGGCCTTGGCTCACGCATCGCCTTCTCAGAGAGCCTCGCTCCCACAGCGCTCCCTGGCCCCTCCTCTACACTCCCCTGTGGCATCTGTCCCCATGTCACCTGATGGCCCACAGGAGCACTCACTCCAGGGGAGCTGAGACTTGCCCTAATCACAGCTGTGGCTGCAGCAACAGCAGGATCTAGAAGTGTGGGTACACAGTAGGCACTCAATTTATGTTTGTTAAACAAACACATTTTCTTTCAAGTGACAGCAACTGAAGGGAGGACTGACATTACAATGCCACACATTCCTCACACGTGCAGGTTTTACCTGGAAGCAGAAATGCTGGAGGGTCTGCAACACACCTGTCTCTGTCCACCCCCACTCCCCACCAGCACACCCCTCCCCAAGGCCCCCCGTACCAGCTTGCCCCTCCCCATGCCCCCCCCACCAGCACGCCCCTCCCCACGGTCCCACCCACCTGTGTGCCCCTCCCCACTCCCCACCCCCCACCCACCAGTGCGCCCCTCCCCACTCCCCACCCACCAGCGTGCCCCTCCCCATGGCCTCCCCACCAGCGTGCCTCTCCCCACGGCCCCACCCACCTGCATTCCCCTCCCCACTCCTCATCCACCTGTGCACCCCTCCCCATGGCCCCCCAACCAGCATGCCTCTCCCCATGGCCCCCCCACCTGCACGCCCCTCCTGACTCCCCACCTGCGCACCCCTCCCCACGGCCTCCCCACCAGCGTGCCCCTCCCCACAGCCCCACCCACCTGCATTCCCCTCCCCACTCCTCACCCACCTATGCACCCCTCCCCACGGCCCCCCAACCAGCGTGCCCCTCCCCACAGCCCCACCCACCTGCATTCCCCTCCCCACTCCTCACCCACCTGTGCACCCCTCCCCACGGCCCCCCAACCAGCGTGCCTCTTCCCACGGCCCCCCGACCTGCGTTCCCCTCCCCACTCCCCACTCACCTGCTTGCCTCTCCCAACAGCCCCACCCAGCTGTGCACCCCTCCCTACAGCCCCCACCTGTGGACCCCCCCATACTTGTCCCCTCGCCCAGGACCCCACCTTTTCACCTCTCCCCCTATGGCCTCCACTTCGCTGTGAACTCTCATCTATGAAAGGAAAATCCAGGATGCGGCCCTCTGGGTGCAGAGCGTCCTTAGCAGCACGGTACACCTACTGGCGGGGGCGCTGCAGCAGGAACGTGTCCTTTTTGCAGGTCGGGCAAGACTTGTCCTAGAATCGTCAAACCCCAGAGCTGATGGGCCTGTGAGCTCAGCCCATCCTTCCCCATCATTACAGATGAGGTGATCGGGGCAGCAGAGCGCAGAAGTGGCCCCTGCGGGGACACCTGGCCAGGTGGAGGCCTAAGGGAGATGGAGCCCAGAGTCCAGGGCCCAGGTGGCTTCTCCAGTGGGAACACGCACCAGACACAGAGAACAGACCCCGCACACCCAAAGGAACCACGAACAGAGGCTGCGAGGTCAGTGTTTGAGGATTCCTAAGGATAAGCACTGATGAGTGTAGGAGCCTGTGAGGGGTCCCCGACAACTGAGACGCGGGAGCCCAACCCCAAGCTCCGAGGTGAGGGAGGACGGCACCTCCAAGGCCACCAGTGCGTGCGCGTGGGGAGGAGGCCCTGCCCGGCTCACAAGGTGGGCAGGACACAGCACAGGATGGGCTGCAGAGACCAGGGGAGGCCCAGGGCGGGCAGAGCCTGCGTCTACAGCAGTGAAAATGCATCACACCAGCTCAGCCCAGGGCGCGAGCCAGGTGCCCACCAGCAGCCAGCATGGCTCCCGGGAGTTCCATGCTAGGGCGGCGTAGACAGCACACGTCTGTCCATCTGCATTTTCCCTGGGTCAGGAAAGAGAAAATGGACAAAGACCCAGGAGATGGGGTCACAGGGCAGAGCTCCTGAAAGAATGAGCCGAGCACCTGTGCAGCGTGGATTTATTTTATTTCATTTTTTACTCTCAAGAGAAAGAAGAGTTACTATTGCAGGAACAGACATTTTTTTAAAAAGCGAAACTCCTGACACCCTTAAAACAGAAAACATTGTTATTCACATAATAATGTGGGGCTCTGTCTCTGCCGACAGGGGCTGGGTTCGGGCATTAGCTGTGCCGTCGACAATAGCCCCATTCACCCCATTCATAAATGCTGCTGCTACAGGAAGGGAACAGCGGCTCTCCCAGAGAGGGATCCACCTGGAACACGAGTCACCTCCAAAGAGCTGCGACTGTTTGAGAATCTGCCAAGAGGAAAACCACTCAATGGGACCTGGATAACCCAGGCCCGGGAGTCATAGCAGGATGTGGTACTTCAGGGCCCTGGGCACCCTGTTGATCACGAGCCTCCCGTCATAGCTCAGGGAGGCAAACAGCCACGGGTCAGCCGAGGACCAGTCCACGGCATAGACGCTGTCCTCGTGCTCCTCGTAGGTGGCGATCACGTTGTCCTGCAGGGGCTCCTTGCTCCTGCAATGCAACAGAGGCAGACGTGAGCGCAGCAGCTCCGGCGGGGCGGGCAGGAGAGGGGCAGGGAGGACGCGAGCGCTGACATCGGGAGACACGGGAGGTACTGGGGCCTCAGCTTTCTCCGCTGTGGGATGGGAAGAATTAGAGGAGCCCACACCGAGGACGGTGGGGTGGTCCCTGCAGAAGCCCAGAAACCCTCACTGTCACTGTGAGGAGTGGGCATTTCTCAAAAGGTTTATGGAAATCGGCGACATTGGCACATGGTGTCTTGGTTTCTTCTGTCCTTGGCCCCCGGGTGCCTGGGTTGATATTTTGTTGGAGGTCTTCCAAGGGCTTCCTTTAGCTCAGGGGAAAGACTGGGGGAAGTAGTCACCGTGTCTGGGTAACACAGGATGTAAACGCCCCTATTGCTTGAGCAGAAAGGACCCTGGGAAGCAGCGGGTCCAGCTCCTGGCTGTGTAGGAGTCAGAGGCTGGGGCACAAGGAGCCTTGCTAGGATGGGAGTGGGGCTGGGCTGAGGATCCCCCAGGACACCAAGAGGAAGACGCCCTGGCCCTGTGGGAGCAGCAGAGGCGTGACCTGCCTGGCCTCCCCCAGGGTGTTTCCCACCTCGCCTCCCTTGACTGTGAGTTACCCTCACTGGGAGCCCTGACCAGGGGATCCTCACACAAGAAGCACCACTTCCTCAGCACAGCGTGCATGGGGAGGGGGCCCTGCCCGGCTCACAGCGGCCACTTTCCGGTGGACACAGGCTTCTCTGGCACTTTACTTCCCATTTCACAAAAAAATTCCCACATAATTTGTGTACCGCATTCTAACTGCTTTTGCATTTCTTTGTAGGAAAATGCTTCACCCCCCCAGCAAGACGGACCCTCCAGAACTCGCATGGTCTCTGGGAAGCTGGCTTCCCACAAAGTGGACCTGCCAGTGGTCAACTGCTGTTGTGGGACAAATGCCAGGTGCAAATCCTTAGGAGGAATCATGGTTTCCTGAATGCAGCAGGACATCAGGACTGAGGGATGTCCTAAGAAGTCTGCGTAGCCCCGATCACCTCCTCCCTTCCTATCTTGCTCCCATGACATTGCCGCCCAGAAGACAACGCCAGCAGTCTTCCGACCAACGGGCCCATCAGGCTCCTCCCCTAACAGGGACAGACATGGTGAGGAAGTGCAGACTCCCTGGGCCACTGGCAGAGAGGACGGTAAAGGGAGCCAGGCCCACAGGCACCGAGAGACCACTGGGCAGATGCTACCGTGCGTGTGCTTAAATACTATTCTATGGCAGACCGAGTTTCTAAGGTTTGAACAGAAAAACAACAGAGTCTGGCTCATGCCTGTAATCCTAGCACTTTGGGAGGCTGAAGTGGGCAGATCACTTGAGCTCAGGAGTTTGAGACCAGCTTGGGCAACATGGCAAAACTCTGTCTCTACAAAAAGTTAGCCAGACATGGTGCCATGGGCCTGTTGTCTCAGCTACTTGAGAGGCTGAGGTGAGAGGATCACCTGAGCCCAGGAGGTCAAGGCTGCAGTGAGCCATGATCGTGCCACTGCACACCAGCTTGGGTGACTTTTTTGTTTGTTTTTGTTTGTCTCAAAAACAAAACAAAGGCAACAGAGTCAAGAGACAAACAGATGGGCCCATCGCCACTGCAGAAAGGGTCCAAAGACAGAGACAATCAGATGGGCCCATCGCCACTGCAGAGAGGGTCTGAAGACAGAGACAATCAGATGGGCCCATCGCCACTGCAGAGAGGGTCTGAAGACAGAGACAATCAGATGGGCCCATCGCCACTGCAGAGAGGGTCCGAAGACAGAGACAATCAGATGGGCCCATCGCCACTGCAGAGAGGGTCTGAAGACAGAGACAATCAGATGGGCCCATCCCCACTGCAGAGAGGGTCCGAAGACAGAGACAATCAGATGGTCCCATCGCCACTGCAGAGAGGGTCTGAAGAAAGAGGTCTTCTCACAGAGGAATTTTAGACCAAGCTCAGGTGGGTAGGGGGAGAATTCAGACAAAAAACAGTGCAAAGGATCCCAAAACAGAGTGACAGACCCCATCGTATCTAAGGGCTCTGTCCAACTTCACAAGGTTTTATTCCAGAACCTCCTTCCTCTGGAACCTGGGGCAAGAATCTCTGCGGTTGCAACTGAATTGCATCTAGTCACCCCCCAGGAAGCGGCTGCCACTTCTAAAGGTGGACTGCTCAAGGACACAGGGGCCCTGGCACTGCACCGCTGACCAGAGGCGGGCATGAAGAGGCTGCCCTTAGCGATCTCCCATCTCACCTAGGATCAGAAATCAAGGTGCATAGGAAAAAGCTTTGGGAAAATCCAGAACCATGATGGTGTGACTAGAAAACCCACATCATGGTTGACCACATTTTGTAGAGTATCTAGAAGTGAAGTAGGACCCGGGTTTGAGACTGGGAAGGTTGGCCTGGAGTCTCCGCCCTGCTACCAGCCAGTGGAAGGCCCGTGAGCTGATGGCCAACAACCCGACCCCAACACGCTCAAATCCACGCCAGTGAAGACACTGACTGTGATGCGTCTCTTACAGGGAGTGCTGTGAGGATTGGGATATATTCGTTCTATTATTATTCATGCTCAAGTTTGAAGACCAGTGAGTCTTTTAAATCTTACAGATGGCATTCAATAAGAATACAAACACAAATAGATCTATTTTAAAACCGCACCTAACCCTAACGCACCTGCAGTGCCTCCCACCTGGGCTGCTAATGACGGCACCCCTGGAACTGTGAGTCCCCACAGCTGCAGTGGGTAAGGAGAGTGTCCCCCAAATGCACTCCTGGAAACTTTCTACATACACAGCCTGGCTCGGGAGATGGCTGTGCAGACAGGAGGCTCTGGTACAGCGTGAGCCACTCTGCAGTGCGTGCCCTTACTTCTCTTCAGAACGGTGGTCCTCCTGGTCACTGATGTCATCGTCGTCTACCAAGTGGCCGAAGGGCTCCGACGAGATGGACACCATGTTGGAAAGGATGACTCTGCTGTCACTGCTGCCCGTGAGGACCAGCTGGTCATGAGAGTGGTTGTAGCGGACGTTCCACACCCTGCAAAGGGCAAGGCAGCTGCTGAAATGAACTGTCACCCGCAGGCAACACCAACAATGGATCACACCGGCTCTGAGGGCCCCACTAGGCTGGGGCTCACGTTAGGCACTGCCAGGCAATCGGCCCCCAGTCACAGGGCCTGACATAAGGCAGTTTTCCGCTGAGGTTGGGTTTACTGCAGGTTTCTCTTAAGTCCCAAGAGACAGACAGGGAAGACTAAATGTTGGCTGAAACCTACAGGAGGAGAAGGCTTATCACGCAACATTTCAGACAAGCTTTCTAAAATTCGAAAAAAAAAAAAAAATACTGTCCCAGAAGCAACATGTGGATTAGCGATATCCTGTAATATCAAACAAGTCTCACGGCATCTTCCCAGTTGGCAGTGACTGTGGGTCCTGAGACCAGGGCATGGCGGCCTCCCGGGGCACAAGGGCTGTCCTTGGTTTTGGCTACTGGGATCAGCTTTCTTGCTGGCGTGGGTCCTAGAGCCTGGGAGCTTCTGCCTCCCGTCATGCTGAGGCCAAAACAAGCTCCAGGGCCCAGGTGGCAGACAGTGCCAGGCCCTTGACGCTAGGAGGTGCACCCAGCATGGCCAGGGGCACAGGGAGGCCCAGCCACTCAGACCACAGGAAATTCCAGCAAGTCACTGAATTTATCAGAAGTGTGCACTACCAATCCGGGGTTTTAACATACAGCTTCAGATAAGTAATTCAAACAATACAGAGATGCAGGCCATAGGGAGTGAATGCCCCTCTTTGACTTGGGGAGGATTCCTGATGAGATTTTGGCTCTTACTCTTTCAGACATTTCCTCCACATACCTGTGTCACTCACACTTGTGTACACCCGTGTGTGCACACACGTTTTATTTGCATAAAAATGGATTCATGCTATACATGCCATTGTACAACTTGATCTTTTTACTTACTTAGCAAAAAGTACCCAGCACATGAAAAACATTCAAATAATATGTTAGGGAGAATGAGTGACCTCAGAGATCTTCCCACAGCCACATAGAGATGCTCCACATTCTCCCGACAGCTGCATCATCTCCACTGCACGGATGTCACCTAATTTACTTAACCAGTCCCCTAGTGATGGACATTTGGGTGGTTTCCAGGTTTCTGGCATTACAAATAATGTTGCGTGAACATCTGTGCACATTTATTTTTGTATACTTGAACCAGCACTGTTTCAAGAGAAAACAGAATTTAATGTTTTTCTTCTTTTCCTACGTTTATAAATCACAAACATTCAGATTTGGAATTAGTGTTTCTTTAGGAAAAATAAAACTGGGTTGATTGAATGATTCACAGCAGCACAAACTAAGCTGGTTTGTGTCTTTCCCAATGGTAAAGTAATTAGCAAAATCAATTGCGTAATCCCCTCCTCCCTGAAGCAGCCAGGAGCGGCCCTACCAGTGGGAGTGCTCCTCCAGGGTCTTCACGGGTTCGGTGACATTTCGGGTGTCCCAGAACTTCACCTTACAGTCGTCTCCGCAGCTGGCCAAGTAGTACTGCTTATTGGGATTAAAGTCAAGGTCCCGCACCAGCTGTCCGTGGGCATTCTCTATGCAGTAGATCTGGCTGAGGGAGAAGGAAGAACAGCAAAGGAAAATAGTAAATGGATTAGGAAAAGCCACTGCGTGCTGCGGGCACACACTGGTTTCCCGGGACCCTGTCTAATCCCCCGGCCCAGGGTGCTCTCATCCCCTCGGCGTTCCTGCCCTGCAGGAAGAGGCTGGCGCCACCTCCTCCATCCCAGCAACCCTGTGTGGTCGCACCACGCTCATCTCTCCAGAAGCGTATCTGTGACCCTCTGGGCGAGCCGTGGAAGGAATTTTTGCTTTGTAGCCGTCAAAAATGTGACTTGGTATCATCTTGAGAATGAAAGCATGCCAGAGGGGCTGCAACAGCCATGGGGACACTGAGCCAGACATTTGGACAGGATGCCTGACACATTTCTGGAAGGACACAGTGAAGAAGGAAAAGAAAAAGACAGGGAGTTGAGGTAGAATATAGTGTTGGGAAATTTTATATATATATACATACATACACATACAACACAAAATATCTATCTATATATAGAACTATATATATACAGAGAGAGAGAGAAAGGGGGGGGCAGTGGGGAAGGCCATGGAAGCAGGAAGGGGCCGGCTATCTATCTATCTATAGATATATACAGAGAGAGAGAGAGAAAGGGAGGAGCAGTGGGGAAGGCCATGAAAGCAGGAAGGACCATGCCAGCTGGGCTTGCCATTCCACTGTCCACACCAGCTCCAGGTCCAACACTGCTGGTGGCCAGTGCAACCCACTCGCTCCAGGGTGGGAGAAGGGGACTGTTTGAAATGAGTCACACGGCTGTTCACAGTGCGTGCGTTCTCACACTCACGCGTGCATCTGTGTGCACGCCCACACATGTATGTACACACACATGCACACATCTATGCATGAGAGGGCAGACACGCACACACGCACTCACACATCTCACTTTGCCCTGGATCCTATGGTCCTTGGCTGCTCCTCGCAGGGTCTGAAGTCATAATATCCTGCCTATGGCCCTGATGTCATGAATCCCAGAGGGCAGGTCATCCAGTGAGGCTGGACAGTGGCTTGGAACAAAAGGCTGCGCCCAGGAGAGCAAAGAACCCATGGCCTGGCGCTGCCCAGCAGCTCCTACCTGCACGGCCTCCCCAGCACTGCCGTGGGCGGGACTGAAATCACTCCTGCATCATTTACCTTCCTCACCGCAGGCCTCAATGGGGCTGATGAGCAATGGGAAACTTCTGTGCCTTGTAATTTGCTTCCTTTATCTGAAGACCATCATTGTTCTCTGCTCTCCAAAGTAGAGGAACTCAATTCCTTTCATCTTTTTCTCTCACATTAGAACTCCCGGCCCTAAACCACTTTTAAATCTTCTGGTTTTTATATCCTGCACCTTTGCAATATCTTAATATTTCTTCCCTAAAATATAATACCTAAACTTTTAAATC
The DNA here is from genome assembly GCF_000001405.40 of Homo sapiens. Classification (NCBI taxonomy): domain Eukaryota; kingdom Metazoa; phylum Chordata; class Mammalia; order Primates; family Hominidae; genus Homo; species Homo sapiens. The sequence continues at coordinate 3,195,576 of NC_000002.12, forward strand.
TTTCAAGGGAAACAGGCAAAGGTAGAAAATTTAAAACTTGGCAAATTCCCGGGGAACTAGATGGACAGTCGCACGTGCACGATGTATTAACTAAAGGTTACTGCATGCTCCATCACCAGTAACTGTCACACAAAAGCATCATACCACCTAAAAAAGCACCAAAGGCATCCTGGCTCCATGCAAACCAAAGCTGCTTGCAAAAGGAGAAATGACAGTCAATGAGAAGGCGCCAGGACCCTCTGTGCTGCGCTGGCACGTCCTCACCACAGACACAACACGGGCAAAATGAGGCCACTGCCAGATGTCACCCATCAAAGCCACGGGCATCTTTTTGTTTGCTTATTTGTTTGGTCTGTAACGTCAGTCTTTGAGTTTCTTGTTTTCAGATACTGAAATTCTTCACATCCTTCAAAAAACCATGCAGACAAAGGACACGATGACCACAGGACATGGAGAAATGGATTTCAGCAGGACGTTCATCACGGGCTGAGTCTGTGGTTTCCAGCTTCTGATTAGGAAACCAAACAAGCCCTCTGCACGGACGTGCACAAAGGAGGAAGTGGCAAGTGATTCTTTATTAGCCCCTGAGTTTTCAGAGGGGCCTTGGAACTAAACCTAAAGTTGTGCCCCCACCCTGGAATCAACACGAGTTATTGCATGACATCCGTCTTTTCAGCTCGGTGATAAATTATGGTGTGCTGAGGGGATAAACTGTATCTTAAAAAAGCTTGTGTGGGCTTCCGTTGCCACAGCAACAGACGTGCTACCATCACTCCTTTGCCTATCAAAATCACAACTGGAACGGAAAACTCGCTCTTATTTGTTCCATTAGAGCTGCTGGCTGTTGGGTATAATTACTTAAATGACAAAATATGATTGCCCTATAGGTGTGTCTCCAGAAGGCACAGCTATGGTCAAGGACGACCCCAGGAGAGACTTAACCTGGGGACTGCAGCTGTCAGCCTGCAGCGGCTCATCAGACACGGGCACCCTGTGGTCCCCATCTCGCTCAGTGTTACAAAAGCCCCAATTCCTAGTTTTCATAATAAACTCCTGCTAATGCAGAGATATCAATATGGAACATTAAACAGCCACCGAGGTGCACCGGTTCCATTGCAGTGGATGTGCTAGCTTAATTTGGGGTGAAGAAACAAGATGAAGATTTATGATTTCCTACAAAAACGAGATAAAGACAAACCATGCGCCCCCAAAGGCATGTGGCTCACCATCAGCTCCACCATCATCCCGGTTCTGCTCGGTGAGGGAGGAAAGGAAGTGGGGCCTGCGCCGGGTGGGCTCACTGACCTCATGCTCCGGGTGTCCCAGCCACGGAGGGTGGTGTCGTTCGCTGTGGCCACCTGGGTGCAGTTATGATGTGGGCTCCACCGTCCTGAGGTGAACTTCAGTTGTCCCTTCCCTTCCAGGGACGCTGAGCTGGCCAGCTGGGAGTGTCACGATGTTTTCCAAAGGAAGAAGAAAAGAAGAAGAATGTGAAGTCTGTTCAGAAAACGCGAGAGGATATCGTATACTCAAGGATATTATTGAAAATAATTACTGAGGATAATTAGGAAGCTCTGTCTTTGTTTCCTTTCCTTAAATGGCAAAAATGAACCTTACTTGGGGAAATCTATAAAACTGAGCACAGCAAAAAATAGAAAGCATATTAATAGGCCTCTATTAAAGAGCGTTTGCTTGCAAGTATGTGATTAGAGATAATCAACTCGAACTTGAAGGAAAACAATACAAAACAACTCAAACATCTGGCTTTCCCCAAAGAAAGCGACAAAACAAGTCAGGTCCACCTGAGCGGTTCCGGAATAACAAAGGGACAAACACATTCACTTGGTCAGATGCTGTCTCCAGTGCACGCCCTCTTCCCTCCCTCCGTCTCGAGGCCCACACGGCCTTCGCCTGGCATTTAATCAGACCACCCCAAGCCAGCGAGCTGACCATGAAGGCCTCAGCAAGGCCCTCTGGGGCTGGTGTTAGGGCTAAAACCTCCCCCTGCCTAAAAGAGGGTGGGGCCCAGTTGTGAGCCTGCAAGAAGATCCCCAGCTCGTTTCTCTGCTCGCCTAGGATTTCATGCACAAAGGCTGAGCATGTTGGCTGCATCGTTATTTCAATTTGGGGGTTGAATTTCAATGCACAGGATGACTGTTAAAGGCAGGAAGCATCCAGGTCTGCCCCAGGGTCCTCTGTCACACCTGCCCCCAAGTCCTCCTGAGGGACACAGTTCCCACCACTAATTCCGTTAACTTTCAAACCAGCTGTGCTCTTCAGAGCCCTCTGAGAGGAGCCTGAGGCAGGTGGCTGGTGAGGCGGGCCTGGCCAGGCTGAGGGCAGGTCCAAACGAGCTGCTAGACAGGCCGTGAGAGGCCCAATGACCGAGCTGGTGCTGGAGTTTATTCAGCATCTCACAAGATTTACCGAGGGGCTTTGCTGGCCAGGGCAGGTTGGGTACCCAGGCTCGGGGTGAACAAGTCCCAGAGGTCCCCACAGAGTGAGTGCCCACTGCATAGACAGGCAGGGGCTCTGCCTGGAAACCACCACTCAGAACAGAAAGACGGGCAGTTCCCAGTGAGAAATAGGGCACCGTCTAAGCCACAGGTAAAGGGCTTTCTGGAAAGAGCGCACTGGCTGCAGATGCTCCTGGTGTCTCCCAGCAAGAGGCCTCCCAATTTCAGAGGTGGCCACTGGGAGGCGTGAGCTACAAGACCTGGTGTCCCCCCAGTCCTATGCAAATGGGCTGTGCGAGAGACTGAGAACTCAAAACAGTCCTGGTCAGAAGCCGAGAAAGGCGGTCATCAGTGAGAGACGCAGACACTGCGCTCAGTCAGGGAGAAGAGGCCTCGGGCCCAGGAAGAGCCACATCTTCACCTCCCACTCCGAAAGCCTGCTCTGATGCTTAGGAAACATTTTTGGAAACTGAAAGCCACCATCCTTGCAGAGCCTTGTTATCGGGGGAACCCACCCCCGATAATTCAACGTAGGTTCTTTTCTATTTTCCCTGTGTCGGTCGGTCTGAGAAATAAAGGGAAAGAGTACAAAAGAGAGAAATTTTAAAGCTGGGTGTCTGGGGGAGACATCACATGTCAGCAGGTTCCATGATGCCCCGTGAGCCGTAAAACCAGCAAGTTTTTATTAGCAATTTTCAAAGGGGAGGGAGTGTACGAATAGGGTGTGGGTCACAGAGATCACATGCTCCAAGGGCAACAGAAGATCACAAGGCAGAAGGTCAGGGTGAGATCACAAGGTCAGGGCGAAACTACAACCACTAATGAACTTCCATGTCCCACTGTGCTTGCATTGTCATTGATAAACATCTTAACAGGGTTCAAGAGCAGAGAACCCATCTGACTAGAATTCGCCAGGCTGGAATTTCCTAATCCTAGCAAGCCTGGGGGCACTGCAGGAGGCCAGGGTGTGTTTCATCCCTCATCTGCAACTGCATATGGCAGACACCCCCAGAGTGGCCATTTTAGAGGGCCCCCCCCCCGCCCCGGGAATGCATTCTTTTCCCGGGCTGTTAATTATTAATATTCCTTACTGGGGAAAGAATTCAGCGATATTTATCTTATCCGTTTTGGTAATAAGAGAAATATGGCTCTGTTCCACCCGGCTCCCAGGCAGCCAGACTTTACGATTGTCCCTTGTTCCCTGAAAATTGCTGTTATCCTGTTCTTAAGGTGCCCAGATTTCATATTGTTCAAACACACATGCTTTACGAACAATGTGTGCAGTTAATGCAATCATCACAGGGTCCTGAGGCAACATACATCCTCAGCTTACGAAGATGACGGGATTAAGAGATTAAAGTAAAGACAGGCATAGGAAATTATAAGAGCATTGATTGGGGAAGTGATAAATGTCCATGAAATCTTCACAATTTATGTTCTTCTGTCACGGCTTCAGCAGGTCCCTCTGTTCGCAGTCCCTGACTTCCTGCAACACCTTGTGGTGGTGAGAAGAGGTCAAGAGAAGGTGGGGACACAAGAGACCCACTGGGGGGACAGGGTACCCATGACTCCATATCTGGGCAGAAGCGAGGAGGTTGTGTCTGCATCTGAGCAGCTATGGGGGGCGTGTCCACATCTGGACAGAGGTAACAGGGCTGTGTCCACATCTGGGCAGAGGTGACATGGGTGTGTCTGCATCTGGGCACGCATGGGGAGGGGTGTGTCCACATCTGGGCAGAGGTGACAGGGGTGTGTCTGCATCTGGGCACGCATGGGGGGGTGTCCACATCTGGGCAGAGGTGACGGGGTGTGTCTGCATCTGGGCAGAGGTGACATGGGTGTGTCTGCATCTGGGCAGGCATGGGGGGTGTGTCTGCATCTGGGCACACATGGGGGGGTGTCCACATCTGGGCACGCATTGGGGGGTGTGTCCACATCTAGGTAGAGGTGACGGGTGTGTCTGCATCTGGGCATGCATGGGGAGAGTATGTGTCCACATCTGGGTACAGACAAGGGGGTTAGGGCTGAGGTGGCACCTGGGGCCTCACTAAGAGCTGGGAGAAGAATAGCCATGGTGATAGTCAGAGGAGCTCTCTAGGAATCGCTTGGACAGGGGCACCAGCAGGCTGGGTGTTGCCGAGGAGTGGACCTGTCCGCTCCCTCCCAGCCCCAAGCGGATGGCTGCCGATGGGCTCCTTCTTTTGTTTATGGAGAGCCTCCTGTGTGCCCCCGGCCCAGCTCCCCTGTGCCCAGGTCCCTGCCCAGCCTGGCCCACCACTTTCATCCCCACAACCAAGTGACTTTCAGGAAGTCAAAGGATGTCTCCTTAGGAAAAGCGCGGGGCTTTTGTTTTACGATATCCCTGGTAAACTATCCGCTCTACTGTCGTATGTGCCAAGGGTGACTTACTGATCCTCTCTCCACAGTAAGCTGAAGGGCTATTTCTGCTCCGTGCAGGAAATGTTAATTGCATTCCTGCTGTGTGGGGACAGTTGGCAGGCATGCATCCCACACACGGACCAAGCAGGAAAACGCCAGGAGCACACAGAGGAGGAGGTGGGAGCAGCCGCCACGTGTGGGGCCTCGGGAAGCCTGTCCAGAACTGAAAGGTGGACACAGGGGCGGGGCAGGGAGGGGGGCAGGGGCAGACACCAGAACGCACAAGCACGTGTGAGCACGGCAGGATTAAGCTTGAGTCATGAACACCAGGCCAAGGCATCCGCGGTGAGTCTGGTAGGCTCACCAAGGCAGCCGACACAGCACCAGGCAGAACAGTGGGGGCAGGGCTGGAACCAAGCACTGAACTTGGTGAGGACAGCCAGGGTCCAGGCCAGCTGTCAGCAGGACAGAGTGACCGAACCAGAAAGGCTGGGCAGGTCTGGGCTATGGGCAGGGAGGTGGCAGGGCCTGGGCACTCCGCATGGTGACGGCAGCATGTGCAGCAGCTCGGACGCTGGACTCAAACTAGCGCTAGCAAAGGGAAATTGAACCTGAGGAGCCTGGGGTGTCTCGGGACCAAGAGGTAGGAACCACATTGGGCTTTGGGGCTGCCGAGCCCCAGGCACGTGCTCCCACCCTGAGCTGGGCCCCTCTCTCCACACCTGCTCCGTTTCTCTTTCTCTCACTCCGGCCTGGCTCCCGTATGTGCACAGGGCAGGAGGCAAAAGCGCCGGGAACACCAGGGCCTGACATCCCCCTGATCAGGCACCCAAAGATGAGCCAACCCTTAGACCTCACCCCAAATTCCTGGAGAAGGAGGTAGACTGGCACAGCCGGGCCAGGCACTCGCCAGGAACAATCAACCATGGCGGAGGGGGGATGTTAACAAAAGAGGGGAGTGCTCTGCGCATAAAATCAGAGGCGCCTCCCACCTTCCTATTTCACTCCATCAGATTTTACAGCATCTCTTCCTTCTCATTACGTTTGCGGCAAGGGTGCAGCTTTTCCAGCTGGTGCGGGAGGCGGGCTCCCAGATACACTCAGCATGGACCCAGACACAGAGCGGGGGCACAGGCACTGCAGGGAGGGAGAGCGTGGCTCCCACAGCAAGCTCCAAGGAACCATATAGTGTGCAGGGTGACACACAGGAGCCAAGGAGAGGGTCCCCCTTGCAAAGCTACCGAGGAAGAAAACAGAGCTGGAAAATTCACGACCCTAAACGCTAAGCCACAAGAAAACCTTTAGTAAAAGCCAGTTGGGGAGTAGGTCAAAATAAACATTGCCAACAGCAATGATGGAATACAGTTTCCTAAAGAGAAGAATTGGTAGCAACATTACGTCAAAAACTAGCAATGATTCGAGTGTACACATTATTTCAGAAACACAGGGTGAGCTAATTTTTGGCTTTAACTTTGGCAACTTACAGTTAGTTAGGTTCAATGTCTTTTTATTTTATTTTATTTTTTATTATTTATTTATTTTTTGAGACGGAGTCTCACTCTGCCACCCAGGCTGGAGTGCAGTGGCGCGATCTCGGCTCACTGCAAGCTCCAATTCCCGGGGTTCACGCCATTCTCCTGCCTCAGCCTCCCGAGTAGCTGGGACTACAGGCGCCCGCCACCACGCCCGGCTAATTTTTTGTATTTTTAGTAGAGACGGGGTTTCACCATGTTAGCCAGGATGGTCTCGATCTTCTGACCTTGTGATCCGTCCGCCTCGGCCTCCCAAAGTGCTGGGATTACAGGCGTGAGCCACCGCACCCGGCCTAGGTTCAATGTCTTAACTTCCACATGGACAATATGAATGAAGAAATACCTTTGTAGTATTCCCTTTAGGTAAACAGAAAAAAGTCAAGTGAAATTTTTTACAGGTACTATTTCAGCTTTCTGAAGACCTACTTATCAGGTTAATGATTATCCATTGATGACAATGAATACAGTAAAAAAGACCAACTAGCAGATATAATGAAAAGGCTGGATATTGTTTCTAACTAATCGATACTGTGTTCCAGTTAACTTTCTACTAACTATATTGGTTCATTATGAAACTCTTTAGAAGACAGAAACACAAGGTCACACCTTTAGAAGGTAATGCAAATTCGGCAGAGTGGCCTGGACAAGTTCTTGATGACTCGTGTGTGCGAAACACCACAGGGCCATTCCAGAAGGGGAAGGCCCGAAATCTTGAGCCGAGCAATGCAAGCTGAGCCCCCAACAGAGCTATTCTGCCATCCCAAGCTCTTGCACTTCAACTTCTAACTCCGTAAGTGCTCCTTGCAGAAGTTCAGTCAGCAAAATGGAGCACCGCTTGCGTCCAAAACCCACGGGATAAAACACATCCTAACCTTCAGCTTAAGGACTCGTCTAGATTTTTGAAAGAGTAAGTTAATTAATTAAGCCATCAACCAACTACCAATTAGCCTTGCAGCTGATCAACAAGTATTTATTGAGCAAGCTCCTCAGCCGTGCCGAGTGCCATGACAGCAGATGTGGTTTTTGTTCTCACACTCGGTGTCTGGCTGCCGAGGTAAATGTGTGCAATGAAAAGAAATCACTCAACAAATACAACTCGTTATCAGTTACTCAATGCCAGGCCCTGTGCGGAGCATTTATGCTCATTTCCTAGTGAAATTATCACAAGTCACATGATGTAGATGTGAATATCACCATTTGACAGATGAGAAAACTGAGGCTTGGAACAAGTAAATACTTGTACAATGTTTTAAAAGCTAACAAGTGACAGAGCCAGGGTGAATGATAATAACGTACGTTGAGAGGGATTTCAAATAAAGTAGAACTCATCCAGGTTAGAGTAACTAGGGAAAGCTTTCATGAGGCTTAGGAACTGCGATGGGCGTTACAGACTGAACAGAACCTACATCAGTGAAACACAGGAGTGAGCCATTCCTGGCAAAAACAAAAGCCTCACCAAGGCAGAGAGATAGGTAACGTAAATAAACCTGATTGAAGGGGAACCACGTGCCGGTAGTCAGCGACAAAACAGACCAGGCCAGGAGGCCGGGACAGCACAGCACTGAGTCGGACAGGAGAGCCCGCAGTCGGGGCGCCTCCTCCAGCTGGAGGGTAGATAAAAAAAGCAGAGCTGGCAGAGGTGAAGCTGTGACATGAGGAGGCTGAAAACCAGGGAAGCCGGAGGCAGAAGAGGCCCATGGTCGGCAGCGTCTGGGATGGCCCTCGGACTTGGTGGCCTATGGAGTCCCTGCCCCAGAGCGGCTGGCCTCTGACCAGCACCGCAGGGCGGGGTCCCTCAGCGGATTAGATGAGAAGAGATCTGGGCTTCATCTTGCTGGCTGGGATGAGGCAAGCTCCACACTGTGGGGCCACACGGCCAGGAGCTGAGGGCGGCCTCTGGCCAACAGCTGGAGGAATCCAGGCCCTCAGTCCAGCAGCCCAGAAGGAGCCACATCCGACCAGCAGCAAGCCCAGCCCCACTGACCCTGAGACCACAGCCTCATGCGAGGGAGGCTTCAAGCAGAGGACCTAGCTGAGGTGTGCTTGGATTCCAGGTTATCCACACAAAAGCTGAGGTCACACACGTGGGCCGTGCTGAGCACTTTGAGGTCATCTGTTCCAGCAACAGACAGACTAACACGAGGCACTGACCAGAGGTGAAAGGGAGATGCCCCCAGATAAGGGGAGACCCTGATGGATCTCAGCAGCTCAGAGGCGGGCTGTGGCCCCCCTTACTGCACAGCTGGGAAAACTAGAACCCAGGGAGAGTGGGTGAGCTGCCTGTGGCCACAGCCAGCTGGAGGCAGAAACAGGATCTGTCACCTGACTCCACTCCATTGGTCATGCTAACGCCTGTACTCCCAGGCCCTGAAAACTTCACACTCACAGGTGCAGAGAAGCCTGGAAGGTAAATTTTAATAAAAGCCTGAAAGATATTTCACCATCAATTTCTGAGGGTCTACTCAGGGCAGACGGTGCAGTGTAAGTTGTAAGGTTAATCAATCACAATTTTTGGTTTCCTGGGGACATGGAGACAGCACTCAGCAAGAACTCCACAGGGTGCAATGCATGCAGTAATCTGTTTTTCGACATTAAAGAAGAATATTCAGTGCTTCCTGGTCCAAAAGGAATGATTAAAGGCGCCCACAAAACTTTCAAGGGAGATGTTACTAATGCCAGAATGTGAACAAAAGAATACACCTCCTAACGAGCAAAATGACGTGCCTGGCATCGTCTTTAGCAGTTCATGTGGAGCATATCTAAGAAGAGTCTCAGCGGAAGATTTTGAGAGACAAAAAGCTGTATTTCCTGCCATCAAGAGCCACAGAGCTGACAAGGGTGGCTTGATTTGGAGGACAGGAAAACTACAGAGAACACAGCACTGCGCTCACAGCAGACCCTACTACATGCAGGCGCACTCCCAGCAGACCCTACTACGTGTAGGCCGTGCTCACAGCAGACCCTACTACATGTAGGACTGTGCTCCCAGCAGACCCTACTACTTGCAGGCCGCACTCACAGCAGACCCTACTACATGCACGCTGACCAATACCAAGGAAAATGGAGGACCAGCAGAGGGAAGCACGCACCACCCTCTCACCTTGGACAGAGAACAGCAGGGTGAAGAAACAGCAAGGCTGTGGTGTCTAGGGCGCAGGACGTATGAAGCACCTGGTGCAGGCGTGTCCCAGGTTGTGCACCCTGGGCTGCACGGCAAGCGGGAGGGGCTGGCTTACAAAACGGCCATGACCATCCCACCCTGAGCCCGTTCCCATCCCATCCTCAGGGACTGACACTGCTCTGAGCTGAGCAGGAGGAAACTGTTCTCGCCAATGACTAGTTTAGACATGACTTGCCATTATGTCTGACAACTGGACAGAGGCACCTCTAACAAAGGCCTTCCTTACAAACAGAGATGCAGAGAAATCTGCTTTCTCTGCACTGGAACCGTGGGAGTCTGCATGTGATGGCTGGAACTGCTGCAGCTGCCTTGCAGTCATGAAGGCAGAAAGCAGTCACATGTGGATATGGCAGAGTGGAAAGATGCAAAGCAGCTGAGGCCTTCATGCTGTGGAGACACTGAATCACTTTATTTCCAAGCTTCTTGTTATAGCAGATAATAAAGATTCCTCATTGTTTAAGTCATTCCCTGTGTCCTGCAGCCAAATACAACCTAACTGTGGCACCTCTAGTGCCCATTTGAGAATGCCGATGACACCTATGGAAACTTCCCTTCCCTATCTCTGGTTGGGAATTCCAGTCCCAGCTTTGAACGTGAATGCCCCGAGCTTGAACCCCAGCTCTGCTTCCGAGTAAGCCATCATTGGCAGGTTACTTAGTCTCTTTGAGGCTTGGCTCCAGCTCCTATAACTCACGCACGTGACAATATTAAAGGACCCACGCTGCAGGGTTATAAGGATTAAAGGAGATAATACAGGTCAAATGTCCAGACAGTGCCTAGCACGTGGCAGGCATCTTAAACATGTTTTTCTTCATCTTTACTATGACTCAAAAAACAGCACCTTGGAACACTCAGAAGAGCTCTGAGTGGTCTTTATGTGGGGCGAACACTGATGCTGCCTTCTGGAGCACTATGGTCTGATGGAGGCGATGGAAATGAAATCTGCTGGAGTCCCTGAGGCCCAGTGCCACCTTCAGGATGCAGAAGAAAAAGAAAAGGAAGAGGATCTTGGGAGGGCTGGGCTCTCCTGGTGGCACACTTGGGCTCTCCTGGCGGGACACCCAGGCTCTTGTGGTGGGATACCTGGCTGCCAGGGCTCCTGTTTCCAGATGGCAGGAGCTGGTAGCACCAGGGGACAGAGAAAGGGTGGAGGTTGTCCTGCCAGGGTCACACGGCAGGTAGGCCCTTAGCCCTGAGGGAGGCTCTGCACACCCAGCTTGAATGGGACACAGAGCCCCCAGTGGGCTGCAGGCTCCCACACACCACCAAGGGTACCATCCCCTGGGGAGACGAAGTCTGAGATGCACAGAGCTGACCCGCATGAGAGTCTGCATTGTGGCCTCCTGGAAGAGTAGAGCCTTCCTGTATCAGAAAATGTACACAGGGCATCAGCTGTCCCCATTAGGTGACAGGATGTGCCGTTTTAAACTTATTTTTAGTTTATTTCTAAAAGGATTCTATTTGTAGGAAGAATAGAACTAAAAGGGTCTTTTCACTCCTCCTTTGCTACACAAAAATCTAAGCTCTGTTTCTGGAGAAAAACTGTGTCTTAAACCCCAAAATGCAGATGTGACCTCAGTTTTACACACTCAAAATTGGAAAGACCATGAGTACAGATCAGAATTATTTTTTTTTTACCAAGATAGACTATAAGAAATATTTCTGCAACCCCAATTAGACATTAGTGATCTGTTGGAGAGGTGGGTCTAATTAGAGGCAATCCTTGGGAGAGGGAAAAAGATCTTTTAAAAAGAATAATGAGGGCAGAAAACACTGGGAGCAGCGCGTCATGAAAGCACGCCGGATCCCTCATGTCTGAACTGTAATGATCATTCGCTGGCTTTGGGGAAAGTCATTTAATTATGAAGGAGACACAGACTGCTTTCTGGGACCTCAAGTTCTGTCTTGCCTCTGCACGAGGGTCTTCTTGGTGACCCTCCTATTGGGTAACCTTCACCCACGGCCCAGTGTTGGAGATCATGTATTACAGCTGCTCCATCCGCATCCATGTACCCACACACCCATCCACGCGTCCACCCACCCACCGTCCATCTACCTGACAGGCACACACTAAGAGCTTGCTGTGAGGAACGCTGCTCTCCTGTAACCTGTAATTCCACTGTTAAATGGACACTTGGTCAGGCCAAGGAACATGTCTCAGGTCACACTGTTAAGGAGTGGCAGGAAGGGGACCTCGTTTTGCAGGCTGCACTGCTGCCCCAGCTGCAGGAGGACTCACTGCCTCCGGGCCTCCCCCGGCTCAGGTCGTCCTGTACTCTGTGCACCTTCCCACTCACCCGTGCCTGTCCCAGCTATTCCAGCAAAACTTGAAGTCTTACATTGAATGCATCATCTAGATACTGCAGGCCCTATAACCGCATGGCACATTACAAAAGGCAGAGGCTCTGTGTTGGCCACCAAAGCTCCAGCAGCATGTCACAGTTCAGGTGGCCCTTGGACATGGCAGGCACTCAGAACAGGGTGCTGATGGGGAGCCTGTGCCGAAGCTCCCCAGGGTGAGCAGCTCCTCTTTCTTAAAGACGCCTGGTTCTAAAAATATATAATTTGTTTTGTATTACCAGAAAGAAGTCTTTTAAGAGCTTGGGAAAAAGACGCTCAGTTGCTAGATACCAGCACCTAGCCACTTTTGTTTTTTAATGACTTTTATTCAAAATCTGAGTGGAAGACTAATAAGAAAATGCTAGTGAGCTCCAATATTTACAAAATCAAACTATACATGTAGTTTTATGATATTAAAACTATGCAACTTGGTAAATTATACTATGATATTAAAATATGCAACTTAGTAAATCACTGACTACATATTTTCTTAAAGATAATGGCTTTTTCAAAACAAATATCCAAAACATAAATTTCACTGGCCATTGTCTGAAATCCCTGGCTATAAAGCTGACATTTATTTTAATGATGCAGTCTCTGCTCAAAATATTTCAGAATGTCTTTTTATGAGTCTTACAAGGAAATCAGTTTTCATGTGGTTTTAACCCGTTTTCCACTAATCAGCTTTTGCAAAGCTTGCTGACCTATTTTATTTACCAGATTTTGTTCCAATTAACTTTTTCCAAAAATCAAATTCATGCTCATAGGACAAAATGTTATTGATCATTCAAGATACTCAAATAAGAGCAAGTTATCTGAGAACCTCACAGACCTGAAGGAGGACAGGAGAGGTCTGGGCAGGCAGGAGCCACCGTGAGCACCTCTGTGCCCGGGTGGGACTCATTTATAGGGCATCAGACCTGACCCACAGCCCCAGATCTGGCACTCAGACCACGTCACCTTCAGACACTTCCTCTGCTTCCGTCGTTAGCTTTCCTCTTCTCATCTGTCAGTTGGGAGGGGGCCCAATTATATGATGAGGAGGTCTGTGTCTGATTAAAAGGACTACTTAAAAATAGTGAGAAATGACCATTTGTTGGGAAAAGTCCTTATTACCCTCTCCAAAGTGAGCTCACTGAGTGTCTGTTGAATGAATTTGGCCATGGCATTCTGGTATGCTTGGCATATGGCTGACTTCTTGCAGTCATAACTCAACCCCAATTCCCCCAGGAAACACTCGGCGGGTCCTTCTTCCATGCGTGAGGCTCGTGGCGGGTCCTTCTGTGAGTGAGGCCCGTGGCGAGTCCTTCTTCCTTGAGTGAGGCTCGTGGCAGGTCCTCCTTCTGTGAGTGAGGCCCGTGGCAGGTGCAGGTGTCTGGGGCCATCCCTGTTCCCCGACTCCAGTGTTCCTCTTCCCCACAAGGCCTCCAGCCTGGGAATGATGGCACACACAGGGTCCGTGCACGCTCCTTCAGAATGTTCAGATTCTTCCCTCTAATAGGACAAGGGAAGAGCTCTCATATTATCAAGGTCGCCAGAAGCGGGAACAATAGTGGAGGTGGCTGACCAGCACCATCTTTTCCGGGACGCCTGCTGGTGGGAAGGCAGGGTGTACACCCGTTCCATGTTTCTCTCACTAAGCACAACGAAAGCCTGGACACTGCACATACAACAGAGGGTGATTTGAAAGTTGGAGAGAGAGGGCAGGCCCACGCGGCACATAAGGAGACACGCAGTGGGGCTCCCTGGGGTCTCCTTCTGCCTCATTCACCCCAGACCTGGAGCTGAAGAAGCTGGAAGCCAGGAAACACCACCAAATAAGGCCCCAGAAGAGCCCACTGAAAGCCACATTTTCAAAAAGGGGCAGCCAAGTAGGACACAAAACCTCTAGACAGAAACCACGTACTCCAGACAAGCAGCCCAGAAAAAACCATGTCCTCGCTGCCCCCTACAACAGGGAAGCTCGGACTCCGTGTCCCCCGCATGGCGAGGGTGCGTGGAAGGAGGCCCAGGCACCTTGTGCATCTTAACCAAAGTGGACCCTGACGTCACTGTCAAACGCACAGCGATCAGCCCCCTGAGGAGAAAGCAGGAGACGATCTTCAGCATCCAAGTCATCTCAGCTCTCAGCCCTGGGACAAGGGACAATGCATAAAAGGAAAGACCAACAAACTGAACTTCATCGACATGGAGAACCTTCCAGACAATGGAACATTACTCAGTGATAAAAAGAAATGTGCTTTCAAGCCATGAAAAGACCTGGAGAAACCTTGACTGCTTATTACTAAGGGACAGAAACCAATCTAAAAACCATCCATACTGTATGGATCCAACTCTGTGACATCCTGGAAAAAGCAAAACAATGGCAATGGTGAAAAGATCGGGCTTGCCAGGGGCTTGGAGAGAGAGCATGAGGAAAGAATCATCGTTGGGGCACAGAGTATTTTTAGGGCCGTGAAACAATTCTGTGTGACACCACGGTAGAGGACAGGTGTCAGGACACATTTGTCCAAACCCACAGAACATCCAGCACCAAGAGGGAGCCCTAATGTCAACGAGGGGCTCTGGGTGACGGTGATGTGCCCGTATGGGTTAATCAGTGATAACAAAGGTCCCACGCCAGCAGGGGATATGCTGAGAGTGAGGGAGGCTGTGGGAAATCTCTGTATCATCCACTCAATTTTGCCGTGAACTTAAAACTGTTCTAAAAGAAAAGAAAAAAAAAAAGAGATAAACTTTTGCTCTGAAAAAGACCCTACTAAAAAGAGGAAAAGAAAAGTGACAGAATAGGAAAGAGCATTGCCAGCCACCTCCACGTTTCAGGAGCAGAGACTTAAAACACGAAGGGAACAACTCCTCATTCAGGGTGAACGCATCTCCCACCCACATCTGTTTTTCCAGAACTCAGTCCCACGGCCACACCAGGCTGCAGAGAGGCTGGGGAGTGAGGCCTGTCCTAGTCTGTGTTGCCACAGAGGACAATGGACAGACATTGGGACAAGGAGCTGTCCCTGAACACCCCCACGACAATCACAGCCACATGCAGGGATGAGCACGCTTGGTTTCTAGACAAGAAAGCAACATCCGCAGGCGAGTCGAGGAGGTCCCGGTGCTGCTGTCCCATTCTCCATGTCCAGGTCTTCTCACTGTTTACCTCCCAATTCTTTTTTTTTTTTTTTTTTTTTGAGACGGAGTCTCGCTCTGTCGCCAGGCTGGAGTGCAGTGGCGTGATCTTGGCTCACTGCAACCTCCACCTCCCAGGTTCAAGCAAGTCTCCCTGCCCTAGCCTCCTGAGTAGCTGAGATTACAGGCACGTGCCACCACGCCTGGCTAATTTATTTTTATTTTTATTTTTAGTAGAGACGGGGTTTCACCACGTTGGCCAGGCTGGCCTCAAACTCCTGATGTAAGGTGATCCACCCGCCTCAACCTCCCAAAGTGCTGGGATTACAGGCGTGAGCCACTGCCCCTGGCCTAGCTCCCACTACTAAGTGAGAACATGCATAGTTTCGGTGGAGGATGGGAGGAGACAGGACTGTAAACTCCCCATCGGTACTGTGCTTATTACCTGGCTCATGAAATCATCTGTACACCAAACCCCTGTGACATGCAATTTACCTACGTCGCAAACCTGCACATGCACCTCTGAACCTAAAACGAAAGTTTAAAAATAAGTAAATAAAATTTTAATAAAATATCAGAAATAAAAGGGCAAATGAATCCACCCATGGGCACGCCGCAGTGAACAGGAGGGTCGCTGCTGGAACCAGCAGTCAGGTTCCACGCATGAAGTTCTCCACTTTAACACTAACGAAACAAGCCTCTTTCCTCTGTACCACGTCTCTTCCAGTTTGGAGAACAAGAAAGATGAAAACAGAACAGGCTTTCCAAGGTGCGCCGGCAAGGAGCCATAGAACCCACCGACCGCCCACAAAGTTCCCAGCCCCTCCCCACGAGCTCTGAGATTAAGCTCGGCTTCTGCCCACTGCTCTCTTGGTCCCCAAAACACAAACGCTATTTGCATTACAGGCACGCTGGACATGGCGTTGGCTGCAAGGACCATGCTGCTGTCGCTAGGAGTGCCCCCCAGCTTATGTTTGTTTATCTGATCCTCCTGTGGTACATTTTAAACCTCTGATTAGAAACTTTCCAATGGAAACACTGTGTTCCTGAAGCATACTCCCTTCCTTCAAAGAGGTACTGTGTGTGTCACGCCAAGCAGATGGCTCTCTCTAGATGGCCACCTTCAAGGAGCTCCTGCTCTCCTGCGTGAACAGAAGGCAGAGGTGGAGCGAATCCTCACGCAAGCTTCCTTCTCGCTCCGCCACTGTCGGCTCCTTGACAGAAGCTATTTATTTCGTGGCGAGTGAAAGCTGGGAAAGGCGAAGATGAATGAGCACACACAGACACAGGACGGCCATCCCTCTACCCTCATCGGGGTCTGTGGCCCCCACGGAACCTTCCACTCCAGGCCTCCCCTGAGTTCTGCTAATGATTATAAATGGCACGGAATTTCCAATTTAATTGCAAAAGGTAATGATGCAGTGAGCATGAGATTAGATTCACCACAGAAGGCAATATCCTCAAACAATAAGAAGACATTGAGAAGCTGGGTGTGAAGATGGCTTGAATCGATAGGAGGTTTCTGTATTAAATACCACAGTGGAGGGCCACAAAGTAATATTGACAGAACTGCTGACAGTGGATAAAAAAGGGGGAGAGAAAACTAAATTGATCTCTGCAGAAAATAAGTTACAGATTAATCACCCTACCATGAAATCCATTTGAGATGACCGAGGCTCTGAAGATGTGTTCACAGTTTGATTACAGAATAGGTCTCCACCTGCCGCATCCTAACGTGTGGGGTCTCCTTTCTCCCCGGCATCCTCCCTGAGACAGCGAGCACAGTAGGTGTGCAGAAGGCTCCACCCAGCTCTTCCCACACCAGGAGCTGGGCCCTCTGCCCAAGTGTCTATACCAGGAATGGAGCCCTCTGCCCAAGTGTCTATACCGGGAGCTGGGCCCTCTGCCCAAGTGTCTCACCCAAAGCCTACCGTGAGCCTGGCATTTTAATAGGAAAGTATTTTCCTCCTTCTTCCTGGAGGTTTATAGTTATGTAGGAATGCCCCGCAAAAACACAGGGAGGGAAGGGACAAGGAAGGCATCGCCTTCCACCATGACCAGGACTCTGCCAAATCTCCCGGAAGGTGGGAGATTATGGACATATATCCCCAGCCTGCAGGTGTGGTCCACGGGGGTCAATCTCAGGCATGAAATGTCATTCGTTTCCTGTTTTATCTTAAAAGTTTGTGTGAAACTTGCATTCTACTCCAAGATATGAAGATATGCCTTATATTTAAAGTTTGTCATGAAAATAATAATTCTCTTCCTTAAACACCATTGATGCTCTGGGTGAACGCCCAACACTTAATTCCGCGGTGAAGGCTGTGAGACTCCCTTTTGTCCATTCAGAGGTTTAAAGCTTTAACAGGAAACTTAATATTTTTAAGTCTTACTTCTGTGCCACTTATTAATAATGATGCATCATTATTCATACCACCTCGTCAGCCTAGAGGGCTGAGGAAAGGACTTATTAATATTCTAAGGCACCATGAGGGAGAAGAGCTAAAAAAACATGGTAGGAACAAATAAATATAAGATGAGGCCATCACTGGAGAAATCTATCCAATGGATGCTTGCGCAATCGCTTTGACTGTGTGCCGGCAACGCAGCCCCCAAGGTATAAATGACATTGTAAGTGCTATCAGTTCAAAGTTCTTCCACTTCCTCTTTTCTAAAGTGGTTACTTTAACATAAACAAACGCAATGAAATTATGAATGCATGTAAAAACCACATTTTAAAGGAGAAAATTTTAAGAAATCAAATATGAAAAATATATATTAATATTTACTCTGTGAGAGACAAAGTATTCAAACGATGCATATTTAAAAGCAAAACTCAACCCAAAGAAAGCGCTAAAAGTTATTTTCATAACTCATGCAAATACATTACAAGAGCTAGGCACCACTATGAAATTAAAATTTTATAATTGCTCCTACTTAAAACTATGATTTTACCCAAATATATTTTAAGAATCCATTCGTCAAAAGGACAGCACGCTTGAAACGGTAGAAAATACTCCTGGGCATCCCACTCCCTCCTTTGCTCAAAGTGCAGCAAAACGCAGATGTTTTGCAAGCCACTGGGTTCCATGTCATATCTCACAAGCCCTGAGTGACATCTGAACGGCTTTCACCTGAAAGACCCCATCAGTCAGTTCTTTGATTGATGATTCAGTCTGTTCATTAACTAAGGTCAAAATTCTAAACTGTTGTGAATCAAGAATTACATTCTGAATTTAGCCCAAAGGTCCCATTTATTAATTTTTTTATTTTTTTCATTACACTTTAAGTTCTAGGGTACATGTGCACAATGTGCAGATTTGTTACATATGTATACATGTGCCGTGTTGGTGTGCTGCACCCATTAACTAGTCATTTACATTAGGTATGTCTCCTAATGCTATCCCTCCCGCTCCCCCAACCCCACGACAGGCCCTGGTGTGTGATGTTCCCCACCCTGTGTCCAAGTGATCTCATTGTTCAATTCCCACCTATGAGTGAGAACATGCGGGGTTTGGTTTAAAAATACAGAAACAAACGCTGTGTTGTTGCTTTTACTTACCACAGCCTGGCTCGAGCTTTCCTGTAAATCCCACAGCAGGATATGGTTATCAGCCAAGGAAATGATTTTCTTCCCATCTCCCATTGGCTCCCACACGACACTAAGAGAAAGAGAAGTACCAAATGTTAACATAAACATTTGAGATACCCAGGCTGGTAGGTAAGAGCTGTGATACATGTTCTTCATGACGCAGGAAATCTTTTCCGGCCTGTAGTCACTAGAGTATTTTTTACACTGTCACCCGGCAATGCCTGACAACACTGTTGTTGTCTCACTGTTATGGACTGAATTGTGCCCCCCTCCCCAGATTCATGTGTGGAAGTCCTAGCCCCCCACCTGGTGTGATGCTGCAGAGGTTCGTCAATGTACACAGGGGCTATGTCCTCACATCCGTCGTAAGTTTAAAATACCGTGAGCTGAAAATGCAGTG
Organism: Homo sapiens; assembly: GCF_000001405.40. NCBI lineage: Eukaryota > Metazoa > Chordata > Mammalia > Primates > Hominidae > Homo > Homo sapiens. Next base: position 3,214,579 of record NC_000002.12, read on the forward strand.
GATGCACCTAACCCACTCATCGTCAGAGCCAGCCTAACCTACCTTAAACAGGCTCACAACACTCACATCAGCCTACAGCTGGGAAAATCATCTAACACAAGACGTACTTTATAAGAAAGTGCTGAATATCTCATGTAACGTATTGGATATCACACTGAAAGTGAAAGGTAGAATGGTTGTATGGGACTCGAAATGCAATTTCTACGAATGCATAGTGCTTCTATGCCATTGTAAAGTTGAGAGGCCATAAGTCAGGGACTGTCTGTACTTGAAATGGAGCCTTTGGGAGGTGATTAGGGTTAGAGGAGGTCATGAGGGTGGGGACCTCACAATGGGATTCATGCCTTTATAAGAAGAGACCTGGAGGGCAGGCTTCCTGTCTCTCTCCATCACGTGAGGACACAGTGAGAAGGCAGCTGTCTACACATCAGTAAGAGAGCCCTCACCAGGAAATGAATCAGCCAACACCTTGATCCTGGACTTCCCGCCCCAGGAACACATTTTCATGTTGACGCCGCCCAGCGTGTGGCGCTTTTTATGGCAGCCCAAGCTAAGACACTCACCAACGTGGGCTTCATCAGTAACTAAGGAATGGACACTGACCAGCAGTGGCCAATGAGACGTGAGGGAGGCCTGTGGGGGCTGGAGGGTGGAGAGTCTTATGGAGGCAGAGAGGAGAAGATGATTTGCACAGGATGCCCACATCCTTTGTAGCAATCTCCTTAGGCACTCAAGGATAATGGCAAAGTACTGGACGAGATGGGAGGACAGAGCTTAGAGCAGGGCAGAGGAGCTGCCACCGGCCACACCAGGCTCAGGGGTGATGTTAAGCCATTTCCTAATGTTTGAGCCAATTGGAGCCACCGTTTCCCATCATCTGCAGCCAAAGCCATCCTAAATGATACAATGCTATTCAGTTACTCAACAAAGACCAAAATGCTCTCACCTCTGCGATAAAGCCATAAAGGGACCAAGAATTTTTCAACATGGTCGCAAATATGGATGTCTGTTTTCTCTGGTGAAATTCTTAAATGCTTATTTATAAAGAAAGGAATTTCATTCCATGTGCTTTAACTTGTGAGTAATTAAAGACATCAATAAGGTACTACACTATTTCTTTTTAAACAGAACACAATATGGATTGATTGGGGGCACCCTCAAGCATACCTCCCTTACACCGTCATCTCAAGACTGTCTATGGAGCTATTATTACTTGTAATCACAACATTAACATCATTCAAAACCACAATCTCTTTCTCATTTATAGTTTAAGGAACACACAGAAAGCTCATAGTACTGTGATCAAAGGCACATCACGTCTATATTAGACCAAGAGTTTATTGTATCTTATCTATTCATAATAAACACATAATATGTAGTAAACAAGACCAAAACTCTAAAGCTAGGATGCTGAAAAACCTGCTCCAAAACCCACTGCTCCTGTCCAGTTAAGACAATGGCTGACTCTAATGGTGAAGATACTTGTTTGGAGCAAAATGATCACACTTCTCTCCGTAGCCCAGTTACTGCAGGTAAACATAGGTAGAGTTCGGACAGCTTGATAGTAAATTCCAAGGAACAAATGCAATGCAGGGAGAGAAGGATGCAACGGGCAGCCCACAGATCTCGTGCTGGTGGAGTAATGCACTTACCCCATGCGGGACATTTTCTATATGACGGGCAGTAAATTTCCATGGATTCATAAGCTCCCCAGCAGATCTCACTTATAACTCACGTGTGCTTCCCACCAAAAAACAAGCAAGCAAAAGGCTGGAGCAAGGAGTATCCGTGTGGGCTATGCCAACAATGCAGTGACAGTGACTTCTCAGCATGGTACCAGCAAGACGCAGTGTACGTCAGCACCAAGACACTTGGGGTTTTAGTAGAAGCTCCAGAAAGGCAGAGATTCCCTTCGCAACTAACTCACACATCACAGGATGAGAACTAGCCAATCTGATGTCAAAGACTACCTAATTATGAATCAAAGCTAAGAGCCTATAAGTTATCCACACTTTCCCACAGACCAATTTTAATAATGCACAAACACTAATCTTGGCTACCTCCTTTGGTGCCATAAATATTTGACTACAGTGTCTCTAAACAGATTAAAGGTTTCTGAATCATACACCCCATCTATTAAAACTCTTCTATGTTCCCCACAATGACTGGCAACCTTTGGGGCACACACTTAATACCTGTTGATGAATTCTAAGTCAGAGTGAAGAATTCCAGGTCAGAGTGAAGATGTCATATTAACAAATAACACTATTTTAAAATAAATTTAGTTATAACCGTTAGTACATTTGGATTTGGAAAATAGTCAACAACTCTAGAATGAGGAAATGTTTTAAAGGCCTCTGAACAACTTTGAAGCTTCGAACACTGTGTTTCAAAGAGCAGCATCTTCAAGCCCTTCCTCGGAAGACAAGTGTGCCCTTTCAACTGCCCACAGTCCCAACCTGTGTCACCATCTGGTTTCTAAATCCACAAGAGAACATAATTGTGGATGAGGAGAGAAAAGGGGTGGCTCTAAACAGAAATGCAGGTGATTCAGCAAGCTATAAAAGATGATTAATTCAGAGCAAAATAGATTGGGGAGAAGGAAGCAAAAATACAGGAATTAATAAGACCCCATAACCTAGGGCAGTTCGTTTTGGATGGAATTTGAAACACTAGCATGTACTCACAAAGCCATAAGAGCAACACTGTATTACAGTTTGTGTAAGGAGCTGTTCTTAGTCACCGCCAAGAATCACTGGGGTTTACCCGCAGTAAGCTCTAGCTAAAAAGTAGTAAACATCAAAATATGTTTTGAAAGGTTTTCATCTAAATGTTTTAAGTTTGATGTTTAACTTCAATAAACATAGGTACTTCGTAAAACTCAAGAAAGTAACCCCATACAATTGCAATCTGTCAATTAACAAATAAAAACATTAAAAAGAATAACCCTAAATATTTCACATAGCTAAGATTTTAATCCAAATTTTTTAAAAAAATTGAGTTAAACTCACGTAAAGGCACTGTAGAAAGAGATGTTCGTCACATCCCACTGCAGATTAGTGGAGAAGCCGCCCTCTGTGAAGCAATGGGCTCCACAGAGAGAGGCAGACACCAGTACCACGGGTCAAATCTGATGGCAGATATTCAGAAACCACGCATCACAAAAAGGCTGCAACCAGCAAGACCCCGCATGGTACCAGTCTGATATACCACTTCCTGGGCCCCACCCGAGAATCTTCAGAGGCCCCACTGGCTACCCTGATACACCCCACAGAGTGTGAGTGTCACCTTAGCTGAGAAACCCCCATTGCCACTCCCAGGCAGTAAAGGAGGTTTCACTCCCCAACCCCTCATAAGCTATGCTAAATACACGTGAGTCCGGGGCACACCCAGCATGGCCCTGGTACACTCTAGAGTGTTCACACTGAGCCAGGTGCACACCCAACACAGCCCTGGTACACTCTAGAGCATTCACAGTGAGTCAGGTGCACACCCAGCATGGCCCCGATACACTCTAGAGCATTCACAGTGAGTCAGGTGCACACCCAACACGGCCCCGATACACTCTAGAGCTTTCACAGTGAGTCAGGTGGACACCCAACACGGCCCTGATACGCTCTAGAGCTTTCACAGTGAGTCAGGTGCACACTCAACACGACCCTGATATGCTCTAGAGCGTTCACAGTGACCCAGGTGCACACCCAACACGGCCCTGATACACTCTAGAGCTTTCACAGTGAGTCAGGTGCACACCCAACACGGCCCTGATACACTCTAGAGCTTTCACAGTGAGTCAGGTGCACACCCAACATGGCCCTGATACGCTCTAGAGCATTCACAGTGAGTCAGGTGCACACCCAACACGGCCCCGATACGCTCTAGAGCATTCACAGTGAGTCAGGTGCACACCCAGCAGGGCCCTGGTATACTCTAGAGCATTCACAGTGAGTCAGGTGCACACTCAACACGACCCTGGTATACTCTAGAGCTTTCACAGTGAGTCAGGTGGACACCCAACACGGCCCTGATACACTCTAGAGCTTTCACAGTGAGTCAGGTGCACACCCACCATGGCCCTGATACACTCTAGAGCATTCACAGTGAGTCAGGTGGACACCCAACACGGCCCTGATACGCTCTAGAGCTTTCACAGTGAGTCAGGTGCACACTCAACACGACCCTGATACACTCTAGAGCGTTCACAGTGACCCAGGTGCACACCCAACACGGCCCTGATACACTCTAGAGCTTTCACAGTGAGTCAGGTGCACACCCAACATGGCCCTGATACGCTCTAGAGCTTTCACAGTGAGTCAGGTGCACACCCAACACGGCCCCGATACGCTCTAGAGCATTCACAGTGAGTCAGGTGCACACCCAGCAGGGCCCTGGTATACTCTAGAGCATTCACAGTGAGTCAGGTGCACACTCAACACGACCCTGGTATACTCTAGAGCATTCACAGTGACTCAGGTGCACACCCAACACGGCCCTGGTATACTCTAGAGCATTCACAGTGACTCAGGTGCACACCCAGCATGGCCCTGGTATACTCTAGAGCATTCACAGTGAGTCAGGTGGACACCCAACACGGCCCTGATACACTCTAGAGCTTTCACAGTGAGTCAGGTGCACACCCAGCATGGCCCTGGTATACTCTAGAGCATTCACAGTGAGTCAGGTGCACACTCAACACGACCCTGGTATACTCTAGAGCATTCACAGTGAGTCAGGTGCACACTCAACACGACCCTGGTATAATCTAGAGCATTCACAGTGACTCAGGTGCACACCCAACATGGCCCTGATACGTTCTAGAGCTTTCACAGTGAGTGAGTCAGGTGCACACTCAACACGGCCCTGATATGCTCTAGAGCTTTCACAGTGAGTCAGGTGCACACCCAATACAGCCCTGATATGCTCTAGAGCTTTCACAGTGAGTCAGGTGCACACCCAACACGGCCCTGGTATGCTCTAGAGCATTCACAGTGAGTCAGGTGCACACCAAGCATGGCTCTGGTATACTCTAGAGCATTCACAGTGAGTCAGGTGCACACTCAACATGACCCTGGTATATTCTAGAGCATTCACAGTGACTCAGGTGCACACCCAACACAACCCTGGTATACTCTAGAGCATTCACAGTGACTCAGGTGCACACCCAACACGGCCCTGGTATGCTCTAGAGCTTTCACAGTGAGTCAGGTGCACACCCGGCATGGCTCTGGTACACTCTAGAGCATTCACAGTGAGTCCATGCACATGATGGCCCCAGTACATTCTTAGGGCAGGAGTTCCCAACCCCCAGACTGTGGACTGGTACCAATCCATATCCTGTTAGGAACTAGGCCGCACAGCAGGAGGTGAGGAGTGGGCAAGTGACATTACAGCCTGAGCTCTGTCTCCTGTCAAATCAGGAGGCATTAGATTCTCATAGGAGCGGGAACCCTGTTGTGAACTGTGCATGAGAGGGATCTAGGCTGCACACTCCTTATGAGAATCTAATGCCTGATGATCTGAGGTGGAAGTTTCATCGCAAAACTAGCCACCCTGGTCCATGGAAAAATTGTCTTCCACGAAACTGGTCCCTGTTGCTGAAAATATTGGGGACCACTGCCATAGAGCATTTACAATGAGGCAGGTATGCACACACACAATGGTCATAGAACATTCTAGAGCATTTATAGAGTCAGGAACACATGCACACAATGGCCGAGGTATACACTAGAGCATTCACAGTGAGTCGGGGACACACGCACACAATGGCCATGGTACATTTTACAGCATTTATAGAGTCAAGTGCACGTGCACACAATGGCTGTAGTACATTCTAGAGCATTTATAGAGTCAGGTACATACACTCACAATGGCTGAAATAAGTGAGTCAGGTGCACATGTGCATGATGGCCGTGGTACATTCTAGAGCATTTATAGAGTCAGGTGCACACACACACAATGACCATGGTACACTCTAGAGCATTCACAGTGAGTTGAGGACACATGCACACAATGGCTATTTGTGCATGTGTACATTTTAAAGCATTTATAGTCAGGTGCACACACGCGATTACCATGGTACACTCTAGAGCATTCACAGTGACTCAGGAACACAAGCACACAATGGCCGAGGTACACTCTAGAACATTCACAGTGAGTCCGGAACACACGCACACAATGGCCGAGGTACACTCTAGAACATTCACGGTGAGTCCGGAACACACGCACACAATGGCCGAGGTGCACACTAGAGCATTCACGGTGAGTCGGGAACACACGTACGCAATGGCCGAGGTACACTCTAGAGCATTCACAGTCAGTTAAGGACACATGCACACAATGGCCATGGTACATTTTACAGCATTTATAGTCAGGTGCACATGCACACGATGACCATGGTACACTCTAGAACACTCACAGTGAGTCAGGAACACATGCACACAATGGCCGACGTACACTCTAGAACACTCACAGTGAGTCGGGAACACACGCACACAATGGCCGAGGTACACTCTAGAGCATTCACAGTGAGTCCGGAACACACGCACACAATGGCCGAGGTACACTCTAGAACACTCACAGTGAGTCGGGAACACACGCACACAATGGCCGAGGTACACTCTAGAACACTCACAGTGAGTCGGGAACACACGCACACAATGGCCGAGGTACACTCTAGAACACTCACAGTGAGTCGGGAACACACGCACACAATGGCCGAGGTACACTCTAGAACACTCACAGTGAGTCGGGAACACACGCACACAATGGCCGAGGTACACTCTAGAGCATTCACAGTGAGTCGGGAACACACGCACACAATGGCCGAGGTACACTCTAGAACACTCACAGTGAGTCGGGAACACACGCACAAAATGGCCGAGGTACACTCTAGAGCATTCACAGTGAGTCTGGAACACACGCACACAATGGCCGAGGTACACTCTAGAACACTCACAGTGAGTCGGGAACACACGCACACAATGGCCGAGGTACACTCTAGAGCATTCACAGTGAGTTCGGAACACATGCACACAATGGCCGAGGTACACTCTAGAACACTCACAGTGAGTCGGGAACACACGCACACAATGGCCGAGGTACACTCTAGAGCATTCACAGTGAGACCGGAACACACGCACACAATGGCCAAGATACACTCTAGAACATTCACAGTGAGTCGGGAACACATGCACACAATGGCCGAGGTACACTCTAGAACATTCACAGTCAGTTGAGGACACAAGCCCACAATGGCCGAGATACACTCTAGAGCATTTATAGAGTCAGGTGCACATGCACACGATGGCCACAGACAGCTCTGGGACACATTTTGAAGCATCCATTTCACGTCCTAAGGAGCTGATGGTCATAATCAATGCTCCTGAAAACTTGTTTCCCAAATCCCCTCGCGGTTTTTTTTTTGTTTGTTTCACAAGACACTTATGTATGCATTTGAATGGGTACCAATTCCAAAGTGGTGGAGATTCAAAGCCGAATCAAACATTTGCCTCTACATGCACATCCAGCAGCACAGCATCCTGCACTTAAGAGCAGCATGTGCTCTAAAAGACACTCTCCCTGCAGACATATCACTGCAACGCCTTCTTCCCCTGGCTAGAAGAAAATGGGTCATCTTAGCCTAGTTTTGCTCCAGGTGTGGAATAAAATAAGTGGGGGAGAGGACTGTATTTCCTGCAGGAAATCGTGGTGTGCTATTCCACTCATTTTCTCTGCATGCGACTGATTTTATATCTGCCTTGGCGTGGGCCAAGGGATATACTTCTCTATGAAAAAGCTCATATTTCTCAGTCATATTATCAGAGGAAGCAATAAAATGAGTTTCAAGTGGCTGTATAAGTAACTTTTTAGATCTATGAAGAAAAAATATAATTCAAAAAGAAGCAAAAAAAGGCTTAAAGACTACAGGAGGTAATATTGATTTGCTTTAGAAAATAACTGGCTTCGAGTTCTCACAGGTAAAGCTTTCAAGAAATGCTTCTTGGGTTCTGAAGATCACAGGGAACATTGTAAGGCTGTGATGAAGTCTGCAAAGAGCACAGGGAAATGAAGGAAGGTCACATGGCACTTGAGCCTCGGTACCAACTGAGTCTGTGGGAGGGAGGCCTGGGCGTGGAGGGCCCTGAAGAATGACTGCCAGACTGAAAACCTGTCACCTGGGTAGATGGGTGCATGATGACATCGTGGATTCGCTTTCAGAGAGACCAGATCGAGATATCATCTTGCTAGGAGTCTAGGAAACCAACTACACAAACAGAAGCTTCGTGGCTTTCTGGAAACACAGCCATGGGTGGTGGCTACATGTTTGCAGAGTAGTGACGGGCGGTTCCCTAACCAATCACGGTTTTGTGTGTCTTTCTTGTTAAGAGATAAATGTCAAGGCAAAGAGGGAAAGGGTCAAGAAAGACAATTCAGAAGAATCTGAGCCCAGGAGCCTCAGGGTCCTACAAACTGCCCAAGCCTGAGACTGGCAAGATGGATTATTCTTCACAGGACCAGGACTGAAGCTGGAAGGGCACATAGCTTACAATAAAATGCGTAGTTTGCAGATGACAACGAAGAGAGATGTGGCCTACTTCCTATCACTTGGCCTGCACATTCTCAGGCCTTGGTCGAAACACCACTTCCTCCCACGGAGTTGACTGATCCACAAAGGTCGCTGGGACTTTCCCTGGTCCTTTCCCGTGGCAGCCTGCACTCCCCCCACACATGCAACACATTGATCACCACCGGCACCCGGGTTCCTGGCCAGACTCTCAACTGTATGAGCAACGAGCTCACACCTCCCACTCATGGGAATATGCAAGCAGCCAGCTCAGGCTGTGACAGGCACCTAAGAGGCCTTTAGTAAACTGTGTGCTGACGAAGGAGGAGGGAAGAATTCATCCCGCCCCCTCTGAGTATGTGAGGATGTTTTGCGCGTTCTTAAATGCATAAAAAATAAACTTAGAAAAAGTCTGTTTATCAAGTACAAGTCAGTGAAGACTGGTTCACCCTAGAACCCCATGGAAAGGGTTTGCTACTCAGTATCCAAAGCGCCCCACTAAAAAAGAGGCTTTGCTTGTGAATCAATTCACAAGGGGCTGCTGGGGCCAGGTCAAGGTGCAGCCCTGTAGGTGGCCCCCAGGGTGGACACCTGCCCTCTGCTCTCTCTATGCTCCTCCTCCCAAAACTGCTCACTCCCATTCTGAGGGCTGGAACGGCATGGCGGCATGCCTGTGGACAAAGCCAGAACCAATTCGTCCAGTGGACTCCCCAGCTCCGACCACATGTCCCATGTGACCCCTAAACTCCCCATGTATCAAGCAGAAAGTGCTCCTCTGTGGCACCCACCTCTTCCAACCAAGAGAACCATCCCGGGAACAAACGCTTCAGAGTAGTTACACCTCTCTATCATTCTCAAACTCTAAATGCAAAACAAAGCTCACTGAATTGTACTTTTTAATGTCTGTTGTGTTGCCTTTTCTTCAATCTAACCTAAGATCTGGCCATGACTTTATTTCATTCCAGGTTGTCTGGAGACACCGCCTGCCTGATTCCCGCCTTACCGGCTAAACTTGTCTCCCTGTAGTCTCTGCCTGGTCCCATCTCGGCCTGTATTTGCCGTTTTCCATCATTAAAACAAGAAAACATACAGTGTCTTACTTTAAGGACTCACCATCCAGACACAGTCTTAGGCTCAAGTGCTACTTCCAACAGGAAGTCAGCTTCAACCCTGCCGTAAGAGCAACCGGCACTTACGCAGCTCCTACCATGCGCCCGGCTTTACCTCTAATAGTCACATCCGCCTTACTTTACACCTTAGGTTGCTCAACTAGAAAGATTCAGAATTGGGTGATACACACCTGCCCATCCAACCAGCCCTGATTGCCAAACAGGTTTCACCTCAAAGGACCAGAGGTGCCTGACTGGACACTCTATCACAAGGCTCCAGGCTCTGCTGCAGGGCCCCATGATCAAGGCACACTGCCTGCCCCATACACAGGCAGGAAGAGGCAGCCCCGTGTGAAAGTTTTCTGCCACTCTAGCAGAGGCTGAGCTGCCCAGGGATAACTGCTCCAACAAGACCTCCCCACCACACGCAGTCCTTCAACATCCCAGCATGGACATCTCCCTAATTCAAATGCAAGCTCCCTCAGTAACAGCACTGCACCTACCGAGCTGAACATCGGGCTCACCTGAGTCCCTGCTGGCAATGCCACCGGCAATGCCACAACCTGCCGGAACCCCTGTTACATCTGAAGAGGAACTTGCCTACTCCAAGGGCTGCCTAAGAGTTCATGAGATATCTGAATCCCAGCACCGGAGCTCCTCCACTGGGGGCTGCAGCCTGTGACCGGCCATGAAGCCACATCAGGGTGCCGGGGCCAGCACGAGGCTGGAGTGAAGCACAGTGTGCCACAGGTTTTCAATGTGAGTACTCCCTTGTAAACAGTTTATTTCAGTTACGTGCATATCTATTTACATGTGTGGGGGAAGTCATTATGTAAAACTATCTATAGGTCCAATCAAAACAAATTTGGAAAATACTGCTTCAGATCATACTGTTGGCTTTTTCCCCCCCAGATTTATTGAAGTGTCCTTGACAAATAGAATTTGTGTATATTTAGGTAGTACACTGTGATATGTGTGTGTGTGTGTGTGTGTGTGTGTGTGTGTGTGTGTGTATGACAGGGTATTGCTTTGTCACCCAGGCTGGAGGGCAGTGGTGCAATCACAGCTCACTGCAGCCTTGACCTCCTGGGTCCAAGCAGTCCTCCCACCTCAGCCTCTCAAGTAGCTGGGACCACAGGCACATGCCACCCTACTTGGTTAATTTTTAAATTTTTTGTAAAGACAAGATCTCCCTACATTGCCTAGGCTAGTCTCGAACTCCTGGGCTCAAGCAATGCTTCTGTCTCAGCTTCCCAAAGTGCTTGAATTAGAGGCATGCGCCACCACGCCTGGCCGCAATGTGATGTTTTGATATGCACACACATTGTGAAATGACTGCCACAATTAACTAATAACATATCCATCAACTCATATAGTTAACTCCCTTTTTTTTGTCATGCACACACTTAAGATGCACTCTCTTAGCCAATTTCAAGTACACAATACACTATTATTAACTACAGTTCTCGTGCTGTACATGAGGTGTCCAGAATGTATTCATCTTATAAGCTGAACGTTCCTAACCTTTGACCAGCACCTCCCACTTTCCAACCCCTCCCACCAGCCTCTGGTAACCACCATTGTACTCTTCCTTTCTAGAAGTTTGACTTTTTCAGACTCCACAGGTGAGATCGCGCAGTATTTGTCTTTCTCTGTCTCATTTTACTTAGCATAATGTCCTCCAGGTTCGTCCATATTGTTTCAAACGGCAGGACGGCCTTCTTTGTAAAGACTGAACAATATTCCACTCTATATGTATCTACCACAATTTCTTTATCCCTTCATCTGTCAAATGGACAATTGCGTATTTTCTACATCTTGGCTACTGTGAATAAAGCTGCCTTTGACATGGAGGTGCAGGGATCTCTTTGAGCTAATGATTTCATTTCCTTTGGATATATACCCAGAATGGGACTGCTGGGTTGTAGCTCTATTTTTAATTTTTGAGGAACCTCCAAACTGTTTTCCATTATGTTCATTCCCACCTTGAATATATAAAAGTGTTTCCTTTTCTCCACATTCTCCCCAAGACTTATCTTTTGTCTTTTTCATACTGGCCATCCTAACAGGTGTGAGGTGATGTCTCATTGCGGTTTTGATTTCCATTTTTCTGATGGTTAGTGACGTTGAGCACGTTTTCATATGCCTATTGGATATCTGTATGTCTTCTTTAGAAAAATGTCTATTCAAGTGCTTTGCTCATTTCTAAACTGGGTTATTTTGTTTGCTTGCTATCGAGTTGTATGAGTTCCTTATGTATTTTGGATATTAATCCCTTATTGGATATATGGTTTCTTCCACTCTGTACGCTGCCTTTTCATTTTGCCGATGTTTCTTTTGCTGTGCAGAAACTTTTAAATCTGATGCACTCTCATTTGTTTATTTTTGCTTTTGCTGCCTGTGCTTTTGTGTCTTATCCAAAAGATCATTGCCAAGGCCAATACTGATAAGGTTTGGCTTGGTGTTCTCACCCAAATCTCATGTCAAATTGTAATTCCCAGTGTTGGAGGAGGGGCCTGGTGGGAGGTGATGGTATCATGGGGACAGGTTTCTCCCATGCTGTTCTCATGACAGTGAATAAGTCCCACAAGATCTGATGGTTTTATAAAGGGCAGTTCCCCTGCACATGCTCTCTTGCCTGCTGCCATGTAAGACATGCCTTTGTTCCTCCTTCACCTTCCCATGATTGTGAGGTCTCCCCAGCCCTGTGGAACTGTAAGTCCATTGAACCTCTTTTTCTTTATAAATTATCCAGTCTCAGTTATGCCTTTATTAGCAGCATGAAAACAGACAAATACGGTAAATTGGTACTGCAGAGAGTGAGGCACTGCTGTAAAGACACCCGAAAATGTGGAAGTGACATTAGAACTGGGTAACAGGCAGAGGTTGGAACAGTTTGGAGAGCTCAGAAGACAGGAAAATGTGGAAAAGTTTGGAACTCCTACCTGGAGACTTGGAGGGCTCACAAGACAAGAAGATGCAGGAAAGTTTGGACCTTCCTACAGACTTGTTGAATGTCTTTGACCAAAATGCTTACACTGATATGGACAATAAAGTCGAGGCTGAGGTGGTCCGATATGGAGAACTGGAGTAATGGTCACTTGCTATGCTTTAGCAAAGAAACTGGTGGCATTTTGCCCCCACCTGAGAGATCTGTGGAACTTTGAACTCGAGAGAGATGACTTAGGGAATCTGGCAGAAGAAATTTCTAAGTGGAAATGCATTCAAGAGGAAGCAGAGCATAAAAGTTTGGAAAATTTGCAGCCTGACTATGTAATAGAAAAGAAAAAACCATTTTCTGGGGAGAAATTCAAGCCTGCTGCAGAAATTTGCATAAGTAACAAGAAGTCGAATGTTAATCACCAACACAATGGGGAAAATTTCTCCAGGGCATGTCAGAGACCTTCATGGAAGCTGCTCCCATCACAGGCCCAGAGGCCTAAGAGAAAAAAAATGGTTTCACAGGCCAGGCCTACGGCCCCCCTGCTCTGTGCAGCCTTGGGACATGCTGCCCTGCATCCCAGCTGCTGCTGCTCCAGCTGTGGCTAAAAGGGGCCAAGGTATAGCTCAGGCCATTGCTTCAGAGGGTATAAGCCCCAAGCCTTGGTGCTTCCACATGGTACCGAGCCCGTGGGTGAAAAGAAGTCAAGAACTGAGGTATGGAAACCTCTGCCTAGATTTCAGAGGATGTATGACAATGTCTGGATGTCTAGGCAGAAGTCTGCTGAAGGGGCAGAGCCCTTATGAAGAACCTCTGCTAGGGAGTTGGAGCCCCCACACAGAGTGCCCCACTGGGGCACAGCCTAGTGAAGCTGTGAGAAGAGGGCCACCATCCTCCAGACCCAAGAATGGTAGATCCACCAACAGCTTGCACTGTGTGCCTGGAAAAGCTGCAGACACTCAATGCCGGCCCATGAAAGCAGCCAGTCGGGTGTACCCTGTGAAGCCACAGTGGCAGAGCTGCCCAAGGAATCTGGGAGCCCACCTCTTGCATCAGCATGACCTGCATGTGAGACATGGAGTCAAAGGAGATCATTTTGGAACTTTAAGGTTTAATGACTGCTCTGTTGGACTTTCAACTTGCCTGGGGCCTGTAGCCCCTTTGTTTTGGCCAATTTCTCCCATTTGGAATGGGTGTATTTGCTCAATGCCTGTACCACCATTATATCTAGGAAGTAATTAAGTTGCTTTTGATTTTACAGATGCATAGGCAGAAGGGACTTGCCTTGTCTCAGATGAAACTTTGGACTTGGACTTTTGGGTTAATGCTGGAATGAGTTAAGACTTTGGGGGACTGTTGCAAGGTCATGATTGTGTTTTGAAATGTGAGGACGTAAGATCTGGGAGGCGGAAGGCGCAGAATGATATGGTTTGGCTGTGTCCCCACCCAAATTTCATCCTGGATTATAATCCCCACAACCCCCACATGTGAAGGGCAGGACCAGGTGGAAATAATTGAATCATGGGGGCAATTTCTCCCATGCTGTTCTTGTGATAATGAGTGAGTCTCATGAGACCTGATGGTTTTATCAGCATCTGGCATTTCCCCTGCTTGCACTCACTCCATCCTGCCACTCTGTGAAGAAGGTGCCTGCTTCTTCTTTGCGTTCCACCATGATTGTAAGTTTCCTGAGGCCTCCCCAGCAATGTGGAACTGTGAGTTAAGCCCTTTTCCTTTATAAATTACCTAGTCTCAGGTATGTCTTTATTAGCAGCATGAGAACAGACTAATATACCCTAGTCAAATGCTGAATTAATAAAGTCACATTTAGGGGAAAGTACATGACACAGAAATTATTTTTGATGAGAATTTCAGCTGGAGAATGAACAGAGCAGTTGACAAGGAATAACAAAATCTTGCAGTTGTTGTCCAGTCCAGCTTCCTAGAAGTGAGCATGAGCCACTGGTATAAAATATTTGTAAAATCAACCAGAAAAGATTTTGCTGGTGATCCACACATTTTGTTAGAATAACGGAATGGTAAGAAAGTCACTCCTTGAAAACAATAAGAGCACAAGCTTTTGCCTATCACAACCAGGTTTACACTTCGTGTGCCTGCTGCTTTAGCACATCCTAACACAGTTGTTCTCTCCTTGACATCCTTAATTCCTGTATTATCAGCTGAAGTTGGTGTCTTTCCAGGGCAATAACACCAAAACAGTGATGTTTCATCAGCAATACAGACTCATTCTGGCATGAGATTTTCAACAGCTTTGAGCTTGGCAAGCATGCCAATAAATTTCTTCACTGCTTCGTGATTAGCAGATGTTTTATCACCACACATCTTTTAAAATTTAATGCTGTGTCTTTTCTTACATTTCTGCAACCAGGCTGTTGAATGTTCACAGTTCCTTTCAATTTTCAGTTCAACGTGATAGATCTTTGCTTGTTTCATAAGCAGTATTCCATTAAGTGGCAGGTGTTCACTGCAATGCTGATGAATCCACTCTTTCAATACACAATTAGGATCTTCATTTTTTGCTTTATGCGGTGCTTTTCTATTTTTCATTAACGTCTGTTCATTACTTTCAGCACAGATCTTCAACGGTTTATCCTTCTGTTTCTTCAGCTCATGTATGGTGGTCATTCCAACAGGGTACTCTTCTGTTTCACACTTACATCATTGTCCAGTTTCTCCAACAGCATGACTTTCTGTGCTATAGATAAATACAAATCCTTCCTTTTTTTCTTATCACTGTTACTCACAGGGGTATCTGCTGACCTTTTTGACATTTTCAACACTATCTTTACATCACATAAGAAGACAATTCTTCCCCATCCATGAACACTGAACATTTTTCCATTTGTTTGCATCTTCTTCAATTTCTGTTATCAATGGTTTATAGTTCTCAGTGTACAGGTGTTTCACTGGCTTGGTAAAAGTTATTCCTGAAAATTTTATTTTTTTTTATTTGTAAATGGAACTGTTTTCCTAATTTCTTTCTTGGATAGCTCATTGTCAGTATATAGCAATGCAACGAATAACCAAAAAACATGGTGAGTAACGCACACACGTCTTGGCCATGTGGAACACTGTAGGGAAACTGCCATTGGCACATCCAGCCTGCACACATGACATTTTCTTACTCTTTGTGGGTGTGTGTGGGGAAATCTGTGCGTGTGCAGAAAAGACACGCTGCAGCTGAAGGGGGTGGGAGGATTCTTTTCCCATCGGGGATGCTGAATAAACTGTGTGTTGTGGGCCTGCATTTTGACTATAATCCACCACATGAGGTTAGGTGTAAAATTTTCCACTTGTGGCATCATATTCATGCTCAAAATGTTTCAGATTTTGGAGCATATAGGATTTCAAATTTTCAGATCACAGAGACACAACTATACCATTTATTGAAGAGACTATCTTTTTCCCATTGTGTATTCTTGGTATCTTTCTCAAAGGTTAGTTGACCATATACGTGTGAGTTTATTTATGAGCTTTCTATTCTGTTCCATTGGTCTATATGTCAATTTGTAATTTCATATTATCCTGTTTCTATTACAGTAGTCTTATGATATAAGAAATTAGGAAGTGGAATGTCTTGGGCTTTGTTCTTCTTTCTCAAAGTCTACTTATTCAAGGTATTTTGGGGTTCCATATGAATTTCAGGACTTTTATTTCTGTTTCTATGGATAAATGCCATCAGAACTTTGATGGGGATTGCATTGAATCTGTAGATGATTTTGGGTGGTATGGACATTTTAACAATATTAATTCTTCCCATCCATGAACACTGAACATCTTTCCATTGGTTTGCATCTTCTTCAATTTCTTCCACCAATGTTTTATAGTTTTCTGTGTACAGATCTTTCACTGCCTTGGTAAAAGTTACTCCTAAGAAATTTATCCTTTTTGATGCTGTTGTAAATGGAACTGTTTTCTTAATTTCTTTCTTGGATATTTCATTGTCAGTATACAGAAATGCAACTGATTCTTGTATGCAGATTTTGTATCCTGCAACTTTACTGAATTTGTTTACTGATTCTAACAATGCTTTAGTGGAATCTTTAGGGTTTTCTATATTAGGATCATGTTGTCTACAAATACTTTTTCCTTTCTGATCTGGATGCTTTTGCCTTTTATTTCTTTTTCTTGCTTAATTCCTCTAGTTAGAACTTCCAGTTATTATGATGGATAAAAGTGGCAAGAGTGGGCATCCTTGTCTTGTTCCTGATATTATAAGAAAAGCTTACAACTTTTCAGATGTTAGTTGTTGGCTAACACACATGCCATATATGGCTTTTATTATGTTGAGGTAAATTACTTCTATATCTAATTTATTTAGAGTTTTTATCATGAAAAGATGTTGAATTTTGTCAAATGCATTTTCTGCCTCTACTGAGATGCTTGTATGGTTTTTGTCTATTTTGTTAATGTGGTGTATCACATTTACTGACGTGGGTATATTGAAGCATCCTTGCATCTGAGGGACAAATCCCCCTTAATAATGGTATATAATCCTTTTACTGTGCTGCTGTATTTGGTTTACTAATATTTTATCGAGGACTTGCACTTACTTTCATCAGATGTTCTAGCCTGTAATTTTCTCTTCTAGTAGTGTCTTTGTCAGGCTTTAACATCAGACTAATGCTGGTCTCATAAAATAAGTTTGGAAGTGTTCCCTCTTCTTAATTTTGTGGAAAGAATTTGAAAAGAACAAACATTAATTCTTCTTAAAATATTTCGCAGAATTCAGCAGTGAAGTCATCAGGTCCTGGGCTTTTCTTTGTTGGGAGATTTTTGATTACTGATTTAATCTCTACTCATTGTTGATTTATTCAGATTTTCTATTTCGTCTTTATTCAGTCTTGGTAGGTTGTATGTTTCCTCTATTTCTTCTAGGTTATCCAATTTGTTTACGCATAATTGTTCACAGTAGTCTCTTATGATCCTTTGTATTTCTGTGGAACCATTTATATTGTCTCTTATTTCTGATTTTGTTTGTGTTTTCTCACTTTCTTTAGCCTCACTAAAGGCTTGTCAACTTCTTTATCTTTTCGAAAAGCAGCTCTAAGTTTTGATATTTCAATTGCTTTTCTCATGTCTATTTCATATATTTCTGCTCTGGGTTTTGTTATTTCCTTCCTTCTGCTAACTTTGGGCCTAGTTTGTTCCTTCCTCTAGTCCCTGATGTATAAAGTTGAGTTGATTATTTGAGATCTTTCTTTTTTTCTTCATGTAGGCATTTATTGCTATTAAATTCCTTCTTAGACCTGCTTTTGCTGCATCCCATCATTTTGGTATGTTGTGGCTCCATTTTCATTTGCCTTAAGATATTTTTTGATCTCCTGTTTCAATGTTGGTCTCTTTTTAGTTATTTTAGGCTTTTTGGCTAGAATTTACGTTGAGGTGCATCATCCGTCTTTTGCCTGCTTCACTGAGCACAGGCCAGTTATGACCCATTTCAACACTGTTAGGACAGCATCACACTCACTCTCCTCTCAGGGGAGAGAGCCGGTTCCCCCATGTTGAATAGGCCTGAATAGGGTTTGCTTTTATGAAAATTTAGTCAGCAGCCCCGTGGATGGTTATCTACTCCGTCTCTGTTTCTGTGTGTGTCCCTGTCTGCACTGGCTTCTCTCCTCTCTCAACCACCCTGAAAAGCACATACACTTAGATGTAACGAGTTTTGCTAACAAAATAATAAATAGCCCTAAGTGGGCATTAAAGAAGTTCTCCTCTGAGTAAAACACAAGAAGCCTCTTGCCTTTGCGAAGTCTCACGTTAAGCTGTATTACTTTACACTGTAAACGCAAAGTCATATATGCCCATTAAAAAGTTTAAAACTTTAGAAAAGTAGAAGTCTCTCATACTCCCACCCACAGATGATAACTACTGTTAATAAGTGATTGATATGCAGCTTTCCAGGTCTTTTCTATGCATACAGTGGTATGTATAATACAATCATAATCATTACTTACAAACATGTGATCAGGCTATTAATGTTATTCTGCAACTTGCTTTTTTTTTTAACTTAAAATATATCCTGGGTAACTTTCCATATCAAATAGATATAATTCTTTCCAAAGGGCACACAGAATTCTATCGTGTGAATTTCCATAATTTTTTAATCCAATTCCCATGTATGCCACTTCAGTTGTTTCCAATTTTTCACACAATTGATTCATACAATGAAGCAGTAAGTATCCTGGAGAAAGACTTCTTGGCACACTTTAGGGTAAGTGCTTAGAGCTATAATTGCTGGGCCAAAACACAGACATGTTTCCCAAATTGTCTTCCTAGAATGTGCATTTCCCCCGGCATTCTCAGGGACACTGGATCCCAGCCGTAACTGTGATAATGACCGTGCTGATCCCTTCCCCAAGCCAACCTCACAGGGTATGTCTTCGCTGCTTTAATCTGCGTTTTCTAACAACTAGGAAGTTTGTCCACCCGTCAAGTGTGTACTGGCTGCTTCTCACACATCTGTGAATTGCTTCTTCATTCATTGCATCTATTTTGGAAGTCAAGCTAAGGAGCCTTCAAAGGAAAGTCTGTTGACTTGTTCTTCATCAAAGTTCCATCTGGGTAAAATGTCCAGTGAGCTGAGGCCTAAGTGGGTGAAGAATTACAGCAATAGAGAAGTTACTTACTTTTCCCTTAGAACTTTAAAAATCTCAAAGATAGGAGTCAAAGTTCTCAGCACCCTGAGCAGGTGTCAGGCTTTCTCTATAAGGGGCTCAATGACAAGTATTTTCAGTTTTGTGGGCCAGGTCAGGCTTCTGAGCTACTCAGCTCTGTCACTGTAACATAAAAGTGGCTACAGACAATATATGACCAAAGGGTAGCAGCCAGGATCCAACAGAACTTTATTTACACAAGCAGGCAGCAGGCTGGATTAGGCCCAGGGCCACAGAGTGAGGGCGTGGTGTGGATCCATATTACTGCTAGAATTAAAAATGAAACAAAACAAAAAACTTGCAGGAATGAGGGCACATGTGTTTGGCATGTCTTGTATTTTGCTGTTTTTTTTACCAATAAATTGTGGTTTGTGTCGCTCAATGTCACTGGCTGAAAATACCTAATACATCGCATGCTTAAATTCTGAAACTGAAAAGCCAACTTTTTGCTTTAAACATGTCTGACTGAACCACTCAGAATTCCTTCTTGTTTCTCTACCTTTTCCATCTTTAACAACAGGCAAGAGTCCCCAAGAGCAGGCAGGAGTTCTCCGTGTCGGCTGGGGACACCCACGTGGGAGGACATCGCATCGAGGCTCCGGCAGCCAGGGCCCTGTGTCACGACGCTCCACACTGGGGAGGCCCAACATGGTGAATGCACAATAAATAAGACCAGACCCAGGCTGCCAGAGCCCAGGGCCGTGGCGGTCAACACCCTGATAGAAGGGGAAAAAGAAAGTCTCATCCCTCACTCCTGTTGGGGTCCCCTGCAGCCCCTGCGTCACTACAGCACACACTGTAAAAGTGCGGGACGCTGTTGAATTACAAGCGGCAGCATTCACAAAACTGAGCCCCACTCCGCGGAAGCCTCTGCAGTCTCTCTCCAAGCCCTGCCCTTGCACTGGAAGATGCTCCTACTTTGCACAAGAGACCTGCTCTCTTGAGTGTCAAAATCCTGTGCTTTGAAGTAAGTGTTCATCTCTGAGGTCACAAGGCCATGGCCTCCAAAAGACACTCCAGAGAGTTTAGCTAACCAGCTGGTCCCGGGCCTGTGGCCACATCCCTAATCTGTCATCAGTTTTTCCTTGCTGGGATAGGAACTTGACTCCTCAAGAAAATAGCTTTCTCTTTCATAAAAGGTGAGAAAAGAATTTCAGCAAGGTAATTATCCTGCCTTTTAAGTCTGTGTGTGTTTTCCACCGGCAAGTTAGAACAGTTTCAGACTAACATGCAAACTTGCACATCAAAAACTCTGGAAGATGCAAATTGAAAAGGAAAAAGAAAATGACAACCTCTGATGGCTGCTTACCTGTTATTCACTCACTACCCTCTTCAAAGATGTATGAGCCAGATGAGTGCTACAAATGACTTAAAAAGGTGACGCCGACATGGAGCCACAGGAATAGGTCACATCCCCTCAGCTCCTCCCTCTTCTTGGCCTCAACCGGCCTTCATCTGAAGAATAAGAGCTATGACCATCTGCACAGCAGTGGGTGGCTTCTGTGTTACCAAAGGTTTCCTTTAGAAACACAAACATGTGTGCATGCGGGTGCGCACACACACACACACACGCGTGCGCGCACACACACACACACCCCCCAATAGCCAGAGCTCTCAGCGACTTCCCAAGGTGACTGGCAAGTGCTCAAGTGGGCCAGGTCCTTCAGGTCCACGCTACAGCACTGCCTAATTTTTCAAAGCACCCGACAAGCGTGGAAACCTTGTGGTGCCCCTGCAATTACAGCTCTTTGAAGAAGTCTCAAATGAACTTAATTCAACTCTAAGTTTTTGCCAAACTTATTTTAAGATTCCACACATTTATTATAGAATGCAGGATTTTAAAGGCTTATCACATAATACAAATGAACAAAATTACCAGAAAGGACATCAAAATCCTTTTCTTTGAGCAATAATTCCTTGTTATTAATCAGATTTCCTGGTATTTATTGACCCATGTCAGCACTTGGTCCAGAGGTAAAGAATGCCCCAAATTAGCACCCATCACCTGACCATTGCATCCTAAGCTCTGCATGAAAGCTGGAGCTTTACGACAGCTCTCCCTCCCAGTGAGACCCTCGGAGCAGGACTTAGGTGGAGAAAAGTGGGTTTTGCCAAATGGGCACTAGTAATCACGGTAAGAGCAACATCAACACCCGGGCACTCCTGTTGACATGCTAAGAGCGCCTCCACATGCATGAAGGTGCTGGCACCACACCACTCTCCCGCCACCTAGAAATGAACAGTCACAGCCCGCAGCACAGAACTGAACAACCCTGTGAGGCAGGGAGGCTGTCATGACATCGCCGTACGTGTACTGTATGTTAAAGTCTACAGAATACTGTTATATCCACCAAGAATATGTGGGAAAAAGCATGAACTGCGCAGGAAAACAATGATTAAAGATGGGAAACTGGGCTCAGAGAGTTCTGTTAAGGAACCTGGCCAACATGGCATCTCTGGCAAGTCAGGAACAAATCCCAGTCCTCATCCTTGTCCCTCGCTGCCTGGCCCAGGGACATGAGCAGAGGCTGGGACTGATGACAGCCATGAGAGCTCAGCCCAGGTGATGACTTCACTCAGGAGGAGGACATGGGGATCTGTGAGCAATGCCCAAGGACCTGGCTGAAAACCACACCTGAGAAAGGTGACTACAGGGCCAGGGCAGGACACAACTCGGGCCAGGGAACAGAAGGGACGCAATCGTGGGCAAGACCAGGCAGGCCAGGTACCATTTCAGGACAGGATCCCAGAGGGCCAGCTTCACTGTAGGTGGCACCCAAGGCGTCTGCTCGGTGCAGGCCCTGGGCTACCTGGACAGCATTCTCCTTCTCACACTGACTGTGAGCCTAGGAGGTGACTCCTACGCTCTTCCTTATTGTACAGATGAGGTAACAAACACAGAAAGATGAGTGACCAGCCCCAAATTAAAAAGCTATAAATGGCAGAGCTGAGAGTCAACCAAGGGCTGACTCAGTATCTTGAGGTCTGCACGTGGCCTGAAAGCTCACAATTTTCAGGAAGCTTGTTGGCTTCAATATCACCATTAGGCAAAAGGACTAAGGCAACACTATCTGGTACCTTCAAAGCTGCTGACTATACTGATTTGTACCATGTTAACACACGAGAAAAACAAAGCCGGGTGGCTGTGATTTCCTACGGTGGCTGCAGCAGCCGCCACAGCTCCTCACAAGGCACACAAAGACGCACCCAGGGAGGGATTAGACTGAGTGATCCCCACACAGGTCCACCTGGGAGATGGGGAGGGCGAGGAGAACTGTCCAGAAAAAACCACAAATCATTAACCTGAGGAAAGAAGATCTGACTTTTCAGGATTAAGCTGTATTTTGAAAACTACACACACACACACACACACACACACACACACACACACACACACACACACCATACATATGGCAGTCCTGCCTTATCCAGTTTCGCTTTCCACAGTTGCAGTTACCTGAGGTCAGCCACAGTCTAAAAATAGGTGAGTACAACAAGATATTGGGAGACAAGGAGAGAGAGAGACCACATTCACAGAACCTTTAGTCCAGTCTATTGTTACAGGTGTTCTATTTTATTAGCCATTACTGCATTGAGCTCTTACTGCATCTAATTTGCAAGTTATACTTTATCGTATGTATTGCACACAGGAAAAAGCACTGTACGTCTGGGGTTCCACACTATCAGCCGTTTCAGGGGTCCGCTAGGGTCTTGGAACAGGGACTGCTGTATGACTAAGAGCACAGATCACATGGAACGCGCTAAGAGGAGAGCACAGAACGGCATGGCAATTACATGGAACGCGCTGAGAGGCAAGCGTGGAATGCTGCGGCACATGAGTCTGCAGCAGCCTGGAAGGATTGAGCCCTTGGTGCCTGCATCTCTCTGAGCCTTGGTTTCCGCTTCCGTCCAGCGGGGAGAATAGCAGTAAACTGACATTACAGGTTTGGGATGGTCAACAGTCAACACTGAGAACAGGCCCGCACACGGCTGCTGTTCAATAAGCCCTCGCTGTTATCAGACGCGAAGAGATCTGTGCTCCTCAGGCTGAACGTGGTGCTGCCCTCCACGGGGATTTGAGAAATCCAAGGGGTGAAGGACATTTCTGGTTTCACAAACCTTCCAAATGTGCAAACAGCTTCAACGACAAAGGCTTATCTCACCCAAATGCCAACAGCCTCCCTCACGAAAACCGTAAAAGCTTCTTGAAAATTTGGCTGGACACTGAAATGATCACCTTTGCATGCACCAAAAAAATTCCATGGAGGTATATTTTAAGAAGAAAAAAACCTCCAAGAGATGTCTAAAACTCAATGTTTCATCTGTTCCGAAAGGCATCCAAACTCAATCATGTGTGGCCATCCTACCCACATCTTACCCAGCAGCTCAGGACCGGAGTCACCAACACGGCTTTCCGGAGCGCCCGTGACCCCTGGTGCTCTTCCACCTACATCGGCCAGCTGGGCCTCTCTTGTCTCCCTCCACGGGCTGGTGACACTCCAGAGCCGCGGGAGGTCCTGTCGCCTGCACAGGTGATTCCCATCCCAGAGCCCTGGGCTGTGGGTCCCTGTGGGGATGCTGATTGTTCTCTTCTGCTTTTAAGGCTAATGCACAAAGTGGGGGACCTTCCTCACATTCCTTCTCTCTCAGATGCCATACACCATGCACACCCCACTGCCACTGTGGCCCAGAGTGCAGCCTTCCTTCTGGTCTCCCCACTGTCAGGAGAATTTAGAGACTTTTGTTTTCACAGAGGAAGCGTCCAATGTGGAAAATTAACTCTGAATAACTTCAGGGTATGAATCAAGGGATGCCTTTGAACCTTCGCCGTTCATTTCTGAAAGGGTTCATCTTGCAGTCTCTGAATTACATGAGTGTGAAGAGAAAGGAGCTTGCTTTCCATGCTGCAAGAGGCCAACTGGCCACATCATCTGCATGCCCTGAGATTCCCAGACAAGACGGGCAAGGACAGCGGGCCCTCCGGCTCCTTACATTCACCGTGCCACTCACCGTCCACTACCTAGCCTTGGAAAAGATTGTGTTAAGAAGGGAGCCAGCCAGCCCGGGATGGAGAAACTCCCAGAGGCTTCCTTCCAGGACTATCTAAGCTCGGCATGAAGTCTCTGGGAGAGCCTGGAAGGGGAGAGCATGTTGAAGGAAAAAGAAAACACACAAAAACCCACAGTCAACAGATGAGGTGCCACGGCCAAGGATGGGACGCAACCTGGCTCTGCCCGGCCGCCTGCACAGCAGACCCCACCCGGCCACTGGGAGAGTCTGAGAGTGGATCGACAGGGACAAGGAGGCGCCAAGGGTCTGGGACCTCTGGGGACAGGCCCCATCAGGCTGTGTCCTCCCCTTCTCAATATTACAGGTGGGTATGGGCCAGTTCACAAATTAAAATATGTAGGAAAAGAAAAGCAAACAAAACCCCACAGGTACACACAGAAGGGAGAGCAGATAAAAGCCGCCTTCACACAGGAAATACGGCTGGGGAATCTTCCAGCACAGACAACCCAGGCTCACTTTCTTAGTAAAATGACCATCTCTGTGGTTGATGCACAGACGCTTAGACACAGGAAGGAGGCTCAGTGTGCCGGCAGTTTTGTCTTCAGATTTGGCCATGAGGTGGATCCGTCTTCTGATTTGGCCATCGTGCGTCTGCTCTGCATGGACATCCCGGGTGCCTGTTTGCTTTCCACGTGTGGCCCTGCCCTCAGCACAGCGCAAACCCTCAGGGCATCCCTTCCTGGCTGCTCATTAACCCCCTTTCCACATGTGGCCCTGCCCTCAGCACGGTGCAGACCCTCAGGGCGTCCCTTCCTGGCTGCTCATTAACCCCCTTTCCACATGTGGCCCTGCCCTCAGCACGGTGCAGACACTCAGGGCATCCCCCTTCCTGGCTGCTCATTAACCCCAACCTAGGCTTCTCCTAACTCTTATTTTCTTTCCATCTCCTTCCTTACATATATGGGTCTCTGGTCCTATGACATGTATTCACATATGAAGCTTCAAACACATAAACAGGTCTCTTTGTTCTTCTCCAGGGTGATGTGAAACTAGAACACTGGGCAAAGCCAGCAGACCCTTCCTAAAGCAAAGCCAGCAGATCCTTCCCAAGGAAAGCCAGCAGACTCTTCCTAAAGAAAGAAAAGCCAGCAGATCCTTCCTAAGGAAAAGCCAGTAGACCCTTCCTAAAGCAAAGCCAGCAGATCCCTCCTAAAGCAAAGCCAGCAGACCCTTCCTAAAGCAAAGCCAGCAGATCCTTCCTAAAGCAAAGCCAGCAGATCCTTCCTAAAGCAAAGCAGCAGATCCTTCCTCAAGAAAAGCCAGCAGACTCTTCCTAAAGAAAGCAAAGCCAGCAGACCCTTCCTAAAGCAAAGCCAGCAGACTCTTCCTCAGGAACAGCCAGCAGATCCTTCCTCAAGAACAGCGAGCAGGTCCCTCCTAAAGCAAAGCCAGCAGATCCTTCCTAAAGCAAAGCCAGCAGACCCTTCCTAAAGCAAAGCCAGCAGATCCTTCCTAAAGCAAAGCCAGCAGATCCTTCCTAAAGCAAAGCCAGCAGATCCTTCCTAAAGCAAAGCAGGAGATCCTTCCTCAAGAAAAGCCAGCAGATCCCTCCTAAAGCAAAGCCAGCAGATCCCTCCTAAAGCAAAGCCAGCAGATCCCTCCTAAAGCAAAGCCAGTAGATCCCTCCTAAAGCAAAGCCAGCAGACCCTTCCTAAAGAAAAGCCAGCAGATCCCTCCTAAAGAAAAGCCAGCAGATCCCTCCTAAAGAAAAGCCAGCAGATCCTTCCTCAAGAACAGTGAGCAGGTCCCTCCTAAAGCAAAGCCAGCAGATCCCTCCTAAAGCAAAGCCAGCAGATCCCTCCTAAAGCAAAGCCAGTAGATCCCTCCTAAAGCAAAGCCAGCAGATCCCTCCTAAAGCAAAGCCAGCAGACCCTTCCTAAAGCAAAGCCAGCAGATCCTTCCTAAAGCAAAGCCAGCAGATCCCTCCTAAAGCAAAGCCAGAAGATCCTTCCTAAAGCAAAGCCAGCAGATCCTTCCTAAAGCAAAGCCAGCAGATCCTTCCTAAAGCAAAGCCAGCAGATCCCTCCTAAAGCAAAGCCAGCAGATCCCTCCTAAAGCAAAGCCAGCAGATCCCTCCTAAAGCAAAGCCAGCAGATCCTTCCTAAAGCAAAGCCAGCAGATCCTTCCTAAAGAAAAGCCAGCAGACTCTTCCTAAAGCAAAGCCAGCAGATCCTTCCTAAAGAAAAGCAGCAGACTCTTCCTCAGGAATAGCCAGCAGATCCTTCCTCAAGAACAGCGAGCAGGTCCCTCCTAAAGCAAAGCCAGCTGGTACCTCCTAAAACAAAGCATTTTGAAGGCACCTCCGCAGAGCTGAGATGCAGATGCCACGAGGTAATCCATGGGGGCCCAACTGCCAGCCAGAATTATGGTAGGGAGAGCTCCTTTATCGTATCTTTCACTATTTATCCATGGGTGATACATCTGGAAATAACTGCTGTTATTTTATACGTAGCAATCCCTATAATCATTACTGTTTGCCGTATACCTTGGAATAACTGGAGTATGCAAAGTGCAATAAAAAGAGAATTTCTATTTTATCATGGACCATCACCATGAAACTAGTGCCATAAACATGAGAAAATAACCTAGAATTTCTGCAATACTCGCTACTCCAAACTAAGACGTTTATTTCTTTGTTCGTAAAAATCACCCACTTTTCTGCTTTATCAGTCTCTCCCACTGAATTGGAGAGGACATAAAACGATATGAACAAGTCAGGAACTAGGTGGCGCACACCTGATGTGAGTATGCAGCATCCCTTCATTGCCACTGAGAGGAAGGTGCTGGAAATGGGCTGTGTCAATAAGCCCAGATAAACTGAAACAAGCAAATAACAAGCTGAACTTCTTTGAGGCATTCACAAGGGTCATCATCGTGGGATATGGTCCTAATTCGGCAGGTTTCATGCTGATCAAACAAAATGCATACTTTTCTTCTTCAAATAAGTGATTCTAAAATGAGTGATTCACCATTCTGGACTCTGGCACGTGGGGTGGGGATAACTCTAGGGACACCAAGAAATTCTCAGAACAACCTCAACACAAAATCGACTACATTCGATGGTGTGCAGATGCCTCCTAGCCCCGCCGTCATGTAGGATGGGAAGGGGAGGTACCAGGACAAATGGCAAGAGGCACAGCTCCTAACAGAACAGGAGCTCCCGACTCGACACCACGGACCAGGCAGCACCCACTGATGGCTGGAAGACAGAGATTTCAGGCCCCCGACTCCACACCACAGGCCCGGCAGCAGCCACTGACGGCTGGAAGACAGAGATTTCAGGCCCCCGACTCCACACCATGGGCCCGGCAGCAGCCACTGACGGCTGGAAGACAGAGATTTCAGGCCCCTAACTCCACACCACACACCTGGCAGCAGCCACCGATGGCTGGAAGACAGAGATTTCAGGCCCCCGACTCCACACCCACTGACGGCTGGAAGACAGAGATTTCAGGCCCCCGACTCCACACCACACACCAGGCAGCAGCCATCGATGGCTGGAAGACAGAGATTTCAGGCCCCCGACTCCACACCCACCGATGGCTGGAAGACAGAGATTTCAGGCCTCCGACTCCACACCCACTGACGGCTGGAAGACAGAGATTTCAGGCCCCTGACTCCACACCACACACCAGGCAGCAGCCATCGACGGCTGGAAGACAGAGATTTCAGATGGCGTGGAAGCTTGTGCTCAGACTAAGATTCCAAATGCTTCCTAAAACTCAAGTTTATTACTGTACTGAAGAAGGAGAAGCCTTAAGAAAGATATGTATCTATCCAATGATGGTGATTATGTCATTGCTTACCAGTTGAACTTTGAGAAACCCTTTTAAAAGAGAATATAATGAATTATTTCCCCAGCTTACAAATCGTTTACAACACACAGACTTGGCAATGTGGTTAATTTCTTCCTGCTTGCAAAGCCACAGTAAAGCACGTGACAGCTTTCCACACGTGCAAGAAGTATAAAAAAGGAAACTCCGAGAATCACACCGTTCAGTCCCCAGGCTCCCTTTGATCAAATCTGCAGATGTACAAGTTCTTTATGTTGGGACCTATGGAATACTTCCAGGAACAGAATCATGTTTCTATGCTTCCTGGGAACGCTTTCTGACAGGCAAGCATGGAAGTTTGACACTGGGTAACTCAGTTATTAAAAGTCTGTGTTTACTCAGACATCTCTCACTGGGACAAACATATAGCTCCATCAACCAAATAACCCCGTTTAAAGTCTGACAGAAAGCAAAAGGAAGATACGGGCTGCACATGAGGGGAATGGCTTTTTTCTCCAATTTTTTTCTTTTTTGTGGAGACTGACATCAATAATTAACAGCCTAAGTATATGCTTCATAGAACTTGGGCATAGCTCAACAGAAACAAGCACTCTAACACTAAGAATTCACAAGCAAGGCCAGGCACGGTGGCTCACACCTGTAATCCCAGCACTTTGGGAGGTCAAGGCAGGTGGATCACCTGAGGTCAGGAGTTCGAAACTAGCCCAGCCAACGTGGTAAAACCCCATCTCTACTAAAAAATACAAAAATTAGCTGAGTGTGATGGCCCACGCCTGTAGTCCCAGCTACTCAGGAGGCTAAGGCAGGAGAACTGCTTGAACCCGGGAGGCAGAGGTTGCAGTGAGCCGAGATCGCGCCACTGCACTCCAGCCTGGGTGACAAGAGTAAGACTCCATCTCAAAAAAAACCCAAAATGAAATTAAATTAAAAATTTTTTTTAAAAATTTAAAAAGAATTCACAAGCAAAACCAGGACCATTTATCAGTGTGTAGGCAGAAAAACAACGGCCCTAATCACCCAGCCCTCCATTCCTCAAAACCCTATCCTCTGGTGGGAAATGGGCCACAACCCGGGCAAGCCTGTCCTTGGGGCAGATATGGGCTGTGACGTACAGGGCATGGCTCTGCTGTGACGTCCAGGACATGGCTCCATGCTGGAGGCCTCACAGTCCTGACTCTCCATCCCACAGAGGGTTGGAGGAGCACAGGCAGGGCTCAGAATGCCCTTTTGACGGACAGAACTCACACCAGCCCCAGGGCTCACCTGTGTCCTCTCTCGGGTTCACATGGTGTCTCCTCTCTAAGGCTGTGACAACCCAGGCCCACAGGGGCTCCCTCACTGCAGAGCTCCTCCCAGGATGCAGGTGGGAGAGCACGGCTGCATCAGCAAAGGACTTCCAGGGAAACGTTAACATATCAAACAGTCTTCTCCCTGGGTCTTCTCAGCAAGTCCAAAGATAGCCTCTGAATCATAACACATTTCTAGGTAAAATGTGCTGTCTAAAACCTGAACAGCAGTTTGGTCTCCTTTTTCTTCTACTTCTTCTCTTTCTCCTCCCCTGACCCCTGTTTATTAAACATAGAAGAAAAGTCAACTCTAGTTAAAATTCCTTACATGCAGGGTTAGTATACCTTCAGGCATAACATTTTAAAATTATTTAAACTTCAAGTTTAAATATCACAAATAGAATTTTGAAAAACTTATTCTGCTATGTTCTTGTTGGAAGCCCCCCACCCCGTCAAGAATTCACATGTGGAAATTCTAATCCCCAAAGTGAAAGTATTAGGAGTCAGAGCCTCCGGAAGGTAATCAGATCATGAGGGCAAAGCCTTGGCAAACAAAATCAGTGCCCTTTATCAAAGAGGCCTGAGGGAGCTCCTTCTTCCCTTCCACCACTAGAGGACACAGCAAAAAGGAGCCATCTGTGAACCACGAAGAGGGGCCTCACCAGACACCAACTTAGCCAGCGCCTTGATCGTGGACTTCCCAACCTCCAGAACTTATAACAATGAATTTCTGCTGTCTGGAAGCTACCTGGTTTATGGGATTGTGCTAAAGCAGCCCAAATGGACTAAGGCGTTTTCTGAGCCATTCGCCTGGACACACCGATCTGCCTCTCTTTACCTAAAACACCCATTTGCTTCATAAAAGGATCAACAAAAACATACTTTTGAACCACATTATTTAATGGAAATTGAACTAAAATCCTAGGGGAGATAGGAATTTCTCTTGCAATATAAGTAATTATCTATATTTTCTGCACTGTATATTTAGATTTTTGTATTATGACTCTTCCTAGAATAAGTTGCGCCTGTACTTTGCATTTTACTAAAGTATTTTCTCATCATCTCCTTTCTAATAATTAATTTTAATAACATTTATATGGGGCAAGGGAGACTCTGATAACCATTCCTTATTTTATTTTATTTTATTTATTTTACTTTATTTTACTTTACCGTTGCGTTGCGTTGCGTTGCATTGCATTGTATTGTATTTTTGAGATGGGGTCTTGCTCTGTCACCCAGGCTGGAGTGCAGTGGAGCGATCTGGGATCACTGCAACCTCCACCTCCTGAGTTCAAGTGATTCTCCTGCCTCAGCCTCCTGAGTACATGGGATTACAGGCAGCCATCACCGTGCCCAGCTAATTTTTGTATTTTTAGTAGGGACAGGATTTTGCCATGCTGGCCAGGGTGGTTTCAAACTCCTAACCTCAGGTGATCCACCCGCCTTGGCCTCCCAAAATGTTGAGATTATAGGCATAAGCCACCATGCCCAGCCTCATTCCCCATTTTAAATGGAGACTTTAAACAAACTTGAAAGAAGACATTTTTCTATTCTCCTGTAATAACACAAGTTGTTCTTTTCCTGCACAAACTAAGGGATGTTAGGCATCATTCTGAGCTCCTTTGGAAAGCTAATAGACAACTCTGCTCAGGAGCCAGTAACCAGGAAAGCATGCCAGTGTGAGGCACTTCACACCTAAGCGCATCTAGGCTGGCTAAAGCCAACCAGCACTGATGTAAATCTTTCTTACAAGAATCTGGGCCAGGTGCGGTGGCTCACACCTGTAATCTCAGTGTTTGGGAGGCCGAAGTGGGAGGACTGCTTGCGCCCAGCAGTTTGAGACTAGCCTGAGCAATGTAGGGAGACCTCATCTCTGCCTAAAATTTAGAAATTAAGACCTCATCTCTACATAAAATTTAAAAATTAGCCAGGCATGGTGGTACATGCCTATGGTCCCAGCTTTGCAGGAGGTTGAGATGGGAGGATCACGTGAGCCTGGAAGGCCGAGGCTGTGGTTGAGCCGTGATCACACCACTGCACTCCAGCCTGAGTGACAAAGCCAGACCCCGTCTCAAAAAAAGAACCTAATAAATCTTCAGTGGCAATACTGCCATAATCACAGACAATTCCCTACTCTCCTTAATAGCAGAATCATATCATAGGGTCTCTGAGACTTTCGAGCACATTTTCTTACTACTTATCCTCAAACACAACATTTACAAAATGGGAAGGATAGCTATCAGTTCACTCCTCTTTGTAACATTTAACCTGAGCCAATTTCCACTGTTCTGTCATACTAAACTAAAATGAGGAAAAATGAAGAGAGCTGAAGCCAAATCCTGCTTTTTGAACAAAATGCCCCCTGTGCCTGGCGGAGCCACACACACTGCTTTCCTTCCCCCTGCCTCAATACCGCCTTCTGTGCCCTTTTCTTTTCTTCTGATAATAATCTTAACACGTACACCCTGCTTTCCCAGGTAATGCTAAATGCTCTCAGCCTGTCTGGCATTTCACTGTGATATTTACCTCCATCTACACTGAGGGGATTGTCTTCCCCCAGAAACTGGCTCAGATGGCACACAGAGATCAGCTAGCCACCATGCAGGTGACGGGCACTTGGACATGTCAGAGAAACACACAGCGTGTGGAGTGCAGCCTTGCTCAGCTCCAGCCCACAGGACTCCTCCCTGTAGCCTCCTCCCTGCCGGGGTGGTAGCCATGGGAGGGAGAGAGGAAGAGAGGGAGGAAGGGAGGGAGAAAGGGAGAAACGGAGGGAGGGAGGGAGGCAGGGAGGGAGGGAGGGAGGAAGGGAGGGAAGGAGGAAGGGAGGGAAGGAGGAAGGGAGGGAAGGAGGGAGGGAGGGAGGGAGGGAGGGAGGGAAGGAGGGAGAGAGGGAGGGAGAGAGGGAAGGATGAAGGGAGGGAGAGAGGGAGGGAGACAGGGAGAGAGGGGAAGGAGGGAGGGAGGGAGGGAGAGAGCGAGGGAGGAGAGAGCGAGGGAGGGAGAGAGCGAGGGAGGGAGAGAGGGAGGGAGAGAGGGAGGGAGAGAGGGAGGGAGAGAGGGAGGGAGAGAGGGAGGGAGAGAGGGAGGGAGCTGCCACTGTCATTCACTTCACTCCCATCCCTCAAAAGCTTCTTATTATGGATTCTAGTAACTTTGCCTTTAAAGGAGATTTTCATCATCCAAGAAACAAGGCGATTTCTAGGACGACTCTTGATATACCACTTGGGAAACGGAGCACAACAAGAATGCGCCGAGGTTTCCATTATTTTGACGTTGCTTCCACTAGCCAGCAGGGAGCATTAATCTACAGTGAAGGTGCATAACTCTTGAACAGCTGGAGAGCCTCTTTATCATCAAAGGGCGATGGAAAACCATAAAATTACCCTGTTGTGGCTAATCAGCCATCGAACCAATGGTGATGATGATGCATTGTGGAGACACCACATCCCAACTTCACAGCAAGCCGACACAAGAGAACAGTACTTGCAGAAGATAATTACCTCCTTCCTGCTCTTACCTGCAGAGTTCCAGGAAACCTCCCCTTTATCAGGGCTCCGAAGGGCACTGGTGTAAACATGAGCTGGGTAGGTGCAAAGTGCTGGGAAGCATTAGAGGATGTGGTGGGTCCACAGTCAATTGCTCATTATTCACTATCAATATGTACACTCTACATATTGATAAGATGCATTTAGCTATCAGTTTAATCATTGACTCAGGGAGAAACCTAATCCTTTAATAGAAGAATAACCATATACAATATTTTTAAAAGGTGTCCTAAAGAAACCTTTCTTATCTACTCTTGGAAAGTAAAAATTTGTTATCAATTATAAGGGTGACGTTGGTATTCATCTCATTTAGCCTCAATTTCTGTAACAGTCAAAGGGTAGAATTTTATTAATTCTTCTTATTTATCTATAGCCCATCTTTTCCAGAAAGAATTTAAGGGAGCGACATAGTCGAGATGTTTGTCCCCTCCACATGTCATGTTGCAATGTGATCCCCAGTGCTGGAGGTGGGGCCTGGTGGGAGGTATTGGGGCATGGGGGCGGATCCCTCATGAATAGCCTAGCAGCATCCTCTTGGTGGTGAGTGAGTTCTCGCTCAGTTAGTTCATACACAATCTGGATGTTTAAAAGAGTCTGGGGTCTGGGTGTGGTGTCTCACGCCTGTAATCCCAGAACTTTGGAAGGCCGAGGTGGGTGGATCACCTGAGATCAGGAGTTCAAGAGCAGCCTGACCAACATGGTGAAACCCCATCTCTACTAAAAACACAAAAACTAGCCGGGCATGAGCTGGGTGCGGTGGCACACGCCTGTAATCCTAGCACTTTGGGAGGCCAAGGCGGGTGGATCACCTGAGGTCAGGAGTTCGAGACCAGCCTGGCCAACATGGCAAAACGCTGTCTCTACTAAAAGTACAAAAATTAGCCAGGCGTGGTGGTGGGCGCCTGTAATCCCAGCTACCCAGGAGGCTGAGGCAGGACAATCACTGGAACCCTGGCGGAAGAGGCTGCAGTGAGCCGAGACTGCACCACTGCACTCCAGCCTGGGCAACAGACCAAGACTCCGTCTCGAAAAAGAAAAAAAACAAAAAAACTAGCCGGGCGTGATGGTGGGCACCTGTAATCCCAGCTACTCAGGGGGCTGAGGCAGGAGAATCACTTATACTGGAAGGCGGAGGCAGAGGTTGCAGTGAGCCAAGATGGCACCATGACACTCCAGACTGGGCGACAAAGTGAGACTGTCTAAAAAAAAGAAAACTAAATTAAATTAAAAATAAAGAGTCTGGGACTTCCCCATTCTCTCTCTTGCTCCTATTCTCACCATGTGATGCACTGGGCCCCTTTCACCTTCCACAATGATTGTAAGTTTCCTAAAGAATCACCAGGAACAGATGCTGCTGCCATGCTTCCTGTACAGCCTGTGGAACTGTGAGCCAAATAAACCTCTTTTTTTATAAATTACTCAGTCTCATGTATTTCCCTATAGCAATACAAAAATGGACTAACACATTAAATAGGTACTGAGGAGGGGAGCATTGCTACGAAGATGCTTGAAAATGTGGAGCAGCTTTGAGACTGGGTAACGAGCGGAGGTTGAAGGAATTTGGAGGGCTCAGAAAAAGAAAGCAAGATGAGAAAAAGTTTGGAATTTCTTAGAGACTTATTGAGTGATTGTAGCCAAAATGCTTATAGAAATATGGACAGTGAAGGCCTGATGAGGTCTCAGATGGAAATGAGGAAGCTATTTGAAACTGGAGCAAAGGTCACCCTTGTTAATGCCTTAGCAAAGAGCTTGGCTGCATTGTGTCCATTCCCTGGGAATCTGTGGAAGTTTGAACTTAAAAGAAATGACCTAGAGTATCTGGCAGAAGACATTTCTCAGAAGCAACGTATTCAAGAGGTAGCCTGGCTGCTTCTAACAGCCTACAATCAGATACAGGAGCAAATAAATGACTTAAAGTTGGTATTTATGTTTAGAAGGGAATCAAAGCATAATGTTTGGAAAAGTCACAACCTGGCCATGTAGAAAAGAAGCAAAGAGGATTTTCAGGGGAAGAATCCAAGAGGGCTGTGGAGCAACCACTTACTAGAGAGATTTGCATGACTAAAAAGGAACCAAGCACTAATAGTCAAGACAATGGGAAAAAGGCCTTGAAGACATCTCAGGCATCTTGGGAGGGGGAAAGCCCCTCCCATCCAAGGTCCAAAGGCCCAGGAGGAAATAATGGTTTCCAAGGCCAGGCCCGGGGCCCCACTTCCTTGTGCAGCCTCAGGACACTGCTCCCTGCATCTAGCTCCAGTCATGGCTCAAAGGGGCCATAGGTACAGTTCCGGCAGGTGCAAGCTATATGCCCTGGCAACTTCCACATGGTGCTAAGTCTGTGGGTACATAGAATGCAGGAGTGAAAGAAGCTTGGCAGCTTCCCCTAGATTTCATGGGATACATGGGAAAGCCTGGGTGCCCAGGCAGAAGACTGCCACAGGGGTGGAGCCACTGCAGAGAGACTGCACTAGGGTAATGCTTAGGGGAAATGTGAGGTTGAAGTCCCCACAGAGTCCCCATTAGGACACTGCCTAGTGGAGCTGTAGGAAGGAACCTTCTGCCCTCCAGGCCCAAGAATGGTAGAGCCAGAAGCAGCTTGCATCCTGAGCCTGGAAAAACCAAAAGCACTTGACTCCAACCCATGCAGGCAGCCATGGGGACAGCTGGCCAGGGTTTTGGGAGCCCAATCCTCACACCAGTGTGCCCTGGACGTAGGACATGGAGTCAGTGTTGGAGCTTTAACATTTAATACCTTTCCTGCCAGGTTTCAGACGTGCATGGGGCCTGCTGCCCCTCTGTTTTGGCTGATTTCTTCCTTTTGGAATGAAAATGTTTACCTAATGCCTGCACCCCCATTGTAATTTGAAAGTAAATAACTTGATTTTCATTTTACAGCCCATACCTTGAGTCTCAAATGAGACTTTGGATTTTTGAGTTGGGGCTGGAACAAGTTAAGACCTTGGGGGACTACTGGAAAGAGATGATTGAATTTTGTGATGTGAGAAGGACATGAGCTCTTTGAGGGCAGAAGCAGAATGGTATGGTTTGAATGTTAGTCCCCTCCAAATCTCATGTGGAAATGTGATCCCAATGTTGGAGGCATGGCCTAGTGGGAGGTACTGGACCACAGGGGCGGATCCCTCATGAAAGGCTGAGCACCCGTCCCTTGGTGATGACTGAGTCTTCTCGCTCAGTTAGTTCCCACAAGATTCGCTTGTTTAAAAGAGTCTGGCAGCTGCTTCTTTCTCCTAACAAGTGATGTCCTGGCTCCCCCTTCACCTTCCACGATGGTTGTAAGTTTCCTAAAGCCTCACCAAGAGCAGATGCTGGTACCATGCTTATATAGCCTGCAGAACCCTGAGCCAAATAAACCTCTTTTTTTTTTTAATAAATTATCCAGTCTCAGTATTCCTTTATAGCAATGCAAACAGACTAACAGAGGCAGCTAACACACATAAAATAAAATATAACAGTGTGAGATATACTGAAAAATAGTTAAAACATTACACTAGATGGGCATAATTTGATAAAAGCACCCCCAAGGGAGTGTTCAGTTCAATTCCACCCAGGCGGCCAGCGGTCTGCTGAACTGACTTCATCCACAGAGGGAACTCATCTGAATGATTTCCAAAGTCCTTTTCAGCGAGAAGACTGCGGCCGTGCCCTCTGTAAGTTCCTACTCCTGAGGCAGGCTGCCTTGGCTGGAGTAGCAGGGGTGTCAGCCACTGTGAGGCTAAAGGGAGGGTGGGAAGAGGGTCTGTAATTTATTTTTGATTCATTAAAAACAAAGTGATGTGGCACTGAGCAACAGTCAATAAATGTAGACTCTGCATCTAATAAACAAATAAATAAATGTCCTCTACATCTAATAAACGTAGAACTGGAAAGAATCCGAGGCCCCACAACCACCCCCACTCCACACACAAGGGAACAAGGCCTCAACAGAAATGACTTGCCCAAAGTTGGAACACTACAAATAACTACCTGTAAATCTGAAACGAGAGCCCGCCACCCTAGGTCTGCTGCCTTGAAGTCCACCATCTCTCCCACAAGTCACTATAGCTGACGAAGAAGCAAACCAGAGGTAGAGAGGGGAAAGCAGGTTTAAAAAGAAGGGCATTTTGTTATTTTCAAAATGCTTAATTCCCATATACAGCATACTTTATTAATGTTTATCAACCAAAAGGACCAGCTAGAAATACTGAAACATCCTCAACGCTTACTGTCATGAAGATACATTTATATTCCCAGGAACAGAGACAATTTCATAATCACACTGTGAGGAACACAAATGGCTCCTTCTGTTCATTCAACAGGGAGGTGATCCCAGTGTTTCTGGAGTTCTGGGGCGAGACTTCTGGCTATGAATCCTGAATACTCCCTCTGTAGGAGTGAGTAATTCCAGATACCTTTACCTTAATCTCTTGGGGCCATGGGAAAGGACAGTCCCTACTTTACAGGATTTGCATGAGTGAGGTAATGCATGCAAAGCCCTAGCAAAGGGGCCTCGTTCACAGAACGGTTCAATACGATATGGTTGTTGCAAAGCATTCATTTTCTCACTCAAATACGCGGAGTGTCCGCCCTGTGCTGTCCTTGGTGCTGAGGACACAGCCTCGGACCTGACAAAGTCAGCAGCTTCTGCAGAGGCTCAGCGTCCACAGAGAACACCACACGTGAGTGAGAACAGAGACGGGAGTACTGAGCAGCGGCAACTCCTACGAAGATAAAACGGCAAAACGGGCCACGTGCAACAGCTCACACCTGTAATCTCAGCACTTTCGGAGGCTGAGGTGGGCGGATCACCTGAGGTCAGGAGTTCAAGACCAGCCTGGCCAATATGGCAAAACCCCGTCTCTACTAAAAATACAAAAATTAGCCAGGCGTGGTGGTGGGTGCCTGTAATCCCAGCTACTCAGGAGGCTGAGGCAAGAGAATTGCTTGAACCCGGGAGACAGAGGTTGCAGTGAGCTGAAATCATGCCACTGCACTCCAGCCTGGGTGACAGAGGGCGATTCCATCTCCAAAACAAAAACAAAAACAAAAAATTGGGCAAAATGGCAAGAAATCACAGGGTGGGGCAGAGCATGGTGACTTGAGAGGGAAGGGTTAACCAGGCGAGGCTGAGACAGGAGCGTCTAAGTGGGGCTGGTGATGGGGCAGGTCCTCTAAGGCCAGCTCAGGGGCTCCATCCCTGCCGGGCAGAGCTGCAGAGCACCAGGGCTGGCGGGGACCTGAGGGGCCCTTACAGGAACCCCGGCACTGCCTTGTTTTTAGGATCTTCCTTAGCAAATATAGTAAGGGACACATTTCCACTGTAAATCAGAAATAAAAAACTCTAAGAACCCCACCCATCTGAACGGACTTTCTCCCTAGCCAGGGCTCTTTTAAAATTTAACCTCAAAGGCTGTTTTAGGCCATGATGGGAAGTGGGGATCGGACGTGCCTCATTCTACCTCTCTGGCATCAACATCGACACAGGCTTTAAGTCTGATAGGAAACATTTTATAGCCTGTTCTCTCGGAAGCTGCCACCTGAAGTTTCCTCTGCAATAAGAACTTGAGTCTCCACGGTCCTTTTTCCTAACCCAGGCATCCCTTTCAGTTGATCTCAGGTCTTTAGACAAATTCAACCAATTGTTAACCAGAAAATGTTTAAATTTACCTACAGTCTGGAAGCCTCCTGCTTCGAGTTGTCCCCCCTTTCTGGACCAAACCCATGTATTTCTTAAATGTATTTGATTGATGTCTCATGACTCCCTAAAACGTATAAAACCAAGCTGCGCCCCGACCACCTTGGGCACATGTTCCCAGGACCCCCTGAGGGCCGTGGTCACTCATATTCAGCTCAGAATAAATCTCTTCAAATATTTTACAGAACTGGACTCTTGGTGGACACCATGTAGAGGCCCTGCCACACAACCATCAGCTGAGCAACGTCATCGCCGTTTCAGGGATGAAGGTTTGAGCTAGAGAAATGAGTGACTTCCTAAAGACCCTACTGCTCCCGAGGAGTGGGTGAGGACGAGAAACCGGACTCAGTACTTCCCAGCTAGTCTCTGTCTGCTTCCATAGGCTGCCTGGCTCTGGAGCATGTCTGATTAGTGTTCTGGGGGGCACACTGGGTCATAAGGCTCTATAAGTTCCTTCCTTAGCCTTCGCTGTTCCCACTAGCAGGAGCTAAAGGCGACTGGTGGGGTGCCCTGTTCAGCCTCTGCTTGTTGGAGTGCTGAGACAGACACAGGAGGGGTGATGGAAATTAGGACATCAGATTGCTCCAGACAGGCAAAAGCTGAAATGGCCAGGAGGACAGGAGCCCCTAACACCATTTCCTGCGGTGTGGGGCATGCCTCTAGTCTGCAGGGAGCACCCATGGCAGGCGTGATGGCAGCTGGAGTGGTAGCGACGTGAGTGTGGGGAACCGTGTGGCATTCTCGGGCACTCCCAGGTGGCCAGAAGCTTTGTGCAGTAAACATCTCCTGGAGCTGTTCTTGGTGCCAATTATATGCCAAAAGGAGGCAAACAAAACCACCACCAAGCACCTGGAGCCTGACCCCAAAGGGCAGCCTTCACCTGTGCCGTATTCACCAGACCGACGTTCCCCCAAATCAAATTCCCTATCTAATCATAACACTTTCACACCATGGAAGACACTTAAAAGAACACGCATGATGACACCAAATGCTGGGGAGGACGCAGAGAGGAGGAGCCCTCACGCTCTGTCATGGCATCACACGTGCAGCAGCTCCACACAAAACTAACTGAGCCGAGAGAAATAAAACTTCCTGTTCATACAAAAACCTGTTCATTAATACTTACCGCAACTGTAGTCATAATCGCCAAAAACAAGGAAAAACCCAGATGAGCTTCAACAGGCAAGTGCTTAACAAACCGTGGTGCGTCATGCCATGGGATATCCCGCCGCAGCAAAGAGGAACCAGCCACTGACCAGCACGCATGGTGGCTGGAACCCAAACTTGAAAATGAAGCAGCAACTCAACCTCCAGGGAATCAAGCCGAGTAAAGAACATCAGTTATTAAAGGTTACACTGTGGGTGATTCCATTTATAGAACCTTCTCCAAATAACAATACAGAGATAGAGTACAGATTCGGGGTGGCCAGGGGCTAAGGCCTTGGAGGCGGAAGGGAGGTGGCTGTGGTTATAAATATAACATAGCACAAGGGACCCAGGGTTGGAGTTGTTCTGTGTCTTGACTCTGGTGGTGGCTACACGAACCCACACACACAATAAATGGCACAGATGTCAATGTTCACACACGAATGCATATAAACAGGAGGAATCTGTGTAAGTTCAGTGGGCTGTATCAATGCCAGTTTCCTGTTTGTGATACAGTACCATAGTTATGCAGTGTTACTATTGGGGAAAACTGGCTGAAGGATACACGGGATCTCTCTGTTACTCCTATAACTATATGTGAATGTACAACCTCAAAATAAAAAGCTTAAGAGAAAAAAGAATATGCAATAATATATTGGATAACAAAATGGAATTCAAGCAATACTTTGAACAACAGAGGCAAAATCAGAGCAAATGGCATTCCAAGGTAGATCTGAGGATAGTTGAATTTGCCTGTTTAATATCAACAATTACTTTCTTACTTTCTTTTTTTTTTTTTTTAGACGGAGTCTCTCTCACCCAGGCTGGAGTGCAGTAGCCTGATCTCAGCTCACTGCAACCTCCGCCTCCCAGATTCAAGTGATTCTTCTGCCTCAGCTGCCCAAATAGCTGGGACTACAGGCACGTGCCACCACACACGGCTAATTTTTGTATTTTTAGCAGAGATGGGGTTTCACCATGTTGGCCAGGCTGGTCTCGAACTCCTGACCTCAGGTGATCCACCCACCTTGGCCTCCCAAAGTGCTGGGATTACAGGTGTGAGCCACTGCACCCCACCTTCAACAACTATTTTCATAAGTCTATGTAGGTATGATGCAATTTAACATTACAATCTAATAATCAGTTCCCCATGACACACACCCATGTGGCCTGTCTTTGCATACAGTGTCTGCACAAGGTGGGAAGTTGAGAAGCAGTCTGACAGCTCCTTGTCCCCAGGCAGGGCCAAGGTCCCTTTTCTGAGCTCACCTGTCTCTGCACATCCCAGCAGGACTGCCATCCGCTACACATGCTAACCTCCCTAACGTGACCACTGACCTGCGCAGAGTCTCACTCATCTGCTCCCTGGTGCCGGTGTCTCCTGCAACGTGTACACACATTAACACATACACAAATGTGCACACATACGTGTGCACAGAGACACAAGCACAAATGTGTGCACATGTGCATCACACACATGCGCACAAATGTCTATTTGCTGGGGATGTGGCAATCATTTGAAATGTGGAACTCCTAACAGTGCTGTGTGGTTTGCACAGAGATCCTGCATTCGGGCGGGGAGTGACAGCAGTGGCAATCACTCCTGGGGACTTTGGGACTCTTCATCTGCCTCCCCTTACTGTGCAAGACTGGCTGTGATTTTAATACTCAGAGCATCTCCGTAAGAAGAAATATCCACCGACGTGGTAGAAGCACAGCAAGTATAAAAATAATTCCACCACAAACTGATACACAGAGAGCATCCGGAGCCACAGACTGCCTGACCCTCAGCACTGCTCTCCTCCATACCTGACGAGGGAAACCTGAGTCGGTCCTCAGTCCCCGTTCCAAACTCCACCTCGTAAGCGAATCCCTCTTCAATTCCTCTAATAACAATTAATGGCTGCTCCTTCCGGGGCCACAGCGTACAGTTCGTAATGATTTCGGGGTACGCCACGGCTGGCCCAGCCACAGTTAGTTGTGTACACCCTGGGTCTCCCCGTGGAGATCATGACTCTCGGAGGCCGGGCCCTCTAACTTGTCACCTTGGTGTCCCTGGAGCCTGGCAGGGTTTCTGTAGCAGGTATTTAATAAGTATTTGTTGTATTAAATTTATTTAATTGGTAGAACTGACGAGACAGAAGTCACTGTACAAACGATTTGTCTCTTGCAGACACACACGCACATGTGTATGTGTTAATGCATTAAGTAAAACAATCACTATCGTTATTGTAAACACTCATAACAACAGTATGCCCCCGCAATCTCCTTTAGAAAATACGGCTTCTTAATTTTTACCAAGGCCTCAGGGCCTTCAGAGAGCAGCTGTGACTGCCGTGGAGAGGTCCCTGGGAATGACCAGTGGGTGCACACAGCCAGGCCTCCAAGCTCATGAAGCAGCGACTGGCCAGGGAGCCACGTGAATGACACACCACATGCCGGACACGGGCGGGCTTGGGCACGCAGCCCCACAGGCACACCACGCATTCATGCTTTGTCCACGGGAGGAAGGGATTGTAAGCCTCAACCTGAAGTGGTAAATAATTGCCATGTGAGTGTGAATAAGTGCATGCTGACCAAGCT
Source organism: Homo sapiens (assembly GCF_000001405.40). Lineage (NCBI taxonomy): Eukaryota > Metazoa > Chordata > Mammalia > Primates > Hominidae > Homo > Homo sapiens. The sequence goes on from NC_000002.12 coordinate 3,256,988, forward strand.
GAAAAGCCACACAGCGCTCGAGGGCAGTGCAGTGCCTGACCCTTTACCCTCTGGCAGGTCCCCACGGGCAACACTCCTCTTAGATGAAGAGGAGAAAGTGGGGATGCAGGCGCGCTGGCTACATTTCTGTCAATGCGGCTAATCTAGAAAACACAGGGACTAAAATTAAAAATCAAATTCTCGCAGCTTTTTAAAAGAAAGGAGCGTTTCCGAGGTGTGGACGGTGGCTCCTGCAAAGGAATCTGCACAAGCTCCTGCACCTGGCCAACCTGCAGGCTCGTTCTGGGCGCATGAAATATGCAAAATCCTACCAGGCCATGTTGCCATGGGCTGTGTTGTCAAGGTGACAGAGCAGCTCCAGGGTCTGTGCAGTGCTGGATGAATCATCAGGGGACTCGTGGCTGCCTGATTCCAATTCCTTCGGCATCCTCCACACGGCTGCACATGTCAGGACTTTGCTGTCTGAAGCTGAGCAACAGAGCATAATGGATAATGTCAACAGAGCACGGTGTGCCCCGCATTCTGCAGACAGCACACGCACATTTACACAAATCCATAAGCAGCGCGCATCTGCTCTTTAAAATATGTACGATTGCAGGCAGCAAAGACGGAGCAGGGAGAAGCACAGCCTGAGTCGGCAGGCAGAACCCGGCACGGTTCGTAATCAGCATCCTGTTCCCCACTTTCTCTTTGTTTTAAAAACCATCATGCTGTTTCAAAAGAAAATTTAATTTCCTCAAAATCGATTTCCTTCCGTTCTTCTTCAATAGTTCTTCAAAAAAGGGAGCAAAATGGGGGACTAAAGATATAATCACCACGCACGCAGCTGGTGTCTAAGGTTGGCATTAAACGGGTTTTCTCTCCATAGCTGTATGAGATCACCTTAAATGACTATTAGGCACACTGAGCGATATTCCATTCGGAAATCCTGTCACGCATGTTATTCTGCCTCAGTTTACCTAAAGTGATGAGTATCTGGGACCGGAAGGTAATGCCATTCAGAGGCATCGCATGCTGAGGCCTGGAGCCCTGGTGGGCAGCAGGTGGCAGCCCAGCCTGGTCATGTCACCATCAATACAGCCTCTTCTCCTAGAAATGAGAGTGCCATCCTTACACGATCCTGCTGGTGGCTGCTCGGTCTCCCTGAGTCTTGATACTCTATTTTCAAGATGCTCCAGGAATCTAGAGTACCTAGAAAAGCCACTTTGTGGATAGAGACTCAACCTGCATTAGAAAGACTGGGGTCACTTGTTTCCAAGGAAGGTCTCTGATGCTCTAGAAAATTTCTCAATATGATAAATTTTTTAAAAATTAGATTTAACATTGAATTCTTGAACATAAATCCTTTCAGAATTTGCTTTCCATTTAGTTTTCAATTGAATATGTGCTAAACACCTCTCCCTTTTAAAGATGGCCTTTAATGAATAATCATAAACTAGCAAACAGGATTCAACATTAAATCATCAATTGATAACAAGTGAAGAACATAAAAATATTATATATTGCGTTAGAACATAAAAAAACATTTCATGGGTAGTACAAGAAGGAAAACAGCATGGCATTACAAAATAACAACGACCTTAGGTTACAATCGAAAATGTATCACTTACTGGTGATGATGCTCTTGCGATCTCAATATCAACTAATCGACCAAGCAATATAGCAACGAACTCAATGACAAAATATCTAACTTTGTGAATATTATTAATACCATTGTTAACCATGATTGAATGATAAGAAGTTAAAAGATTAAGACTTCAACCAGGATTTTCTGATTCCAAATTCAGTGACCATTTTATATACCATATTGGGTCTAAAAGAACATGCAATTATGGCTTAAAGAAAAAAAACTCCATCATATATTCATATAATGTTCACACTTCCAACTTTACAAAAATGGAGTGTACAGACAGTTCTGTCTACAAGGGAATTTTATTTATTTATTTATTTATTTATTTGCTGAAATTTTCAGTTACACGATCTTTCTGCAGAGCCCACGAGATTGGCAATGGCACTCCTGGAAACACAAAAATAACCAAAGGGAAAGTTGGCAATTTGGAGTAGGAAAGAAAAAAATGAATGCCTAACCCACTAGCACACACTAACCCAACAGAGGTGTAGATTATCTTAATCTTTCTAAATGGTAGAAAAATACATGTCTAATCTTACAAGTTATAGAACTAATAATGGGAGCACTAAATTGTGGCTGCACTTCAAAATGAATGAAATACACAAGATGACAAAGGCAGGGAATAGTAAAAACAGCTATTCTGTGGAAGAAATGACTAATGGCAGACACTCCCCCCCACATCCCCAACAAGTTCCTTCTTTGGAGAATTCTGTTCAGGTGTAAAGAAAGTGACTTTCCTGTAAACGCCAGCTCACCAAACTCCTTAACTATATCCACGTTGCCCTCAATAAAGCAAAAGTGGTACAGGTGAAGTAAGATTTTCCACTCTCAGGTAAGCTACCTCCCTTCAAAGTCTACACCAGATACAATGTTTAAGTGACCAGCTGGACAATGAAGTTTCCACGTATCCGGTTCATGTAGCGCTATTCACCTCTCTCCCCACAGTCCATCAACTTCACAGAGTAGAGAAGGCAATGGAGGAACCTCCAAGAAAATATAGATAAGAGAATCTACACTCACTTCAACTTTTACTCCATTCTGAAACCCTTCTAATGTTGTAACAAAGAGGGGTTTTTCTTTCTATTTTCTTTTAAAAACATAAACCCACAAGGATAGAAGAGCAATGAAGTTTTGGAAGCTGGAAAGAAACAGACCCTTAGAAAGATGGTCACTTGTTTTACTACAAAAATAACACTCAAGAGTGGAGAAAGGATGGTCTTTTCAATAAATGATGCTGGATCAATTGTATATCCATATGAAAGAAAATAAACTTGTATCCTACCTCATAACATACTCAAAAACCAATTCCAGCTAGACTGATGATAAAGACGTAAAGATAAAATAATACAAATCTTTTCAAGAATACATAGTAGAATATCTTCTCAGCCTTGGGACAAGCAAAGATTCCTTAAATGGCAGGAAAAAAAGCTGGATCATACAGAAAAAGACGAATAACATAGAATCTATTAAAATTAAGAACTTCTATTCACCAAAAGACCCTATTAATTGGACTTCATTAAAATTTAAAACTTCTTTAAAATCAAAATGAAAAACTCTGCTTTCAGAAAGACACTATTAAAGAAATGAAGCAGTGGCCGGGCATGGTGGCTCACGCCTGTAATCCCAGCACTTTGGGAGGCCAAGGCAGGCGGATCATGAGGTCAGGAGTTTGAGAGCAGCCTGGCCAACATGGTGAAACCCCGTCTCTACTAAACATATAAAAATTAGCTGGGCATGGTGGTGGGCGCCTATAATCCCAGCTACTTGGGAGGCTGAGGCAAGAGAATTGCTTGAATCTGGGGGGTGGAGGTTGCAGTGAGCTAAGATTGTGCCACTGCACTACAACCTGGGCAACACAGCGAGACTCCATCTCAAAAAATGAAGGAAGGAAGGGAGGGAGGGAGGGAGGGAGGGAGGGAGGGAAGGAGGGAAGGAAAGAAAGGAAAGAAAGAAAACAAAAGAAAAGAAAAGACAGACTGGGGGAGATATTTATAATACATATATCTGACAAAAGGCCTGTATCCAGAATAAATATAAAGACCTCCCACAGCTTAATAATGAAACAACCCAATTTTTTTAAATGTACCTTACGCCAAATCAGACACTTCACAAAAGAAAACATATGAATGGTCAACAAGCACCAGAAAAGATGCTCAACATTATTAATAATTGGAAGGAGGCAAAGTGAAACCATGTGAGACTCACCACACATCTTACTAGAGTGGTGAAATTTTCATTTAAAAAAGACCAACAATAGCAAGTATTGGCAAAGATGTACAGTAACTGGATCTCTCACGGATTGTGAAAAAAGAGTGTAAAACAGTACACACATTTTGGAAAACACTTTTGCAGTTGAACATTCACTTACCAGATGACCCAATAATTCCACTCTTAGAAGAAGCTGTCACAAAGCTTGGCTTGTTGATAATAAGCTTTGTCCAGCTTTCTGACTTGGGCAGTTAAACCCAGCCCCAAGTAAATGTGGTCGGGTGACGGTATGTAACTGCCAGAAGTCAGGGGGTGGCAATTATCATAATGACCAACGAGACCAGAGTGCCGGCCAAGGAAGCTCAACTGGCAGAGGGCTGTGGAGACAGTTAATAGAGTTGGTATTCCTAGGGGTGAAACAGACAAGGCATTCAAGGAGAGTACTGCCTGCCTGACACATGCACACATGAGTGCAAACGTACATAACGTACATACATATTAAAAAGAAAACAAGAATGAATGAGCAGAAGGCTGAGGGAAGTCACCCCACTCACAGTCACAATCCCTTACCCAGATCCAGATTTGAGGCAGCTTCAGAGCTGGAACCCACTGACGGTAAAGATGGTCAGATTCCCCACGGGTTAGGAACCTGCAACCCTAGGGCAGGTGTACACTGCAATGATTACCCTAGTCTGTACCCAAAGGGACCCACGGCCATTTTCCTGAATGCCATTCCCTGGGCAAAGGGTAATCCCCACACATTTCCAGGTCTGCTGAACACAAAGACACGCACAGGGGTCCAGCAACCCAGTGTCCCACTGTCCTCCGGCCCGAGTGGGGCATGGGGATGCCAGGTGATAAGTAAAGTCCTAGGCAGGGCCTGGCTTACCGCAGATCCTCTGAGTCTGTGGGCGCACCTGGTGGGCAACTCCAAGGTCTGTTAAGGTCAAATGGGATTGACATCCTGGGCAGTTTGTGAAATACCCATACCGGGCCTGTGACCTGTGGAGTTAATGGGAAGGTCACATAGAAGCCTCTGAAACTGCCTCCCCGTCCCAACCCATCAAAGAGTGGTAGAGACCTGCGCTTACTTTAAGAATCAAGGATATGAAGTGGGTGTGGCTTTGCTGAATTCACCATTGGCTTCTGCAGAAAGCTAATGGGCCCTGGAGAATGCCTGTGGATGACTCTAAGCTCAACAAAGCAGGAGCCCACTCAGATCCACAGTGCCAGCTGTGGAGTCTTGTTAGAGCAGATTCCCAGGCCCTCAGGCACATGATGTGTGTACACAGACCGTCAAATGCACGCTGTCCTATCCCAATGAAGAAAGAAGATGAGAAACCATCCGCATTCACAAGCAAAGGAAAACAGTATACACTCTTGCCACAGAGCTGTGCTGGTCTCCCATTTTCTATCATAATATAGTCCAAACAGACCTGGGCAGCCCACAGAACATCACATGGACCCACTGCATTCATGACATTACAGTGACAACGTAGGAGGAGCGTGCAGAAGACCTTGGCAAGACGGCAGGAAACACAAGCTATGGCAATTCCAGGACCTGCTACTTCTGCTGAGGACACCAGGACTTCCCCTCCAGAGCAAAAGCAGAAAAGACGCTGTAATGCCTGCCAGCCCTCTTCATTCTAGAGGTGACACATTATACACCTAGGAAGGCTGGACCAGCCCAGATGCTGGGGTAGCACGTAAGGCTGCCAGCTTAGGCCAAGAGGGCACTACAGCAAGATCAGGCTGGGGAGAGGCAGCCCTGCTTCTGGGGACGCCTAGTAGACCTGCTGGTGTGGAAGTTGTCAGTGGTAGAAAGCATGCAGTGTGGACTTTGTGGAGAGCCCGGTTGGAGTCACCACGTGGTCCCGGGGTTCTGGAGCAAGCCATGCCATCTGCAGCACAGAACCATGTCTTTTGATAAACAGCTCTGACCATGCCTCTGGGTCCTGATAATGGAGCTCCTGGCCATGGGGCACCAAGTGCCACGTGTCACTCATGAGAAGAGCTCAGTCATACCCACCACGGCACAGGGTCGGGCAGGGCCAGCAGTGATTGACTACAAAGTAGAGACGGTGCACACAGGACAGAGTCAGGCAGGACCAGAGGGCACCAGAAAACTGCATGGTAGGTGCCCAAACCATACAAGACTTCTCTGCCCCGGACCCTCCCTGCACTCATGCCTGTGGCCATGTGGGAGTCCTGTACTTTTAGCTGAAGAAGGAGAAGAGATCTGAGCTGCTTTACAGATCAATGAGTTCGGGAGAGGGCATAAGCCAAACATTGGCAGGCGCTGTCAGACGGCTACGCTCAGGAGACGGCTGGGAGAGCATGGAGGGAAAGCTGATTGTGAAGAACGGTGATCATGAGGCAGGGCTCCCAGCACTGCTCTGGCCATCCCTGTGGCGTGCAAAAAGTGGCCCATACTCAAGGGCATGGCCAACTGCCTGGTGACTGGTTAGAAGCCTGGAAGTAAAAAGACTGAGAAATTGGAGACCCACCCACAGTATTGCATGTGGCAAGGTGATGCCTGGAGCCCCTTCCATCCTGAGAACAGGAAGAAGTTCATCCGACACTTAGTCCAAGTATGAGTTTGCCTTTCTTGGCTGCAAAAACAAAGCCCTGATGCCCTGACCAGAGACCACCCCTCAACGGCCCCACCACTACAAATAGCACATAATCAGAGAAGCCACAGAACTGCACTATACAACAAGCAGGAGTGGGCCCAGGATCTCCTATCCACATCACATCGCACCACCTAGGTGAGCCGGGTTCATGCAGCAAAAGCATGCAGCACAGTGCGGCCAGCGCCCTCCCCAGGAGGTGGCACGGTGCGGCCAGCGCCCTCCCCAGGACGCGGCACGGTGCGGCCAGCGCCTTCCCCAGGACGCGGCACGGTGCCGGACCCAGCTCCTCTGTCAGTTTCCTTGCCCCAGTAATAGCACACAGAGGCCTGGAACCCAGTATTTCCAGATGGCTCTGTGTCCCCAACAAATGATGCTGCAGCACCATTAACTTTCTAATTAAAAAATGCATATATTTATAGTAATGTTCTGATATGTGTATACATTGTGGAATGGCTAAGTCAAGCCAATTCATATTTGCATTACCTTACATACTTATCATTTTTTGTTGTGAAGACACTTGAAATCTACTCTCTTAACAATTTTCAAGTATATGATACATTGCTAATAACTTCAGTTACCATGATACATTGTTACTAACTGTGGTCAGCAAGACATCCAATAGATCTCTGGAACTCATTTCTCCCCTTAACTGAAACTTTGTATCCTTTCACCAACATCTCCCTTTTCCCCATCCGCCCTCCCGCCAGCCTCTGTTATCACCTGCTCTGCTTCTGTGACTTCAGTATTTTTAGATTCTGCATGTAAGTGAGATTGCGTGGTGTCTGACTCTCTGTGCTGGGTTTATTCCACTCAAGACCTCTAGGTTCATCCTGCTGCTGCGGATGGCAGGATTTCCTTCCTTCTTAGGGCTGAGCAATGCTCCATTTGTACCATGTTTCTTTATCCGTTCATCCGGCTCATTAGCACTGATGGATAGGCAGGCTGCTTCCTTATTGTAATGAATGTCCCAATCATCTTCAGCTTGCCATGCCCCAGAAGAACTGGATAAAGACTTTCCTGTGTACGGCAAATAAGGAAGCTCCAAGCACTGCTAGGGAAGTGTCAAAGGCAGGGGCCAGAGGAGGCTTCCTCCGGGCAGGACAGATGAAAAAAGGGAACTGCAGTGGGTAGAAGCATCAACTATGTTAGCCACGTGCGAGTTCACATGACACAAGAAGACAACCTCACCCCCATTCCTTTGCAAAACACTATGAACCAATGCTGTTTTTGTTTGTTTGTTTGTTTGTTTGTTTTGAGACCGAGTCTCGCTCTGTCACCCAGGCTGGAGTGACCATCTCGGCTCACTGCAACCTCCGCCTCCCGGGTTCAAGCGATTCTCCTGCCTCAGCCTCCTGAGTAGCTGGGATTACTGGTGCCGCCACCATGCCCAGCTAATTTTTGTATTTTTAGTAGAGACGGGGTTTCTCCATGTTGGTCAGGCTGGTCTCGAACTCCTGACCTTGTGATCCGCCCTCCTCAGCCTCCCAAAGTGCTGGGATTACAGGCTTGAGCCACCGCACCTGGCCCCAATGCATTTTTCTAAAAATTGGTAACTAAAATAAAATTAATGAAATGTCTAGTGTATGAAAAATTTACATAGATTTTCCAAAAGATTATAAAATTGTCCTTCTAGAATTTAGTCTGAAAATCTGGTGGGTACGAGGTGAGTTCAAAGTGCCTTAATAAAGTATGTGAACACCAGAAACCACCCTGAGGAAGACCAGAACATTAGAGGGGTGTGCAGGCAGGAGGTGTCTCTGGCATCGTCACCCAAAAAAATGAACGAAGCTGCACACGTTGCTGAGTAAGGAGTGTGCTTGGGGCTCAGGAAATACAGTTGGCATTCCTACCTCCAGAAACTCCACATCCTCAGAGGCAGATGAAATGGAAGGTAAACAGCACTAAGGAAGAAGCACCCATGGGGACATACTCATCAGCTCTGAAACTCTGAGGATTTCTGTAGCTGTGTGGATCCCAACAGTGTTCAACACACATCCAGCAGCCATCAAAGAAACTAAGGAGCTTTTAAGAAGGAAAACCTAATCTTTAGAAGGCAAATGCTGTTAATAAGCAGGGAGGCATTTCATCTTTTATCTATGTTTTTCACACGCTCCTGAACTGAGGTTCTGTAATGTAACTTCCTGTGCCGAATTAATATCACAATGACTAGGAGCCGGCAGAGGGCAGGGCTCAAGGCTGCCACATAAAACCAGACATATGGCACAAACCGCAGCAGCACTGCCCACAGAAACTGTGTCTGTGCCGACAGAAGTCAGAGAACCACACGATACCTAGGCTGAAAGGGAACTCCGATATCATGCTGAATGAACACAGCCCCTTCATTTCACAAATGAGGAAACTGAGGCCCAGTGAAGCCACTGACTTTTCCAAGTTCAAACAGCTCATTAGCGCTGATGTCCAGAATGAATGGAGCCTCCTGACTCCCATAACAGCCCCCTGCTTTGAAAGAGAAAATTCCAAGTTGCATCTTCAAAGCCAATTTGAAGCCACTACCTACTTTTCACATGTTAACACAAGAGCTCAAGGCCCTTAATGAGATAAAGAGATAATCAGGGCAAAATGAAGGGAGGGAGGCATATTCGCGACTGCCAACTGCAGCCACGGGTGTGCTGCCTGCTGGAAGGGATTACCAGGCAAAAGGCTTACAGGAATTCAAAGGAGATCAGAGCCTTTGTGAGCATGAATAGTAGCTCCAGTCAGCCCGGCTAAAGGGCGAACAATGCCCTGCCTGGGGGACATAATCTGATCCCCAGCTGGAGGAGGAGGAGGTTTCCAGGGCTGCATAAGCAGTACCTTAAGATGGGACTATTTTTAGAGCCCGCAGCCATCTCTGAGTCTGGCAGGAGCTGAGCAGGATGGATGAGGACAAATGACAGCCTCACTGGGCGCTCACCTGATGCAGGTACGCCTCGGGGTGCACAACAGGATGTCTGAAGATCTGGGCCTAAAAATACCTTCCTCGATGGCCTTTTAAATGCCTTAGGGATGGCACCATGTACAGATTGCATCGCCTGAGTGTGCAGGGGCAGAGACTGATTGCAGAAGGCGGCAAGGCTGATGAGCAAGACAAGGATGACACCAACTCTCTTATCCTCCAGGCACTGGTGAGGGGCACCCGCGCCTCTGACAAGCTCTGCTGGCCAGGAGGCAGCAGGAGGTGGTGCCAGCATCACAACAGGCTGCTGCCCCAACAGGAAGGGGGTGCTGAGAAGTGGAGGTGTCAGGGGCTCGCTGGCCGTGAGCTCCAGAGACACAGTGGGCACAAGCATGATGTGCCAATCAGAGCAGTCTAGCCCAGATGGAGCTGCAGCAGAGGCCAAGAGAGAAAAAGACAGGCAGGCTGCTCAGCCCCTACTCCACATGCCAGAAAGGCTCAGGACAGACAGAAAGCTGGCCCGATGACCACCGTGCAGAGGCGTGGCCTCTCTCGGCTCTTCACCTAAGCCAGCTCACAGGCCTATGGCCCCTCAGTTTAGGGGAACCCAGGTCCCCTTGGGGAAGGACCCGTGGCTATTTTATAGGAGAGCTGACCATGGGGAGAGGGAACTACCCCCACACCCTGAATCAATGCCAGTCCTACTGGACCCAACACATCACAGGATCTACGGCCAAGCAGGGACCCGGAAGCTGTGGCCCAAGTCCACCTCAGAGGGCCCAGTGGGGTCAGTGTATCCAACCTGCGGCTATTTCTCCAATCCCTGTATGTGTGTTGGAATAGGCAGACCTAGCACTGGCAGGACGACCACAGAGCACTCACTCCATGGCTACAGAGCCAATGATGACAGGAAGGACCAGAGGGATGCCCCGGGACATTCCCTCACCTGTGAAAATAGTCAACCAAAAGCAACACTGCAGTGTTGGTGGGATGGAGAGTTAGGAGCACCATGGAGGCTGTGAAAGGTGCTGGGTGCTGCCTTTTACCACACCCCACTAAACCCAGCTGTTTGGCCTGCGTCGCAGCAGCGGGTTCTTGGAGAATGACAGTGCATGATCATAAACTTAATCAGGCGGGCAACCCCAACTGCAGCTATTTCAGATACGCTGTTGTCACAGAGCATGTCTATACAAGAATGCAGGCCCTGGCTTCTGATATAAAGATTGAGCTAGCAATTTGGTCTCACACCGCCAATTTGAAGGGCCACCAGAAGCTATTTGCTGTTGCCTGGCAAGGCCAGCAGTGCCTGTTCACGTCCTGCTGCAGACCTACATCAAGACTCAGGCCTGGGGCCAACATGCTGTGCCCATCGGGCACATCTAGCCTGCACCCCATGAGCTAAGAGTGGTTCTGCATTTTTAAAGGGACATAAAAGGACACAGAGAAGAATATGAGACAGAGACCGAATGGCCTACAAAGCCTAAAATATTTACTCTCTGGCCCTTTAAGGAAGAAATCGGCTGGCTCCATCTACCTGTGCCAGTGACCCACTTGCCACCTCAGGTGCTGAAGGCGCCCTGCAGACCGTGCCCTGTGTAGCGCACAGACTGTTTGGCTGCTGTCCTTGGAGGTGAGCCCCCGTTCTCAGCCGAAAGCCCTGGAAGGAGACTGCAAGAGGCAGGGGCTTCCACGCCATGGTCCTGGAGTGGTTGTGAGTGTGTGCAGGGAAGCGTGGCCCCAGCACTGGGCCCTTGGTCCCTCTGTGACCCCACCACCTCAGCCTGGTGATAGCCTTTCCATGGGCCTCTCAATCCAGAGACTGGCACCCCAAGGCTTCCTGCCCACACCAGCTCCGGGAGGCCTGGGGCCCGCGCCAGCATCCTGGTTCCCTCTGAAGGCACCTGTGGGGCCTATCTGCACCCTGTCTATAGCCCAGAGGGTTCCCACACCCTCTGCACTCTCTGGGCACAGCATGCCATCAGCTGTGACCGCCCACTCCCCACCTGCACTCCAGAGGGCAGCCTCCTGCCAATCCAGCGACTGTGGACCAGCTCCAGCCTGGCCAAAGCAGCCACCTCTGCTGCACAGTGGGCCGAGGTCTGCGTCCCTCCAAGATGTTCCTTCCTGGGCTGTTCTTGCTCAGTCCTGGTGACCTGAGGGAGTTTCTTCACATCTGACGCCTGTGACTCTTCTACCACACTTAGCGCTTCTTTATACTAAACTTCCCTGTTTAACCTGCTCTGTTTCCACTTCCTGCCCAGACCAATACAGCCTGACCTCATCCACAAAGACCTCAATCACAGGGACAGAAAGCACACTAGGACAGCGCGCGCAAGGGGCCTGTTGACCAGGAAGCTTTGGGCACCTCAGATACCCAAACAACACAAGTGCACAGGGGTGGGAAGTAAGCCGGCTCCCCTTGGCTCGGAGAGGCTTCAAGCTCCGGTGATGTGGAGCAGGTGGGGGCATCTTCACCAACACGAGGCCGACTTTGGTGGGGCTTTTTGAATCTGGGAGGTAACATATGATACAAAGCCTACCTATGTCATATGGCAGGCTGTGAAGACCTGCATGGCCACTGGCACCCACAGTGTCAGGGGTGAACAAGCAGGCTGTGTGGGGCCTCTGGGAGGCCCACGGGAGAATCACAGGCCAGCTGCTGAGGTGTGGGAGGAAAGCAGTGTCCCTTCTGCAGGTAACTTCTCTCCTATCCGGACACAGTTCCTGGCTTCCCCATCTACTCCATCATGTGGGCATGCTGTACACTGAGCACTGCACATCCAAAAATGCGTGTGGTCTGATCATCAAGCCTTAAGCACAGACAGAAGCAGCAGCCACACTCAATCATCACACTCAATCATCGCACTCAATCATCGCACTCAGTCATCGCACTCAGTCATCGCACTCAGTCATGGCACTCAGTCATGGCACTCAGTCATGGCACTCAGTCATCGCACTCAGTCATCGCACTCAATCATCATCACACTCAGTCATCGCACTCAGTCATCGCACTCAATCATCGCACTCAGTCATCGCACTCAGTCATCGCACTCAATCATCGCACTCAATCATCACACTCAATCATCACCACACTCAATCATCACCACACTCAGTCATCGCACTCAGTCATCGCACTCAATCATCGCACTCAATCATCATCACACTCAATCATCGCACTCAGTCATCGCACTCAGTCATCGCACTCAGTCATCGCACTCAGTCATCGCACTCAATCATCGCACTCAATCGCACTCAATCATCACAATCATCGCACTCAATCATCACACTCAATCATCACACTCAATCATCACACTCAATCATCGCAATCATCGCACTCAATCATCACACTCAATCATCGCACTCAATCATCACACTCAATCATCGCACTCAGTCATTGCGTGGAAATCTCGCTTCGTCCAAACAAAATTGTGTTCAAGCAGGTCCTGAGGCACAGGCAGATGGCACAACTAGAGGCAGCAGATCCCTCTGCCCTTGGCGCAGCTGCATTGCCTCTGTTCTCCTGGGAAGCTCCCCAGCACGCGAATGAAGAGGAGCACCATCCCTCAGCTTGGGAGCACCAGCCCTTGGCTTGCACACAGCACTGCCTCATGAGCTGCAGCCACGGTAGGTGCTCCATGAAGAAATGTCTCTGACAACAACTGGTAAGGAGAAATCATACCAGGAGGCAAAACTCTGAGCAGGACACTTGGCTGTCCACATTGTCCAGATGGGCAGATGGGCAGAGATATGGATCTTTATTGATTTAGAGGCAGTAGCCTCCATTTTGCCCATATAACCAGGACTTGGAAAGCACAAAGCAGGGGTGAAACAAGGAGGGGATGTCAGGGCTCAGGCTGAGCAGAGTGCAAGCCCATCTGTGCCCACACGGGTGCTCGCTGCAGGGTCTCAGTTCCAAAGAGTCTCTCAGAAGACCTGCTCCATGGATGCCAACACTCCCGCAGAGGGCCTGGGGTGTGTCAGCGTGTGCCAGTGTGTGCTCTGCGGGGTACCTCCTCCAAGCTCCAGGTTCATTACCTTTTCCTTTTGCGTCTCCATGCGGCGGTGGTAGCTGCTTCCCATGGTAACTAAGATCTGTGTTTCCTCCCTGGATGAAATCCCCTCTTTCTGAAACACAGGCACACTTATTGCAGGCTTGGTTCTAGACCACCACAATAACATTAATATTGCAAAAAGAGAGTCATATTAATTTTTTGGTTTCCTAGTGCATGTAAAAGTTATGCTGACACTATAATGCAGTCAAGTAAGTGTCCAATAACATTATGTCTAAAAAACTACTGGGAATATCTTGATTTTAAAATACTTTATTGCTAAAGAATACTAACAATCACCTGAGCCTTCAGGGAGTTGTCATCTTTTTGCTGGTGGAGGGTTTTGCCTTAATGGCAAAACTGATGGCAGCTAACTGCTCAGGGTGGTGGCTACTGAAGGATGGAGTGGCAATGGCAGTTTCTTAGATAACAATGAAGTTTCTGCATCTATTGACTCTTCTTTTCATGAAAGATTTCTCTAGCATGTGATGCTATTTGACAGCACTTTATGCACAGTAGAACTTCTTTCAAAATTGGAGTCAGTCCTTTAAAACCCTAACACTGCTTTATCAACTGGGCTTATGGAATATTCTAAATCCTATGTTATTATTTCAACAGTGTTCACAGCATCTTCACCAGGAGTAGATTCCATCTCAAGAAACCACTTGCTTTGCTCATCCTTAAGAAGCAATTTCTCATCCATTCGAGATTGATCATGAGATTGTAGCAATTCAGTCCCATCTTCAGGCTCCACTTCTAATTCAAGTTCTCTTGCTATTTCTACCACAACTGCAGTTACTTTCTCCATGCAAGTCTTGAACCCCTCAAAGTCATCCACAAGGGTTAGAGTCAACTTCCCCCATTAACTTCCTATTAATGTCAATATTCTGACCACCTCCTATAAATCGCAAATGTTCTTAATGGCATCTAGAATGGTGAATCCTTTCTAGGTTTTCAATTTACTATGCCAAGACCCATCAGAGGAATCACTATCAGTGGCAACGACAGCCTTAAGACATGTATTTCTTAAATAATAAGACTTGAAAGTTGAAATTACTCCTTGATCCATAGGCTGCAAAATGAATCTTGTGCTAGCAGGCATGAAAACAACATTTGTTTCTTTGGTACCTCCCCTTCAGAGCTCTTGGGTGACTAGGTGCATTGCCAATGGGGAGTAATTTTCAAAAGAGTCTGTCTCTGAGCAGTAGGTCTCAACAGGGGGCTTAAAACATTCACTAAACCATGCTATGAACAGATGTGCTGTCATCCAGGCTTTATTGTTCCATTTACAGAGACTAGGCAGGGTACATTTAGCATCATTCTTAAGAGGCCTAGGTTTTTCAGAATGGTAAATGAGCATTGGCTTCAACTTAAAAGTCAACAACTCCATTAGCCCCTAATGAGAGAGTCAGCCTGTCCATTAAAGCTTTGAAGCCAAGCTTTGACTTCTCCTCTTTTGCTATGAAAGTCCTAGATGACTTATACTCTTCAAATATAAGGGTATTTCATTGACACTGAATATCTGTTGTTTAGTGTTCTGAAGTGTTCCCCCTTCATCAATGATCTTAGGCAGATCTGGAGAACTTGCTGCAGCTTCTCCATCAGCACTTGCTGCTTCACCTTGTACTCTTACGCTATGGAGATGACCTCTTTCCTCCAACCTCGTGAACCAACCTCTGCTAGCTCCCAACTTTTCTTCTGCAGCTTTCTCACTCCTCTCAGCCTTCATGGAATAAAGAGTGAGGGTCTTGCTCCGGATTAGGCTTTGGCTTAAAAGAATGTTGTGCATGATTTGGATCATCTATCCAGACCACTAAAATTTTCTCCATTATCAGCAAGAAGGCTGTTTGGCTTTCTTATCATTTGTGTGTTCACTGGAGTAGCACTTTTAATTTCCTTCAAGAACTTTCCCTTTGCATTCACAACTTGGCCAACTGGTGTGCAAGGCCCGGCTCTTGGTCTACTTCAGCTTTTGGCTGAAACTTGCCTTCCTCACTAAGCTTAATCATTTCTAGCTTTTGATTTAAAGTGAGAGATATTCCTTTCATTGAACACTCAGAGGCCATTATAGGGTTATTAATTGGCCTGACTTCAATAACGTTGTTCTCAGGGAACAGAGAGGCCTGAGGAAAGAGAGAGATGAGGAAACTGCCGGTTGATGGAGCATTCAAAACACACATTTACAGATTCACTTTGCCATCTTACATGGGCATGGTTCGTGGAGCCCCAAAACAATTACAATAGGAACATCAAAGAACACTGACCACAGAGCACCATAACAGATATAATAATGATGAAAAAATTTGAAATATTGTGAGATTATCAAAATGTGCCACAGAGTGGGACGTGCTGTTAAAGCTGGCACATGTAATTGAAAAAATGGGCCAATAGATTTGATGGACACAGGGTTGCCGCAAACCTTCAATTTGCAAAAGATACAACATCTGAGAAGCACAATAAAGCCCAGTGCAATACGATGAGGTGCGTCTGTATCTAGAGTGGTTTCTTGACCCTGACTGACAAACTCTCCTAGAATCTACACCAATGGCGACATCACCCACTGACATGAGTAATTCAGAGAACACAGTTTAGACTGTGCTGCTTTTGAGATGTCAAGAGCTATCTACGCGAAAACAGCTACTAGGCGGTTTGATATTGTTATGTGAAGCCCAGGGATGGAAGTAAAGGTTTGAGATTATTTTACTTTACAGTATCTTTATTCACATTCTCTTTCATGTATCAATAGATTCTAGGACTTTGGATTCTAGCAATACAGCTAATTCTGAAAAAACAAAATCATGCCTCTCTAAAATACTTAGATATATTTTTGAAGGCATAGCTGTGCTTTCAGGGAAGTGAAGAATACGACTGGGAGCAAATAGTAAAGCTGTTGTTGAAAACAAAATGATAAACCACGGTTAGCTACCCTTCATGCTTGGCCTCTGCTAGGAACCTAAAGGCCACAGATAGAACGGGAAAGTAAGCTTTTGGCCCACAAAAGGTAAAGAGGAGATACTAGGACCTCTGCAAAAACACAGGCTCCTTAAAACCCACAACCTCATTACACGAATGAGCTAGAAAACATTATTCTCCAGCTGGCATGCATAGAAAAATGTCACACACACGCAAAAAAAAACCCACTTGTTTATCTCAGCTATGGCTCTTATAAAAAATAAGAATCTACACTGAGAACCTGAAAACTGCACTGATCCTTACAAAAGTTTGACTTTGAATTTACTGGTGTGGTCCAGGAAATCCTAAGCCAAGAATCTAACTTAAAGAAGTCCTGGGTTTTGGGCCGCCCTGGACATTTTCCATAAACAAATGAGAATCGTCTCTGGAGGAATGCACCCACAGGCCAGCCCCTTGGAGGCCCCACCGACTTAGGGCAGCCTGATAGGAGCCTGTGACCCACGACAAACCCATGAAGACAGTGGCCTGAATGAGGGCAGGCCAAGAGAACAGAGCATTCCAATGACTTCAGATACTATAATCGCAATGTTCGAAGAAATAAAAGCTGGATTATGAGCAGG
The DNA here is from genome assembly GCF_000001405.40 of Homo sapiens. Classification (NCBI taxonomy): domain Eukaryota; kingdom Metazoa; phylum Chordata; class Mammalia; order Primates; family Hominidae; genus Homo; species Homo sapiens. Next base: position 3,273,937 of record NC_000002.12, read on the forward strand.
CAACAAAAGACTATCACAATTTACCAGGAATCTTCTTAAAAAAAATAATAAAGCATCTAGAAGTAAAAATCATGACTGTTGAAATAGAAGTCTCTGTTGGCAATTTAACAGCAGATTAGAAATAACTGGTGAGAATTAATCATTTGGAATAAAGATGTGAAGAAAGAACCTAGGACACAGCAGAGACTGCAGCGTGGGAATGTGGGAGATAGACTGAGAGGGTCCACTGTACCCTTAAGTGGGGTGCACAGGAAAAACAGAAAACAGCAGGCACAATATCAATAAACAAATTATCAGACTCAGGAGCACAACTATCTCCAAGTACCATAATTAAAAATATATCCACTCCTGGACACACTGTAGCACAAATGCAGAACACCAAAGACAAAGACAGAAACTTACAGGTTGCCAGTGCTATGAACAGTTGGGCAGCTGACTTCCCAAGAGCACCAAAGGAATCCAGAGACAGCACACAACAAAATGCTAGAAAAAAAGTCAGGGCAGAACTGTTCAGTCAGCTAAATACTCAAAAATAAAGGCATGTTAAGGTAAATCAAGCCATGAGACCCTACTTGGGGTATAAATAAAATATTTTTAAAACCATGAGAATTTACCTCCAAAAGCCTCACTAAGGGAACTTCTAAGGACATATTTGGAAAATAAAGAAAGTGATCCCAGAAGAAAGGTCTCAAATTCGAAGTTAAAAAAAAAAAATTAAGCGAAATAAATGGCAAAAATCTAGAAAACATCTAAATATGTGTGACACTAATGATAATAACAATATTTACTTTTGAGGTTAATAAAAATACCCAAAGGTAAAATTAAAATACTGGCCAACAAAGTATCTAAGATAGAAGGGAGATGAAAATAGATTTAAAAGCTTTTCATATTGTTGGAATAGAGAAATACTGAATATTTAATTTCAGATTTCATGTTAAATATGAATAACAACATGTTATCAGTAGAAAAAGAGCATATAACTTCTAAAATAATACAGTAAGAGAAATGGAGCAAAAACAAGATTCAAAATCATTTATGAGAACAAGAAAGGACCAAAACCCCCCAAAACAGCATAAAGTAAGATGAAAGAAAGTTGTACCAAAAAAAAAGTATAAAATAAGATGACAGGAATTATTACAAATAGATCAGTATTCACAATAACTATAAGGGACATCAGCTGGATATTGTTAGACTGAATTTTTTAAAAATCAGCAAAACATTGTTTACAAGACATATCCCTAAAACGTAATGACACAGGAAGGCAAAGAACAGAAAACACCACACCAAGCAACAAAAGAAAAGCTGATTTAGCCATATTAATATTTGCCAAAATAGATCTGAGCAAAAGCAGTAAGGGTCACCACTGAACAATACAAAGGTTCAGAAACACAAAAAATTCTAAACTTATATGCCCTCAATAAAATTACACCAAAACACATAAAGCAAAAATTGACAGAACAAATAAAAATAGAGGAATCCAATATCATAGTGGGAGACTTTAAATCTTTCAATAACTGATAGAACCAGTTAGAAAAAAATTAAAATAGCAAGGTTATAAAAGATTCAAACACAACATAATTTTTTTCTCAAGTGTAAATGCAACATAAAAATTAATCCATACGATATACCATTAAAAATCTCAATATATTTCAAAGAATTACTATTAAACAATCATATTCCTTTTTTAACTGACATCCCCCTTTTATGGAAAAGAGACTCCATATCAACATCAGAATTTCTAAAAACCACCAAGAGAGAATAAAAGATTAGGAAAAAGTTGCATCTTCACAATAATACATCCTTGTGAGAGGCAGCAAACAATGGCTAAATGTGAAAAGGCAAAATTGAGGATGTGCTGAAATCCTACAGTACAAACACTACTAAGTTAAATTATCTAGCTGCCAAAGACTATACACTCAAGAAGATTATTATAGAGGTTACAGGAGAAAATTGCTACCATGACAGCTGAGTAACTTGCCTCAGGTCCCACAACTGCTAATGGCAGAACAAAAAGAGAACTCAAGGCTTTGGACTCAAAGTCGACTGTATTTTTCTACTCTATTGCATCCAATGTACCAATAACCTTAAGCAAATAAGTATTTTAAAAATTTACAAAACAGTAGGGTAGGCAATGAAAGGACACCACTAAAGTGAAGAAACCATTCAATTTCATAGGCATTGCTATGAAACACAGATAAATTGTCAAGATAAGTGTACTCGATTTTTAGAAATTACCATTTAGGGTGAAAATCAATCTAAAGTGGACTGTTTACTTCCTTGCTGTTGCAAATGCTATATCAAAAAACTTCTAAAAATTATTCTTTGACGATTTATTGGTAACATAATTAGCTATTCTGGTGCATAAATATTCATCTCCAGACAGAGAACGGATGATGTGGGAGCCCATGCTGAATAAATACTTTTATCCACAGCTCTGAAATTTCCTTTCATGAAAAATATTGCTTTTATAATTTTTTCTTATAACATGTAAGAGATAAACTACAGCCAGTTTAGCTGCAGTCTTTCTGCAAGATTGCTCTTCTAACGTGGTCAGGAGTCCAGCCACCATGTTCTTTCCTGCTGCACCCAGCACCCTTGGGCCACCACACAAAGCTGGGTGTCTTCCTGCTGGTTTGGGAGCACAGTGGCCCATGTGCCACTCGGTCTCATACTGTGGCCAGCTCAAGTCCACTACCTCCATGTCAACTGGTTTTGAAAAAGTATAAATATGGCTGCTCTTCCGCATCCCTAGAATTATGCTAGGATGCTTTGGAAAGGTTTCCTCTAGATCTACAGATGTAATTTACCAGCGGATGGCGTTTTCAGTGGATGTGCACTGGGTTCACAGTTTTCTCTAAGTTCTGGTTGTTTTAATAAGGAACACAACTCTAAGCATGAGTAATATTAAAAATAATAGCATCCATATGATTAGGTTAAAATGCAAACACCTACAATGATAGATTAATTTACTGAAATTTCTAAATTTACACTTTATGTTTTGAGTAATGCCTTAAACCATGAGACAAGTCACCAGGGAGCAAACCTGTTTGTCAGTTACGGGTACTGTGTAATCCAATACTCTAATTAAAAACGTAAGAGAAAGAGAAGGTACCAGGAAAACTCGGGTGAATGTACGAGGAAGTCTCAGTAAAAACAAGTTATTCAAAAACCCTGCCCATTTAGAGGCAGGCAAAACAAAGTGCAATGTTGGGGGAGAAACCACAGAAATCCAGGAGCCTCTCCACCCACGCGGCCCCACACCTGTCTCCACCCACACGGCCCCGCACCTGTCTCCACCCACGCGGCCCCACACCTGTCTCCACCCACGCGGCCCCACACCTGTCTCCACTCACACGGCTCCACACGTGTCCTCTGTTCTCCATTCAACGCATTGAAACTACAACTGGAAACGGTAGAGGACATTTCTGGGAATAATTTACATAAGAAGGGTGATTTACATGCGGGATACTCAGGTCTGCAGAAATGCCTTGACCCCATGTCAAAGATGAACAGCTTCAAAACCTTACCAGGTGATGGGTGGCAAGACCATTCTGCAAACATTTACTTCGCCCTGCCTGTGTGGCCTTCACCTACGTGCTTTACAAATAAGAACTCACTTACCCGGTGAACAACCCCAGGCCGTGGGAACTACTCCCCGGGGTGTTCATCTGGTTCCTTTTCTCATTAATTAAGTGACCCACCTGACTAGGCTGAGTAACGCCCACCTGCTACTCTAAGGAGCCCGGGGCATGAGTGGGGGTCCCTGCCAGGCGCTGCCTGCAGTCGGCCGTATCTCAGCCCCTACCCTCCATTTACTTGTTGCGCAGCCTCGGCTAGGGGCCCTGACTGCTGCGAACATTGCTGCCCCATCTGTGCGTCTCTCAGGCTGAGGTGAGCATGGAAAGGAGCTACATGAAAAGGCGTGTTTCACGGTGGACTTGAGCCCTTGGACGGCACTAACCAAGCGGCACTTCCTCGGCCCGTCCCTGCGTTCTCCAGCCATTCATGGAATGAGGGGGCACAAGCCAGTCAGGGCTGCACCAGCACTCCCATTTCAGGGCCCCAGCCCACCCTGTGCTCCCAGGCCTCCCTCACTAGGGAACTGCCCTTCCTAATCATCCCTGGGAATAACAGGAGGGTCTGCACCTGTGGTTGAACTTCACCTGGTCCCACCACCGTCCCCAGGCTCACTCAGTCTGTCTGTGGGGACTCCAGGTACGAGGCACAGGCCCCAGAGGCCCAGGGGAGTCTGAGATGGAAACGAGAGGAGGGGGAGACGCAGGTGGATGGCAAAGGCCACCTGCATCCCTGCATCCTGCCCCATCAGCTGCTGCCATCCACACCACATGCAGACTGTGGTTGGTGCCACTGCCCACATGCCCTGCCCTTGGACCATGGGCCCCATGCTGCCCAACCAGGAACCTCCTCCAAGCTACCACTTCTCTGCAGGAGCCAGGGGAACCTGCCTTTAACCTGTGGCCAGCCAGCCCTCTGAGAGAGTACCCTCCCTCCGTGCAGAGCTGCTCTGCCCAGGGCACCATCTCTCCTTAATCCAAGCCCTGTCCTCCCCAGTCCCCACAGCACCCTGGCAGGAGCAGGCTGGGAGGCAGCCAGGCCCAGCTCACCCTCTTCCTTCCTCACGACTTCCGACCCCTGAGGTTGGCCTGGCCTGGCCTGCTCTACCGGAGGCTCCACTTGTGGCCATTTCTTTAAGGGGAGGGGCCTTCCCCTCCAGCTGAGTCCGCTTCAGGGCCCCCAGACCATCAGCGAGGTCGGCCCACCTCCAAAACCCAACTACATACAGGATTCAGGCAAGCCCGGAAGATCAAGCAGATGGAAGGCCATGTCTGCCCCAGCAACCCCATAACTGGCAACCCCATAAGCCCCACAGAGGCTGCCCTGTGCAGGGAGGAGGTCACGGGGGGCACTGCCCAACCTCCCGCCAGCCCATTAGCCTCACCTCCAGCCAACAGAAGCAATCTGGCAGACAGCATAAACCTTGGTTGATACGTGAGTTCACCTGTGCTCTGAGTACATCGAACCATTTTTTTATGCCTACAGAAGGAAACAGTGACATCTGCTTGACATCAAACTACTTTCTGGACAGTGACTCGACACCCATGTTCTCACTAAAACAGGAAAATGTGGGTTTGCCAGCATTTGCTAAAGCAAATGTGACACACAGCACTTTAGGAGGTAGTTTTTAAAAATCAGCATTATACACCTCGCAACCGATCATGTCAGAAATTAATTAACACCCCTCACTCCAAAAAATCTTCATCCCTTCATTCTTTGGAAATCTGATGATTTTCTGACTGATGTAATTAGGTTTCCAATATTTTTTCCCACACTGGAATATCAAAAACACTCTCTTATAAAAATATTCAATCAATTTATCTGTAAAAACATATTTGTCAGTAAATACTGGGAAGAGGTCGGAATAGTCTGTCACCTTGAGCCCAGCGAGGTAGCGTAGGATACAGGGATGCAGGGCCAAATGGACATCATACCAGGCAAGGTCGGAATCCCCGCTTGTGGCCTGCTGGCTGGGATCCTGGGCAAGGTGTCACTTACAATCCCTAAGCCTCAGTCTCCCCAGCTGCAAAATGTAGACAGATACCAATGCTTCTCTTCTGGGGATTTTTAAAATAATAAATGAGATGGAAATGAATGCACATATCATGCAGCCTAAGAGATAAGGTAGACACTCAACAGAAGCGAGTTTAAAGAAGGTATGGAATGGTGAATGCCCAGGCACGAGGGTCGGGACAGCGGCCTGCTCATCTGTGCAACTGCAGGAGGCTGCTCCGCTGACCTGACGCGCAGAGCTGTGAGGTGAACCAACACCATGATGCGAAGTTACACACAACCCAGGAAGTTTAGGTGTGTTCCATCACATGCCAAACGATTCACTGGAATCAAACACCTCTCACTTATATCCACGTCTCTGGCTAAAAAGAAGTAACAGGACCTCATCCTCTTACTAGTCACCGCAGCGCAGCCTGGAGCCTATCAGCTGCAGTTTTGCAAGTAGCTTTTTGTAAGGACGGAGAAAAGAAAAATAAATGTTACTATTTATCTTTCTATTTTTATGTATTTGTATGATTTCTATGGAGCCCATTCTGGTTCACCATTTTCTTGTAATCACCTTAGAAGAGGAAAGGGATGTGTTGTGGTTTATGCCTTTCCGATTCTTTAACTGTGAGAAAAAAGGGGAGATGCAGCAGTAATTCCAAAACACTCTTCCTTCCACACTGACCGCCCTGCTTAGCCCCTTTAAACCTGAGTCCGGAGCCTCACAGGTTGCAAAGCACCGTGGTGGTTACCCACAGCTACAGACAAGTCGGCAAAACCTTAAGGAGGCTCCACGCTCCCTCACGCACACAGAGGAACTCGGACCCGGTCTCCCAACTCCTCGCCCGGCCTCGTTCCCATCCTCCAGGTGCCTCGAGGCGGCATCTCAGGCTTCACACGAGCCACACCCTGGCATGAGGAACAGGATGGGCCGCGGGTGAGTGGCCCTGGGAAGACTGGCCCCGCCTCTCTGCTTGTCTCCCCCAACTTGAATCTAACCTGCTCCAGGGGAAGAGGGGCTCTGGCCAACTCGCTCACAACCCTGACCGCGCCTGCAGATGGGAAGGGCTCAAGGCTGCGAGCAAACGAGGTTGCCTTGTCTAAGTCAGCTACAAGTATCCGCTCTGATTTTAACATCAGCAGGCCTGTTTTGTTCAGGGGAAGCTCTTTCCTTCACTCCCATGAGAGGCCACTGGCATGGCTTCCACAATATGGCTCCTAGAGGTGATGGCACCCAGAGGGACATGGCCAGTGCCACAGTGAAAGCTGTGCCTTCCAGCGCACTCAAGGAGAGGCAGCTCCTCTCAGCCTCAGGACATGAGAAGCTGCATGCCCAGGTTAGAGGTCTGAGCACAAGCAGCCAGTGCCACCCGCGCCTCCTCCTGTGGTCATTTCCAGGAGCCGCCTGTGCAGCTGCTGCTGCTGGACGCTCTTCCTCCCCTTGATCTCCCTCCTTCTGGTGACTCATCCCTGTACCTGGCCTCCAGCTTGGGGTGCTGTCTCCTACGTGGTCCTCTAGGAGAACCCAAGCACCATACCCACCCCCATCCACATAAAGCCATGTTCCCTGGGCACAGCACCCTGTCCTTGCCTTCATGGCTGGAATGCACACCACACTCCCTGGTCTTTCGGTACTCGAGGTCTGGCTCACACAGTTGAGTGGACACAAACATCCACTCAACAACTTGGAAATCAGGGAAGTCAGATTTCTCTTCTTGGCCCAAAAGTGCCCTCTGGTTGTGGTGGCTGGGACCTGCCCTCCTTCTCGGTGTCCCTCCAGGAAGGCTGGAGATTTGTTTACAGAAATCCAGTGAGCGTGCACATTTCCTGAGAACATAGGGCGAGTTAGTGAGCACTTCTCAAAAGTCAGAAGTCTTCATTATGAAAGGTAAACAGATCCAGGGATTAGGCGCCTGGGAATACTTACATCTGTTTCATGAAAAGGTAAAGCAAAGCAAAACGATGGAAAAAGGCACATAAAAGAGAGCAACTGGAGTGGTGAGATGAAAAAACTGAGGAAAAATCTGGAAATTTAGTCAGCGGCTCCAAAAAGTCACTATTATCACACAGTGCTCATGAGCAACACCCACGTATACAGGAACGCGTGCCTGGAAGGGCTCAGTAGATCGAACTAGCTCCCTTCAGACGGTCAAGGCGGAAACAGCATTGACATTCATTATGTTACAATGTGGAATATGCCAAATATTCTTATTTTTACCTGTCCAACCATCCCAAATTAAAATTTTATGTTGAAACTTGATTCTGAAATAAATTATTTGGATTTTCCATATCTTTTCAAATGTAACTGTGTTTATTTCAAATTCCTATAGATCAGAGAGAAAAAACAAACAAAAAATAGTTTTAACAAAATGAGAGATTAAAACCAAAGTTTCTGCGGGATGATAGAGACCCTTTTTAAGCACTAGAGGGGCTCACATGAATGGAACTGAGTGTTAGGTGGAAATACCAAGTTCAAATGCCAGGATGCTTTAAAAGGGGCACTGCGTACGTGGAAATGAGAATTTTATATTCAATGCCACAAAAAAAGCTCACTGATGAGAGCCAGTTGGTGCAGCCGTCAAGTGAAGGAGGAATCCCTGCAAAGATCAAATAAGTAAGTTTATGAAAATTCTAGGACAAACCAGCCAACAGGAGAGCCAAGTCAGCTCCCTGCTGGGTTGGTGTCGGCAACCATCACCAGCCCCGGGCCACCGTCAGGTGGGGGCACTGCCCCTCTGTGCAGCTTGCACAGAGGCCTGAAGATGGACAGCTCTGCGGACATGGCTAGCAGCTGCCCTGGACTGAACATGCTTTTACCCTCAGACCAAGTGGTGAAATCTGTCTTTCCAGCCTTTTGTGTGGAAAAAACAAAAAACACAGCCCCACAGACTTCAATGAGCCCGGCACTTCCTTTCTTGTGTTCCCTCGTCACTCCCTCCCACCTGGTGCATAAACATACCCAGATTGCGGTCTCTGTCTCGTTAGTCATCCCGTTCATTCCCTCATGTTTAACCTTGAAACCCGACTGCCAATGCACTGACATCGGTGCCTACAGACGGCCGCACGGGCTGCTGCGCCGGCTCCTGGCAGGGTGTGTGCTTTGATGGGCTCTGGGGGCAGAGCCAGCTGGCGGCGGCAACTCCGTTGCCCAGGGAACAGCCATTGAAGTGTGCGCTCCCGAGTCTGCACCAGGCCGGCGCCTGTCGCGGTGCTGGCTGAACCTCGGCGCTGCAGGGGCTGTGCCCGGCGGGTGCCCATTAGTGCTCTCCGTGCTCCAGGAACAAGGAGCAGGTCCAGAGGCCCCGCTCTTCCCACTGACAAACGGGCTTGGTTTGCTGCCTTATTAATGACTACGCCACTCTCACCACCCAAACAAAATGCACAGAGTAGGAGGAAAGAATTAGCTTCGAGGAGGTGCTCTTACTATTTTTAGACAATGCCTGTCAGCTACAGAGCAGCGGAATAGCCCTGAATACCTAGGGGTGATCTGTCCTTTTACTTAATGCAAACTCTGCTTTATTTTGCTTATTTATTCCATTTTCAGTGCCCCCCAACCCAATTTAGTCTTCCCTGTTTTTGCAGTCCTCATTTGGAGAATATATGAAACATACCAGTCCTTGCCACTTTGAGGAATCAGGGGAAGGCCAGCTGCCCCAACCCTTGGCTCCCACTGCCATCACAGTGATGAGGCTCTCCTGGGGCAGGGACATCCTAAGAGGGTCCATGCAGCAAATGCACCTCTCAGCACCACCACGCTGGGCTGGCCTCCTCCCCACACCAGCAGCATGGCGCACTGGTCCGAGCAGCCAAGTAACACTGCGCCAACAAACATGGAGGCACCCGAGGGGCTGCGAACCACCAGGCCCACCTCCTGCCCTGACCACCCCTCCTAGCAGGTGGCGGGGCCACTCCTATCTCCTCACTCTGCAACCCAAGCTGAGGGGGAAGCTGCTGCCTCCGCATTGCCTGCAGTGGCACAAGAGGACTGAGAAGGAGCTCACGCCCAGAAGTGATGCACCACGTTCACACCCCGGCACACTGGCCAAAACTCGCCATGCCTTCCCCCAGCTGCAAAGGACGCCCAGACGGGCAGGAGAGCCAGATACCAGCGAGCACCACTAGTTAAAGAGGGGAAGAAAAGAAAAGGGAAAACTGCTGGGCACAGAGGCTCCAATCTAATCCCAGCACTTTGGGAGGCCAAGGCAGGTGGATCATTTGAGGTCAGGAGTTCAAGACCAGCCTGGCCAACATGGTGAAATCCCATCTCTACTAAAATACAAAAATTAGCCGGGCGTGGTGGCGGCTGTCTGTAAATCCCAGCTACTCAGAGGAGGCTGAGGCAGGAGAATCACTTGAATTCCAGAGGCAGAGGATGCAGTGAGCCAAGATTGCGCCATTGCACTCCAGCCTGGGTGACAAAGCGAGACTACATCTAAAAAAAAAAAAAAAAAAAAAGAAAGAAAGAAAAAAAGAAAAGGGAAAACAACCACCTGAGGATGTGCGAGGGAGCGGTGCAGAGGCCCAGGGCTGTCTCCCCAAGACGCAGGCCAGGAAGCAGACGTGCAAATGGGAGAGCCCACAGGCACAGAAGGCCGCGGCACGGCTGCAGGTAAGGTGGGCACATGGAGATGGGGCCGGAGGCCGCCCACAGGCACAGAAGGCCGTGCCACGGCTGCACGTAAGCTGGGCACATGGAGATGGGGCCGGAGGCCGCCCACAGGCACAGAAGGCCGCGCCACGGCTGCACGTAAGCTGGGCACATGGAGATGGGGCCGGAGGCCGCCCACAGGCACAGAAGGCCGTGCCACGGCTGCACGTAAGCTGGGCACATGGAGATGGGGCCGGAGGCCGCCCACAGGCACAGAAGGCCGCGCCACGGCTGCACGTAAGCTGGGCACATGGAGATGGGGCCGGAGGCCACCCACAGGCACAGAAGGCCGCGCCACGGCTGCACATAAGCTGGGCACATGGAGATGGGGCGGGAGGCCGGGTCTTGAGCAGTGTGCAGACCACGGACAGTGGTGCAGAAAGGGAAACAGAACCCAAATGTACTCAATCTCTATTATGTGCCTGCACTTTGCATTCTTCAGCCCATCTAATGTCACTCCACAAAGCAGATGTTATTTCCATTCTGTTGATGAGAAAAGTCAGGGGCAGAGAACGGTTCACTTCTCAGGATACAGTAACTCAAATGGAGCCAGGATTCCAACTCGAGTCTGCCCAACTCCAAATCCATTTCCCCGTGTCATTATCCTGCCTTTCCGCTTGTGGCAGGAAGGAGCACACAGTTGGGAAAGGGGGGCCCGCCAGCAGCAGAGTCAGAGGAAGAGAAGGTGGCTGCGAGAGGACAGAGTGCAGAGGCCCCGGGGTAGATCGTGGTGAGGTCACTGTGAGAAGGGAAAGCGGGTGTCAGAACCACGTGACCCAGCAACTCTCCCCAAGAAAGAAGAACAGACGTGTAGGTATGGATCTTCAATACAGCATTGTACAAGGGCAAGATAGTGAAAGTCAATGTCCCCCAATGGAGAAGTGGTTAAATACACAGGGACACGTCAGACCACCATGGAAAATGTCCTCGTGAAAGATGGCTGCTCACTCCATCTCAGGGCAGGCCGGACAGTCCCCCGAGGTCAGCGAGCCTGTGGCCCTCACTGCCTCTGTCTCCACACAAACTGGAGACACCCAGCCCAAGAGGAAGAACCTGGGACAGGGCAGGGGAGAAGCAGGCTCCAAGCACACCCTGGAGCAAACCTCAAAGTCAGGGCTGGGGTCAGAATGGGGGCCAGGAAACAGAGCCAACACCCTCCCACCCCCCCACCCCCACCCCCACCCCCCAGGTCCCAGCTGTGGTGGACGGGAGCAGCAACACCCACCGCCTGCCCAGCTGCAGCGAGCGAGCACTGGCCACGGCCTCTGCTTCTATCAAGGCTCAGGGCCAATTAAACACTGAGCGTTGGGGACTGAGCACTTCTAGCTTCAAAACAGGAGTTTGCTTGTTTTCTTTCAGAAGTGCTCCATAAGAATTAAAGTGTTGGAGTCCAAAGAAAGCTCTGCCGACCACATGGAGGCAAAGCTCAGGAGGCACTGGTGGAGCCTCAGCTTCTGATGCTGCGCAAGAGTTACTAACACATGGAGCAGAAGTCACCGATGTCTCCGGGACCCTCGCACGGAGCAGAAGTCACCGACTGTCTCCGGGACCCTCGCACGGAGCAGAAGTCACCGACTGTCTCCGGGACCCTCGCACGGAGCAGAAGTCACCGACTGTCTCCGGGACCCTCGCACGGAGCAGAAGTCACCGACTGTCTCCGGGACCCTCGCACGGAGCAGAAGTCACCGACTGTCTCCGGGACCCTCGCACGGAGCAGAAGTCACCAACTGTCTCCGGGACCCTCGCATGGAGCAGAAGTCACCGACTGTCGCCGGGACCCTCGCACGGAGCAGAAGTCACCGATGTCTCCGGGACCCTCACTTTGGAAGCAGTGCCCTGCCCTGAGGACATGGGGCAGCCGGCTGTAGGTGTTCCAGCTGTGGCTCCATCTTCCTAGCTGAGAGCCAATGCCAGCTGCAGCCACTGGGAGTGAACAAACCTTCCCAGGACTCCAGCTTTTTCCAGCCAAGCCCCCAGGCACATGGAGCAGACACAAGCCACACCTGCTATCCCTGCCTGATTCCCCACCCTCAGAACCCATGAGCAGCACAAAAGGTTGTTTTTATGCTAATAAAAAAAAATAGGTTGGCCTCATTTACAAACCCAGGGTGATTCGACAACTGCCGTCACCGTGCCTGCCTGTGTATGACGTGTACACACACTGCTCCTGTGTAAACGTGTGGCCGTGACATGGCCTCCGTTCAGCTCCAGGTGTCAAGTGCCAGATTCCAGGAAGCCCCAGGAGTGGGCCCAGAAGGAGCAGTGCCAAGGACCCCCGGGGGTGGGGCCATCCTACCAGGCATGTCCTGGGCACATGGGAAGACCGAGAGGTGAGGGACACTTGGTGTCCGTGACAGGGAAAGGCTGAGGCATCAGGCTTCGGGCTGTGTCTACCTTGGTGACTCTGGAAGCGTTTTCATAAGCACTTGTCATATGTCATATGCAGTGTGCTCCAGGGGAGCAGGGGATCTCACAGTCCAGAGTGCCCCGCAGAGCACCCGAGACAGCGGCTGGCAGAGCACAGGCAGCAATGCCCCAGAGGAACAAGCCAGCCCCTGCGTCCCCACGTGCTGAGTCCATCCTCCCAGCAGCTCCAAGAGGCGGAGCTATCAATTTCACATACAGACAAGGAAACCAAGGCTTGGAGAGTTGAAGCCACCGTCCAAGAACACACCAGAGTGCCAGCCGGCAGAGGGGGCTGTGGGGAGCACACAGAGTGCCAGCCAGCAGAGGGGGCGGTGGGGAGCACACAGAGTGCCAGCCGGCAGAGGGGGCGGTGGGGAGCACACAGAGTGCCAGCCGGCAGAGGGGGCGGTGGGGAGCACACAGAGTGCCAGCCGGCAGAGGCGGCGGTGGGGAGCACACAGAGTGCCAGCCGGCAGAGGCGGCGGTGGGGAGCACACAGAGTACCAGCCGGCAGAGGGGGTGGTGGGGAGCACATCACACCTAGACCCAGCTGCAGCACCAAGCTCGTTCACCACGCTCTAGAAAACTCATTCAACATGTTCCACAAAGCTCGTCCACCACACTCCAGAAAGTTCGTTCACCACGCTCCAGAAAGCTCGTTCACCACAATCCAGAAAGCTCGTTCACCACACTCCAGAAAGCTCATTCACCACACTCCAGAAAGCTCGTTCACCACACTCCAGAAAGCTCGTTCACCACACTCCAGAAAGCTCGTTCACTGCGCTCCAGAAAGCTCGTTCACTACGCTCCAGAAAGCTTGTTCACCACAATCCAGAAAGCGTGTTCACCACGCTCCGGAAAGCTCGTTCACAATCCAGAAAGCGCGTTCACCACACTCCAGAAAGCTCGTTCACCACACTCCAGAAAGTTCGTTCACCACACTCCAGAAAGTTTGTTCACCACGCTCCAGAAAGCTCGTTCACCACAATCTAGAAAGCGCGTTCACCACGCTCCAGAAAGCACGTTCACCATGCTCCAGAAAGTTCATTCAGGCTCCAGAAAGTTCGTTCACCACGCTCCGGAAAGCTCGTTCACCACAATCCGGAAAGCGCGTTCACCACGCTCCAGAAAGCTCATTCACCACGCTCCAGAAAGCTCGTTCACCACGCTCTAGAAAGCTCATTCACTATGCTCCAGAAAGCTCATTCACTATGCTCCAGAAAGCTCATTCACCATGCTCTAGAAAGCTCATTCACCATGCTCCAGAAAGCTCATTCACCATGCTCCAGAAAGCTCATTCACCATGCTCCAGAAAGCTCATTCGGCATGCTGTAGCCCCTATGTACCCAGGCGGTGGAGGGGCCAAGGTCGTGTGCAGAGGGTACTGAGTAAGGAGTAGGCTGCCTGCACTAAGGGGTAATTGCCATGAGAGCTCCTCGTGGCCCCTCACAGGGTTCCCCTCTCCTCCCCGTGGCCCGAGTCTGCTGTAGGTAAGGTTGTCGCAGGGTGCATCCTGACGGGGTGGCATCCTGATGCGGTGGCGTCATGGCAGATGAGAGCAGCGGGTGGGGCAGGGCCACAGTCTCCCGCCGCCACCTGGGGCCTTGGCACATGCTTGTCCTGCCACCCTTCAGATGCTGCTCTGGAAGCAGGTGTGCTATTTCCAAGCCCTGCCTCTCTGCTAGCCTGGAGGTCTTCCAAAACGCAGGCCACCCTCATACCTCATTGAAACACTGAACCCAAAGCAAGTTTTGGGACTCTAGCAGTTTAGGAAATTGTCATTGAAACTATCCAAGTTCTTCGAAAGTGACCACAGGGCGAACAAGGAGGTGATGTGAAATACCACGTTACAGCTGAACATGAGTCTCACGTGGCTGGGGCTGCTGGGGTGTCCGGAAAGTTCTTTTGCTTCTCTGACAGGTGGCAGAGTAAAAGACAGTTATTAATGATGTAAGAACACAAGCCAGGAAGAAAAGCACTTCTGAGGACAAAACCAGGGTGTCACTGTGGCCCTTACAGGGCAGATGCGGCCTGGAATCTGTTGCTAAGCAACAGCCTTCCCAGTTCCTCGGGCATCAGAGGGTGGCAGCTGCTGGACTTTGCCAAACGTGAAGATCCCGAGACAAGCCCAACCTTCCATCAAGACCAGGAAACACTGCTCAGCAGGCACGGTCAGACATGGCAGCATCAGATGGCGCATGGCCTGGGACAGAGGACAGACGCGCAGCACGCAGCAGCCATGATACAGTGGGAGTGGGGATGAAACCAGATTCTGGTGCACCAGCCATTCCTGCATGGGATGGGTAGGAGGGCCAGGTGATGGCCTCGGCAACGCCCACAGGCCCCAGCAGCCCTGGCCCCCTGGGCAGCCACAGGCCCCCAGCGGAGCCCCACCCCGCACACAGCCTCCAAGTGCCTGCACGGCCGTATCTCCCGCAATTAAAATGCAGGCTTTCAAATCCATGACGCTCACGCACTGCTCAGCTTTCTGGAGTTTTAATTGCCCATTTGCTTTCTTCCTAGGCAACAGAACTGCTCTATTAATATCTCCCCACCGGTTTCAGGGGAGAGGGGAGACAAGCGAGGATTTGTTTCTGTATTAATTGGCAAACCTCTTTGCCGCCTGCTTCCTGGACCTCTCAGGGCTCGCTCTTCCTGTCTCTTTCTTCTCAATCATTTCGCTGTCTCTCTCTTCTCTCTGGGTGATCCTCCAAATTATAGTTTTAAAACAAAGAACGCCGAGCTCAGGGTTTTCTCTCTGTCCAGACAGAGGATGGGGCGTGTGACCCAGGGACCCAGAGTATGTTGTTGGATCTCAAATGCCTACAAAAATGACAGAAGGAACAGTCTCGTCCTCTGTGGGAGAAGGGCAATGGCAGACCCAAAACCGAACTGAGGGACCACGGGATCCTGGGAGCCATGCCCTGCTCCCCACTCTGCACCAGCCTCCTGGCCTTCCGCTTCTGTGCTGGTTCCCTCGGTCTCCCTCCCAGCTTGTAAACGAGGCATGCCCAGAGCCATCCGTGATCCTGTCTCCCTATGTGCACCATGTCTAAAATGAGCCCCAGGGCTTTGAATCCCGTAGGGTGTGTCAACAGCACCCAATTCACATTTCCCATGCTCATCTCCCCGACGCAGGCTCCCACAGCCACCAGCTTCAGCAGACGAGTAGACACATGATACGCAATTCACACTTAGTGTCCAAAGCTGAACGCCAGCGGCCCCCAGCCTTATCCTTCCCGGGGCTTCCCGTCTCAACAGACAGCATCAGTGCTACATGCTTGCTCAGGCCACAAGATACTGGCCCCACCTTGATCCACGCCTCTCATCACGACCACTACACCCTTTGTCACGGCCTCCAGGGTGAGTGCCGCAGTTCCAGCTGCCACGGTCGCTCACAGAACCACACAATGCCCTCTGATGGGCCCTGCCACAGCTCCTGGCTAAGCCCTGGCTGGCATCTCCTTCCCAGCCACTTGTTTCTCCTTTATCCCATTGCACAAATTACACATTTTCTTTTGTACTTAGCATTGTCTGTCCCCCATCAAGCCTGCAGGTTACAAGGGCAAGGTGTGTAGCTGGTGGGTGCTACAGGCCCAGCATACAGGGCAGTGCGTGGCACAAGACAGTGGCTCGTCTCGCTCACCCGGATGCAGCCCCCAGGCCTAGAATGCTGCCGGGAGCAGAATAAGATGCACAACGAAGGATGGTGGATGCGTAATTATGACGTGTTATATGAAGTACACAAAAGATTATGACATGCATAACACCTTTTAAATACAAAAGAATACAAAAGGAAGAGTCCTTTTTAAAGATGTTATTTTACCACTAAAATGTGACAGCGGGTTGGGTGAGGAAGGGTTGGAACTGGGGGAGTCAAAGGTTCCCAGGAACCTAAGCCATAATCAAGAGAAAAATCTTCTCCCTGAAGAAGTGGTGGCAGCAATCAGCTGTAGCTTGTACTTCTTTAGGGATTTTTCCTTAAAAAAATAGACTTAGTCTTTGTAATGGGTCTTGCCACTTGGGCATCTGTAGAATTCATTTGGCCATGAATTTAGGGTATGCCATGGCTCTCTAAAGAGGAGGGTGCTGGGGGCAGGTGGCGGGGGTGTGGCAGCAAGGGACCACATTCTCCTCACTGCACAGGCAGCCGTGCCTGACCACTTCAGTGGGGCTGAGCGCACTTGCTGTGACAGGAGAGGCCCCATGAAATGGACCGTCGGTCATCTGGGTCTTTCGCGAATCAACCAGCACTAATTGCCATCAGATTGCATGTGTCAGCACACACAGACAGCGCTTCCATCACGGCCCGAGCAATGCAAGAGGAACACAGAGAATCTATTTTATCTCGTGGTGCTCCAGGCCAGGCCAGGACTGAGAGAAAGAGGCCAGAGTGGGATGGACTCTTCACATTCCACGGGCCAGCCCTCAGTTTTCTGATTAGGAAGTAAACTGGGTCTAAAATTTGGCTTCTGCCCAAGTCCCTAAGAGATTCCCCCACGGCTGGCATTGATGAGGATACCCCGAGGAACATGCCTCAGATGCGAGGCTGGATGTTAGCCCCACAGCAGCAGGGATGCCTGGGGGTGGGGCGAGAACACCCAGAATGAAGCTACAGGCACACCCAGCATCACAACACACACAACTGGAGATCAAGAATTCAATTCTGTTGTAATTAGGACACACATCAGCACAAAGTGGGCTATCATCCTATATGAAGAGTACATGGTTCTGCCGTGTACCCGAATCCACGTAGCGGGCTGCACGCACAGTTCTGCCGTGTACCCCAACCCACGTAGCGGGCTGCATGCACAGTTCTGCAGTGTACCCAAATCCATATATTAGACTATGCTGGGTGCTGAACACTTAGAACTCATAACTATCTGCTTTCAAAAGGAGTCTAAGAGAGATGGTTAGTTGTTAAATACATTATGATATAGATCAAAATTATATCATAAAAACGTCATAATTTAAAAGATAGTTTTATCTAAACATAAAGCATACCTCCTAAAAAATTGGTTTTTAAATTCAATCTGCATCCATTTGTCTTGAGTAGGGAACACATTCAAGTGGTCTCTGGGGTGATGCCGTGAGGGAGTGTGGCTAAGAAACTCACCCAGGCCCTTTCCATCCTTTCTCTCATTTAATCTGTATAATAGACGTGGAAGTTATTACCTTTTTATATCATGGTATTGTTATCACTTTATAAAGAGCAAACCAAAGTTCTCAAATATCAACCTTAGTGCCGTTTTCCTGATTTTCTTGGAGAAACACAATGTTATGTAAAGGTAAGTTGGTCACCTTCGCATGACCATGGCAATGTCACAGCAGGTGGCACAGCTGGATGCTGTCAGCCCCAAGCCTGTCTGTGTCCTGGTCCTGTGGCCGTCAGGGGCCCCGCTGGGCCATCCACTCCAGGGGCACCATGCACACGTGCTCGCCACGGGGCCACATGGCAGCCTATGTCCACTGAACCCTCCTGCCACACATGCTCTGCTCTGTGAGGAAGGTTGAAGAGTTTTCCATTCTGGCTCCATGCTAACATCACTCAGGAATGAACCTACTAACATCTGGGGCCCTGTTGGGAAATATTCTGGGTCAAGGTGAGGCCTGCAGCACTGGAACTTTCCCTAAGTCCTCAGGTGACTGCGCGGCCAGACTGGGACCCAGTCCATTAAGTGGCTGACCCATCATTTATGTTAATGGTTTATCATCTTCAAGTGCCCCTTCATAAGATACTCGTACAAAAAAGACCGTGAGCCCTACAGGCCCCAGATACTTCCCCCATGCTCACCACGCTGTTGGGGGGACAGCCCCCCACACCTCACAGACAGCCGGCTCTGTGCACCTCACAACAGGCCCACATACTTCCCCCATGCTCACCATGCTGTTGCGGGGACAGCCCCCCGTACCTCACAGACAGCCGGCTCTGCGCACCTCACAAGTACCTCTCCTTAATCCCCAGAGCGATCTCCAGATAGGTGCTGCTGTCCCTCTTTTATGAGGAATGAGTCTAAGCCTAAGAGACCTCCCCAAGGCCATACAGCCTCCGTGCCAGAGCCGGAACTCAAATCCAGGTATGTCTGATGCTGACGTCTGTGCTGCCTCCAAGGCACGCAGCCTCATGTGATGAACAGGTGACCACCACCAAAAAGCTCTCATCTACATTACGGCAACTTCTGCCAAGATGATGCCAGTACTATGTGGAAGATTAAAATAATGTTGATTTCTTTATAATGAATTCAACTGTTACTGAAAATAATGAGATATGAGACAGAGAGCAAAAATGTTTTGAAAAAAAAAAAAAACTAAAACTAAATATAAACCTTAGTGGCTAGGTCCAAAAAAGACTGTCATTTGCAGAAAACGAGAAAGGGAGAGAGAACGTTCCTTTTCCACATTAAACGAAATAAGCCCTGCTACCCCGGTCCCATGAAGCCTTTCTGGGCAGACACTGGCCCAGGCCTGAGCTCTTCTGCACCCATGTGCATTCTCCCAAGTCCTCTGCCAGCCTACGAGTCTTCCTCTGTTTCCTTTCATTCCATCACAGAACAATCTCGACAAACTATCACCCTACAATCTATAGCCTGGTGGCATGGCTTGCTCGGTGAGTTGAGCTTAACTCAGCAACATTCTAGCACAGATGAGGGCCTCCCCTTGAGCCGGCCTGCAGCACTCTAACCGGGTTCCCAGGACACCTTTCCTAGCAGGCTCAGGAAAGGGCATCTTTACTGGGTCAGTGGCTCCTCCAGGAGGCCCTTGGAAGACTTCAGGAGGGGCGTGGTGGAAGACAGAGGGAAATGCTGCTATAGCCTGTGAGTCCATGCGTGGGGAGGGCCTGGACCAATCAGATGTGGCCTGCTTTTTCTCTCATGGCAAAGCTGCATGCCCCAGGGAGAACCCGGACTGCTCAGGAGGGTCCTGGCACCCAGACAGCCGTTTAGGCTGCAAAACAGCACACAGAAGACCTGCTTCAAAGACGGGCCCATCAGCCACGACTGGACCAGTCCCCACGGGCACCTCAGCCCCTTAACCTCTGCTCCACTTCTCCCCATCACTCTGGACGCATGTGGTGACAGTCCTCCCGGGTTTTCAGGAAAGGAATGGTCCCGACAGCTGTTGG
Source organism: Homo sapiens (assembly GCF_000001405.40). Taxonomy (NCBI): domain Eukaryota; kingdom Metazoa; phylum Chordata; class Mammalia; order Primates; family Hominidae; genus Homo; species Homo sapiens. The sequence continues at coordinate 3,293,688 of NC_000002.12, forward strand.
ATGCAGGTGGCCACAGCAGCAGGTAAACTCTCTTAATATGCTGCAGGTGAGACCCACCCCAGGACGCAGAGGCAGCCTGTTATTATTTTAAGGCAATGATCAAGTCATCTTCAACTTGATCACAGACAATTTTGAATTTGTCTGTCGCCGAACACGTTAATGTCTAAACATGTCCTTTAATGTTCTGTGAAGCTACAGAAACCACACATTATTCAAAAAGAAAGATTTTTCTTCCTTAAATTTAATTAAATGGAATGGTGGCTATTTGAACACCACAGACTCCAAACACTTTAACAAATATGAACCTAAACAATTCTTTGATGATATCCAAAGTGCAAATAATGTTTTCATTCTTGAACTTTTCAAAATCAGTAAACAAAAAATTATGTATAACCATTTAACAAATACATTTAAAGTCATAAATGATAATCTTATTGTGTAGAAGTAATATTGTTCATTAGGAGAATCCCACAGGAGGAATAATTATAACCATGTGACTGCTTTCAACCAGCTTAGCTGACTCGTGACCTGGCTTTGACCTGTGTCCTTGAACTGATGTTCAAACACACACCCTCCATCCAGCCCATCCTCCCTACACACACACACCCTCCATCCAGCCGATCCTCTCTGCACACACCCTCCATCCAGCCGATCTTCTCTGCACACATACACCCTCTATCCAGGCCATCCTCTCTCCACACACACCCTCCACCCAGCCCATCCTCTCCACACACACACACCCTCCATCCAGCCCATCCTCTCTCCAAACACACACCCTCCATCCAGCCCATCCTCCCTACACACACACACCCTCCATCCAGCCGATCCTCTCTGCACACACCCTCCATCCAGCCGATCCTCTCTACACACACCCTCCATCCAGCCGATCCTCTGCACACATACACCCTCCATCCAGGCCATCCTCTCTCCACACACACCCTCCATCCAGCCCATCCTCTCTCCAAACACACACCCTCCATCCAGCCCGTCCTCTCTACACACACCCTCCATCCAGCCCATCCTCTCTACACACACCCTCCATCCAGCCATCCTCTCTCTATACACATGCCTTCCATCCAGCCCATCCTCTCTCTACATACACACCCTCCATCCAGCCCATCCTCTCTCCACACACCCTCCATCCAGCCCATCCTCTCTCCACATACCCTCCATCCAGCCAACCTCTCTCTATACACATGCCCTCCATCCAGCCCATTCTCTCCCTGCACACACACCCGCCATCCAGCCCATCCTCTCTACACACACACACACACCCTCCATCCAGCCCATCCTCTCTACACACACACACACACACCCTCCATCCAGCCCATACTCTCTGCACACATACACCCTCCATCCAGGCCATTCTCTCTCCACACACACCTCCATCCAGCCCATCCTCTTTCCACACATACACCCTCCATCCAGCCCATCCTCTCTCCATGCACAACCTCCATCCGGCATGTCCTTTCTACACACACACACCCTCCATATAGCTTGTCCTCTCTACACACACACACCCTCCATCCAGCCCGTCCTCTCTCCACACATACACCCTCCATCCAGCCCGTCCTCTCTCCACACACACCCTCCATCCAGCCCGTCCTCTCTCCACACACACCCTCCATCCAGCCCATCCTCTCTACACACACACACCTTCCATCCAGCCCATCCTCTCTCTACACACCCTCCATCCAGGCTATCCTCTCTACACACACACCCTCCATCCAGCCCATCCTCTCTGCACACACACACCCTCCATCCAGCCCATCCTCTCTCTACACACCCTCCATCCAGCCCATCCTCTCTGCACACATACACCCTCCATCCAGCCCATCGTCTCTCCACACACACCCTCCATCCAGCCCATCCTCTCTCCACACACACACCCTCCATCCAGCCCTCCTCTCTCTGCACACCCTCCATCAAGCCCATCCTCTCTACATACACACACCCTCCATCCAGCCCGTCCTCTCTACTCACACACACCCTCCATGCAGCCCTCCTCTCTCTGCACACCCTCCATCAAGCCCATCCTCTCTACATACACACACCCTCCATCCAGCCCGTCCTCTCTCTGCACACACACCCTCCATCCAGCCCATCCTCTCTACAAACACGCCCTCCATCCAGCCCATCCTCTCCCTGCACACACACACCCTCCATCCAGCCCATCCTCTCTCTGCACACACCCTCCATCCAGCCCATTCTCTCTTTACACACCCTCCATCCAGCCCATCCTCTCCTTGCACACACACACCCTCCATCCAGCCCATCCTCTCTCTGCACACACACCCTCCATCCAGCCCATCCTCTCTCTACACACCCTCCATCCAGCCCATCCTCTCTACTCACACACACCCTCCATGCAGCCCTCCTCTCTCTGCACACACACCCTCCATCCAGCCCATCCTCTCTACACACACACCCTCCATCCAGCCCATCCTCTCTGCACACACACACCCTCCATCCAGCCCCTCCTCTCCCTGCACACATACACCCTCCATCCAGCCCATCCTCTCTACACAGACACCCTCCATCCAGCCCATCCTCACCACACACAGACACCCTCCATCCAGCCCATCCTCACCACACACAGACACCCTCCATCCAGCCCATCCTCTCTACACACACACACCCTCCATCCAGCCCGTTCTCTCTCTACACACACACACCCTCCATCCAGCCCATCCTCTCTCTGCACACACACACCCTCCATCCAGCTCACCCCCTCTGCAAACACACACCCTCCATCCAGCCCATCCTCTCTCCACACACACACCCTCCATCCAACCCATCCTCTCCACACACACCCTCCAACCAGCCCATCCTCTCTACACACACACCCTCCATCCAGTCCATCCTCTGTATACACACACACACTCCATCCAGCCCATCCTCTCTACACATACACCCTCCATCCAGCCCATCCTCTCTACACACATACACACCTCCATCCAGCCCATCCCGTCTACACACACACCCTCCATCCAGCCCGTCCTCTCTCTGCCTACAGAATCCATCCAGCCCATCCTCCCTACACACACACACCCTCCATCCAGCCTATCCTCTCTACACACACAGATTGTTCCCTCTCTGCACACACACTGTCCATCCAGCCTGTCCTCTCTGCACCCACACACTGCCCATCCAGCTCTGGGCATCTTTGTCCTCACAGGTGAAACCAGGGCTCTGACCTTTCTTCAACCTCAGCTGTCTAGGACCAAGTCTCTCCGAGTCTCTGACTTGTTTCCTTAGGGGTTTCCAATTAAGAGCTAATCTTGTTCTCCTGCCTAGCCTGGAAGCCATCTACTTCTCCCGGCACCCATCCGGCAGGCAGGTGGTGGCAGTTTCTCTCTGTACCAGAATCACTTCCTTTTGTCCATGAGCTCCTGGGTGGCAGGGATTAGGTGGGCTTAATTGTGTCTGTGGCTCCAGCATTTGGGACAGTGTGGCACATGCTAGGAGCTCAGCATGTATCTGGTGACCACAAAAGAAAGAGGCGTGTGGGACACTGTGAAAACAGCATCGATGGAATCCGACTACGGAATAAAGAGGGTGGGGGCGAGGAAAGGCTGATGTTTCAGTGGAGTATAAAAGAAGGCTGAGTGGCATGAAGTGAGTGTTTCAGCCACACCTGCCTCACCTGCAGCATGCAGAGACAGCCATTCACATCTTACACCGCTGGTGAGGCAAGTGGTAAGCACAGGGCTCAGCAGATGGTGGGCATTTGCCCTAACAGTTAAATAAGGGCTGTAGATGAGCAGATTTTCAAAGTCCCTTCTACAACGGAGTTCAACCAGTTTCAGAAGAGTTGAGCTACGAGGTTCTACCTCCCAGTTCAGCCTCATGCCCAGGGGAAACAGCCAGGTTCTCCCTTGCATTCTAGTCCAAGGGACGGCAAACTTTTTCTGTAAAGGGCCAGGTCATAAATATTTTTGGCTTTGCAGGCCACACAGTCTTTATCGCAGTTACTCTGTAGAGCAAAATCAGCCACAGACATTACAGAAATAAGCGAGTGTGTCTGGGTGCCAATAAAACTTTATTCACAAAACCAGGTAGTGGGCCAGAATTAGCTGTGGCTGTGGTTTCCTGGCCCCTCTCCTAGACCATGAAAAGCTTTGTCTTGCTTCTTTTTTTGTTCGTTTGTTTGAGATGGAGTCTCGTTCTGTCATCCAGGCTGGAGTGCAGTGGCTCCATCTCAGCTCACTGCAAGATCTGCCTCCCGGGTTCAGCTTTGTCTTGCTTTTTAAGGAGATTTAGGAGAAACCCTTTGTTCATTTGCTCATTCACTACATTCAACAAATACTTTCTCAGTGCCTACTATGTGCCAGGCACTTTTGAGCCTATGGGTCAGAGAGGGGGTCATCACCAAAAGATCTGCCATCTCAGACAGTTGGGACTCATGGATAATGCTATACATTTCCTGCTCTATTTATTGTATTTTCCCTTCATTCCCTTAACAGATGCTTGTTAGCAGAGAAAGGCTTGAGATTCGTGCGGCCCACTCCTTCTGCCACTGCAGCCCCACTCTTACCCGTTTCACATACCGGGGTTTTATTTATATGTCTATTACAGGCTTATATATTGGGGTTCCTTGTCACTTGTGAAAATGGGTTCGGTAGCTTTAAAACAAGATTTGAAAGCCACTGGTCTGGCCTAGATACTGCCGTTTTATTGATGGCTGGGTTGTGTGGGAGAGAATCCAAGTCTTGCTAGTGTCAGATTACATCTATTGCTTCCCCTGGACCCATCTTGTCTGTCGTCATGCCCTTGAAAGAGATAAAATTAATCAGAAGGGAGTTATGGCCTCCAAAGTCATCCTGATAGTATCTAGGATCTTACGATCTCGATGGTGTTGGTAAATTGGTTCTGTAATAATGATCCTCCCCTGGCTGAGTGTCCTCAGATCTCAACAAGCAAATTCCGGTGTCCTCCCCCGAGAAGATGTCGTGGGTTCTTGATCTCCTATACCAAGAGCTCACTCAGTATTCAGAAATGCTCCACACAAGGATTGACAGCAGCCAAAGAGGGGCCGTGTTCTCTAAGGTGCTCGGGCTCTCCATGAGGGAAGGAACCCCCAACCACACTCTATCCAACCACTGTCAGAAGACTCACCCCCCATAAGAAGGCATTCCAGTGTCGGCACAAATGCTTCCTGGGAGAAGACACGTACAGCTCTGGGACAGCTGCAGACGTCAAGCCCAGCCTTCCAGGGGACATCGTCTGACTCGGTGTTAACTTCTCCCTTACCTACCCCGCTCCTGCTCACTGCGCTCAGATCTTTGCCCTGGGATCAGAAAGAGAAGGTCCAGTCCTCTCCCGCTTAACAGCCCCACAGATACAGGAAAGCCCCACCATAGCACTATTAATGAGGCCAAAAAGCCTCAAACATTTAAAATGGGGGTTCTCATTTTTCAAAAGTAATGAGATGACCAGGGTGAGTTCTGGACTTCAGGAAGCCAAGATTCATCACAAGTCCTAGCTGTTGCTGAGAATGTCGCTGTGTCTGTCTCTCCACAGGGCCTCCCGCGTGAGCCTCCATGGACTGCCCCCTGTCCTGGAGTGCTCCGCCCTGGGTCAGCTCATTGTCCTGGCCCCCCGTCCTGCCGTGCTCGGCCCTGGGTCAGCTCACTGTCCTGGCCCCTTGTCCTGCAGTGCTCGGCCCTGGGTCAGCTCATTGTCCCAGCGACTCTGCTTGGGGCTCTGCTGATGGCATTCTGAGAGCTGGATGCCACATGGATGTGATCTGACTGGGCGCGGCCTTGTTACGAATATCTCCTTCTCTTAGGAAAAGAGAGTCCTTGGATTAGATTGGCTTTTTGTTTTAATGGGCAAATCATACTATTGACTTTGACACTATAGCCTGCTGAAATTCCCATTTGTATGTTTTAAATTTCAGAAAGGAAAATATTTTCTCTCTCTCTCTCTCTCTCTCACACACACACACACACACACACACACACACACACTTTGAGTTATGGCCATACGTGTAAGCTATGTAAGCTCTTCTTAGGTTTTGCCAAATCACGGAAGACAGACAACCTGGCAGTTTACATGCAATCTTATACGTCCCTAAGATGTCATTCACCAAGCTGCATTCCCTCTCTTGACAGTCTGTAGAAAGCTTGGTTCTCTAGGCAGTGAGTGAAAAGGATCTCGTTCCCAGTCTCGGCACCACCACTCACAGTCGAGTGATCCTGGGCCAGTCACTCAAGTGCTCAGAGCCCAGACTCAGCAAATTTATGACGCAAGAGTCACACTATTTGGTCTCCAAGGTGCCTCTTGACAGGGACCCTAAGATTCCCCAGTGAGGTATGCAGCCTGGCCTGGCAAAGCGCAAACTCCAGTGCAGACAGCTGTGGCTGGATCACTAAATCAATAGTTTGAACCATATGAAACTGCCATTCTTATAGGTCAAAAAGGGTCAAATTTCAGCAATTTCATATAATTCAACCCTGTGAAATCCCAAACAAGACTTTTAACCTCCCAGTTTTCACAATTGCAAAATGAATGTCCTATATTATGGAAAACTAGTTTTAAGATGTCAAAACTCCAAAATTCTATTTGGTCCATTAAAACGACAGTTTCCCCTGTAACACATGTACTCTCCTTTGTACCTAGACAGTGATTACATATGAATGGCTGGCTTCTGGTCTTTCCAGCACAGGTCTATCTAAATGCCTTTACACAGGCCCGCCCCCTCTCCTTCTCGTCAGTGCCTCAGCTTCAGGATGCAAGCACCCCTCCTCTGCTCTTACAGTGCCTTCATCATTGCTCCCTAAAAAGCCTGGACTGGGCTCCCAGCAGTCTCGCCTCAATGCCACCTGCATGTCCACGGCCACATCCTTGCCTCACAGCCTCTCCAATGTGTCCGTTTCTCAAGGCTGTACTTCAGGGTCAAATGGGCTTTCGCGCTAATACCCTATCAAACAGCCTTCTTGCCAATACCATTTCCATGAAAAAAAAAAAGAATCAACCAAAAACAAAAACAAGAAGGTACACACAATGCACTTATTTCTGGATGATGCTGGGAAGTCCCGATGTCCCAATCATACAAATACCTAATGGTCCAAAAGCGTTTGTAAACCAGCTGTCGCCCAGGCATGTTTTCTACAAGAGAGTATATATGTCATGGGTTATAAACAGCGAGTGAGCGAGTGAACCTGTGAACTCCGGACAGTGCCAATTCCAACAGCACAGGCTTCTGTGTGTTCTTCATTAGGAGAAATCTTGTTTTTCAGGGTACAGTTCTCAAAATAGTCAAAAATCTCAGAGGCCAGCCTGATGAATGAAAAAGATGATTCATAGGGCTAAATTATCAGGAGCCAAAAAGTATCCTACAAAAACACAGCAGAGAGATTTTCTCAGATGGCACTGAAGCTGACTTTTAGAGCATTTCTGAAAGAAAAGTTCCAAAAATGTTTTGGGAAATGACAGTTTCTTTGGACAAGCAGAGGTCAGCATCACGGGCACGCAAGTTCCTCTGTGTCTGCATGAGATTCCGCAATGAGCCTTGCTTTTCAGATGCAGCTTCCGGGATGAGTGACTCAGTTCCAAGTGAGATGCAGTAGACGGCAACAAACACACATCTTCTTTCTGACCCCTTCACAACAACAAGCATGGAGGCAGGTCCCGGGGACTCCAAGGAGAACTGGCCTTCACTCCCTGTGCCTGCCAGGGGACAGCCATCTGAACACTGAGGAGTCTCCCAGGCCAGGTCACTAAGTTAGAGAATGCTCCAAGGAGAACTGGCCTTCACTCCCTGTGCCTGCCAGGGGACAGCCATCTGAACACTGAGGAGTCTCCCAGGCCAGGTCACTAAGTCAGACAATGCTCTTTCTTCTTCCAAGTGGGCCAGGCTCATTATTGAGTAATTAGTTCTTACTCAGGTACCCACAATGGTGGCCAAACATACCTGAACTGTGTTAAAAACAAAACCAAACGAGAAAAGTGTTTCTGGTCTTATAATATTTGTTTGACACCTCAAACCTCTTATTTTCATTTCAGAGACTGATTAAATACAGTCTCAAGGTGATAAAATAACACAGTAGGATAAAAATAAAGTGACAAGTGGCAAGGGATGGTTAGTCATCTTTGATACCTGTGGATACTCAAACCCACCATTTAAAATGTCTTAGGTGTTAGATGTGGTAGGTGTTTCTATCAGGAACACGTGGGAATAAAAACAAATTTAGAACTCACATCTGGGCTTCTCACTTCTAAAACAAGGGTCAGGAGGCCAGAAGGCGGAGCAGCGCATCAGTTAGGATTTGACAGGACCACCATGAGGGCTCTGAAGGCGGAGAGACTGCCAGATGCGATAAAGCAGAAGCTCACAGGACTCTTTTACAGGGCTCCTGAGGCCACGCCAGCAGTGGGAAAATCTCCAGAGTGGAACTGAATTCAAGAAACCTGTGTATAGAATACTCCCTCAGCGACTTGGGGTTCCAGATCCAGCCACCTGAAAACTTTCCGGCATACAGCAAAAAGAAAACCCCTGATTTCCTAAACTCAATCAGCTTTGAGTTTAACGAGGGTGCCTCTGGGCCAATGTCTAATGAATCACAGGATCAGAGTCACCGCCTGATATTCTGTGGTTCTGGTGAAGCCTGGGCAGCACAGCAAGACCCTGTCTCTACAAAAAATTTAAATGTTAACAATTAATTAAAATTTAAATTTAAATAAAACGTGTGGTGAGTGGCAAACTGCGGTTTCAAGCAATTAGAAGACAATCCCTCTTCTGAAATCCAGGTCCTTGGCTTTCTCATGCTGTCTCATCCTCCCAGCACCACACTCTCCTTTCTTTGCCTCCCAGTTCTTTTCTGTTGGCTGCTTCTCCTTCTGCTGCTGGGCTTTAGCAAGCTGATCCTGAGTGCAGTTGGTGGATGGCGACAGGCCGGATGAAGACAGCGATGGCAGTGACGTGACGTCGCGGAACCAGAGGTTGTGCCCCATTGCAGTGGCCATTGCCAGAAGCCCAGGCCCGCTGCGGATCCACAGCCCTCCCTGCATCCTGGAACCCCCGCCACCTTGTCACTGTCACTCTGGGTGAACTGCTTGCTTTGTGTCTGTCTTCCCATCAGACGACAGGCTCCCAAAGGCCAGGCCAGCCGTGTCTGCATGGCTGAGCTCGGGGCGCTCCAGCAGGGCGTCTGGCATGCAGCAGAGAGGGATCAATACTGAGAACAGAACAGAGGAAAAGGGCAGAAGCTCCAGGGCCAAGGTCAGCAGGAGGGAGGGCCTGGGCAGCCACAGCAGGGACACGAAATCTGACTCCGTTTTTTTCATCTGTAAAACTGAAATTGTGACTCAAGAGTTGTGGAGATTAAATATGAAGACCGCTGAAAAGTGACAGTGGCGCTGGCTCACAGCTGCACTCAGTTGTGGTGACAGCCAGTGCCCTTGTGTCCACCTATGTAACCATCCCCAGCCTGGGGACTTACACAGCCCAACGTCACGTGTATTTGCTGCACTTTTAGTTGCAATTCACAAAAGCTGGCTCCGGCTGATTAAGCAGAAAAGGAGATCAACGTGAGGGGCTGGGTGGAAGGGGAGGGGTGCCAGGCAGCTCACTCTCACCAGCCATGCCGAGGGCCAGGCTAAGGGGAGCCTCTGGGGGCCAAGCTCGGAGCCTCACCAGGGCCATGGCCCAGCAGGGGAGTCTCTGCGGCCCCCATCCAGCACAAAGGAAGCCACCCCACAGCTCTGCTGCTGCCTTAGGCTGCTGCGTGCCAGGGACCGACCACCACCTGGAAGTCACCGGCACTGCTGCCACCTCGACCGCCACTCACAGCAGCAGTGGCAGCCCCCACTGTCCCCTCACGCTGCCACGTCTGAATCAGTCTCACCCAAATGCTCAGGCCAGCAGAGTCGGGTCACAGCGAAACTGGAAAATAGATTTCTTATTTTCATATTGGGAAATGCGACTAATAACCTAGGAAATTTCCCCAAGCACAGGAAGACTACTCCAAAGATAAGGAGCAGCCACAAACCCGCCAGACGCCGGCAACCTGACTTCTGAGTGTTTCCCGGCACCGTGAACACAATAGACGACACGTGATACGGTGCGGCCTCTGCGCCCGGGAAGCTTCGCCCTCTGCTGGCAGACGGCGGGATCCATCGGGTGCTGGGAGGACCGGGAATCACAGCAGGCTGACCAGCCATAACAGACAGAGTATAACCCCAAAGAGTCAATCGCTGTCAAAGGAAGACTGTTAAAAATCTTATACAGTCATATAATTTGGGTTGAATAATGAAGATTCTCATAAAACCCTATCACTCAAATCTCCGATTTACAGTACTTGTTGCATGGTTTGAAAAGATTTCCTGTTACAAAATCCCCACTGTGTGATTTGCTGACTCTGATGTAGGAAGACAGACACGGTCACCAAGTTCACACAGAAAGGATCCATCTGAAGGGCTGGAAACGCCCAGGCACGCGGACAGGCAGCGGTGAAGCCACAGAGATGATCTTCCCAAGACCCCACGGAGCGCCACGCAAGGCTGCAGAGATCCAGGGAACAGCGTGCTGTGCGCGGGGAGGTGGTCTGGCGAGATCGGAGTTGAGATGGCCAGGGCTGAGGAACAAAGTGTCCAGGGTTCCCAGCGTTTCTCAGAATCACCCAGGCAACCTCATCAGAAGACATGGTTCTGCTCCACATCCAGCAACCAAGACTATGTGATCCTGACACCTGCAGTTCAGCCCTCCACTCCCGTCCTGTTCAACCCTCCACTCCCGTCCAATTCAGCCCTTCAGTCCCGTCCAATTCAGCCCTCCACTCCCGTCCAGTTCAGCCCTCCAGTCCCATCAGTTCAGCCCTCCACTCCCGTCCAGTTCAACCCTCCAATCCCATCCAGTTCAACCTTCCACTCCCGTCCTGTTCAGCCCTCCAATCCCGTCCAGTTCAACCTTCCACTCCCGTCCAATTCAGCCCTCCACTCCCGTCCAGTTCAGCCCTCCAGTCCCGTCCAGTTCAGCCCTCCACTCCCGTCCTGTTCAACCCTCCACTCCCGTCCAATTCAGCCCTTCAGTCCCGTCCAATTCAGCCCTCCACTCCTGTCCAGTTCAGCCCTCCAGTCCCGTCCAGTTCAGCCATCCAGTCCCGTCCAATTCAGCCCTCCACTCCCGTCCAGTTCAGCCCTCCAGTCCCGTCCAGTTCAGCCCTCCACTGCCATCCAGTTCAGCCCTCCATTCCCGTCCAGTTCAACCCTCCAATCCCGTCCAGTTCAACCCTCCAGTCCCGTCCAGTTCAGCCCTCCAATCCCGTCCAGTTCAACTCTCCACTCCCGTCCAGTTCAACCCTCCACTCCCGTCCAGTTCAACCCTCCACTCCTGTCCAGTTCAACCCTCCACTCCCGTCCAGTTCAACCCTCCACTCCCGTCCAGTTCAACCCTCCACTCCCAACCAGTTCAGCCCTCCACTCCCGTCCAGTTCAGCCCTCCAGTCCCATCAGTTCAGCCCTCCACTCCCGTCCAGTTCAACCCTCCAATCCCATCCAGTTCAACCTTCCACTCCCGTCCTGTTCAGCCCTCCAATCCCGTCCAGTTCAACCTTCCACTCCCGTACAGTTCAGCCCTCCACTCCCGTCCAGTTCAGCCCTCCAGTCCCGTCCAGTTCAACCCTCCACTCCCGTCCAGTTCAGCCCTCCACTTCCATCCCGTTCAGCCCTCCAGTCCCATCAGTTCAGCCCTCCACTCCCGTCCAGTTCAACCCTCCAATCCCATCTAGTTCAACCTTCCACTCCCGTCCTGTTCAGCCCTCCAATCCCGTCCAGTTCAACCCTCCACTCCCGTCAGTTCAGCCCTCCACTCCTGTCCAGTTCAACCCTCCACTCCCATCCAGTTCAACCCTCCACTGCCGTCCAGTTCAGCCCTCCACTCCTGTCCTGTGCCCCCATTGAGTAACGGACTGGGGCCACCTTCACAGACCTGACAACCCTGGGGAGGAGCAGGTGCAGGAGACGGGGAAAGACAGACAAAGGGGGACCTGCCCGCCCTCCAGAAAGGCCCTCACCATTGACGACACCGCCACAATCTCTCCCACAGCCAGGCTGAAAGTGATCTGACAGTTTCAACTCACCCCTTTCATTTATGTCTATATCCAGACAGTCTTCTAAGTGTCTGTCATATCCATTTCTGATAAATTCTCACCTCCTCCCAGGCGGTTCATAGGCTCTGTTCTCCTTTCTTTCCTATTTATTCTGTATTTTCCTACAAGATGACTCCTTGTTACATATTACCATCATCACGCCAATTCTATGACCTGAAAATTTCAAATCGCTGCTTCCCCCCTTTCTACTGAGTTCCGAGGCAGTCACTTGGGTCTGAGCCCACTACAATGTAAAGCCACGCCTTTTACAAACAATACTGTGCTGAACTTATTGACAGACACAAAAACGAAACTGGGGTGAGCTGCATGGGCACCCAGCGCAGACGCATTCAGCCTGAGGGACAGAGGCCCGAAGTCATCATTTCGTCATGCTAGCGGTGGCCTGGGTCCCGCCCCGCCCCTTCCCTTGGCTCCTCTGAACAGCGCTGTACACACCTTTCCCACATTCTGGGTTTCTATGGATATTTGGTTGGATTTGTTCTCTTTTCCCCCCTTCTGTTTCCCAGGTTAGTGTTTTATGCAGAATTCATTATCTAAGATTCTTTAACTTATTCCCTGGTCACTCGTTTTTGGTGATATCATATATTACTTTTTGTCATAAGAAGTTTGGTTTTCTTTATGAAATTACGGTTGGGCCATAAACAACACACAGTTTAGGGGCACCAAACCCCAACACAACTGAAAAATCTGTGTGTAACTTTTGGCTCCCCAAAAACTTAACTACTAATAGCCCACTGTTGCCCAGAAGCTGTACTAACATAAATAGTAGATTAACATATTTTGTATGACAAATGTATTACAGACTATATTGTTATAATTAAGTAGCTAGAGAAAAGAAAACATTTTTAGGAAGATCATAAGGAAGAGAAAATATATTGACTATTCATTAAGTGGAAGTGGGATCATCATAAAGCTCTTCATCCTGTCGTCTTCACACTGAGCAGACTGAGGAGGAGGAAGAGGAGGTGTTGGTCTTGCTGCCTCAGGGGCAGCAGAGGCAGAAGAAAATCCATGCGTAAGTGGACCCCCCCAGTCCAAACCCATGTTGTTCAAAGTCAACTGTACTGTATAGTTATAGAGTCAAAAAAGAGAACTCCTTTTCCTATATTTGCTATTTAGGATGTACATAAATATACGGTTTCAAACTCCAATCTTTTTATTTTTTTTTTAATTTATTTATTTTTTTGGAGGGAGTCTTGCTCTATTGCCCAGGCTGGAGTGGCGTGATCCGGGCTCACTGCAACCTCCCCCTCCTGGGTTCAAGTGATTCTCCTGTCTCAGCCTCCTGAGTAGATGGGATTACAGGCGCCTGCCACCACACCCTGCTAATTTTTGTATTTTAGTAGAGATGGGGTTCTACCATGTTGGACAGGCTGGTCTCAAACTCCTGACCTCAAATGATCCGCCTACCTCAGCCTCCCAAAGTGCTGGGATTACAGGTGTGAGCCACTGTGCCCAGCCCAAATTCCAATATGTGTCAAAAACTCCAGACAGCCCCTCCCAGCCCTCACCCAGCAGCTCCTGCCAGTGTCTCCCCGGACCCAGCGGCTCCTGCCCTAATGTCTCCCGGCCCCAAGCCAGAGGTAGAGGGCATTGGGGTGGGTGCCTCCCTTCCTCAGTGGCACAGTGTTCATGCAGGAGCCCTACCATGCTGGGGCCCCAGAAAGCAGGCCTATGGAGACTGTCTCTGTGCAATAGAACCAGCAGCCCCACTTCTGCAGGAGCAGCACCAGGCAGCCAGGAAACAAGAGCCCCGCCCTGCCCACTACCTGCGCACAGCCTCAGGAGCAGCCCGGGCACGGAAAGACGGCATCCCCACTCTCGCTCATGTGCCAGCTAAAACGCACTTCTCCTGGAGGGAGAGAGTAGACTGCCCGTTACCAGAGGCTGGGAAAAGAAGTGAGGCAGGGATGAAGAGAAGCTGGTGAATGGTATAAACATAGTTATATGGAAGGAATAAGTTCTAGTATTTGATAGTATAGTAGGAAAATTAGAGTTAACAAAACTTTACTGTATATTTCAGAATAGCAGAAGAGAATTGTAATGTTCCCAACACAAAGGAAAGATATGTTAGCCATTTGGTTATCCCAAATGATCCTATTTGATCATGACCCATTGTATACATGTATCAAAATATCACATGTACCTCCAAAATATGTACCTCTATGCTATATCAATTAAAAAAAGAACAGGCCTGGGAATGCTCTCGGCGTCTCCCACACACAACAGAGCCACACCAGCCCCAGGAAGAACATTCCAGCGCTGGCCGACGCTGTCGGCCGTGTGTGGCCACGGAGGCCTCAGAGAATGAGGCCCACTTGCACAGACTGTGGGGCTCTGACAGCTGCCACTGGAAACACAGCCCGTGGAAGAAGGCCAGGACCCAGTCCCCAAACCTAAACAGGGTGACTGAAATATGACCCAGAGTTTCCCATGAACCAGGAAATCAAAATTTGAATGAGAAAAGACAGTCAATGGACAGGATGATCTTAAAGCAGCCGCCATAAAGATGCTTCCATGAGGGACTCTTCTCTTGAAACAAATAAAGGGAAAAACTCAGAAAATTTCAACAAAGAGATGAAAGATATAAAAAAGAACCAAATGGATGAGTTCAATAGCAGCACAATAAATATGGCAGAGAAAACATTTAAAGACAGAACAACAGGAAATGTCCAATTTGAACACCAGACCAGAGAGAAAATAGACGGAAAAAAAAATGAACAGCCTCAGGAATGCGGGACAATAGCAGATGGCCTCAGTCTCCAGAGAGGAGAAAGTGAGGTTGAAAAGCATTTGTGGGAATAATGGACAGAGAGTCCTCGAATTTGGTGAAGGACGTTGCCTACAGATTCAAGAGCCTGAGAAAATCTCAAGTAGCATACACCCCAAGAAAGCTATTCCAAGACATGGCACGATTAGACTTCTGAAAACTAAAGACAAGAACGAAAATTGAAAGCAGCCTCTGCTCTTCATTCAAACTGGATCACCAAGTTCTCACCCGAAACCAGAGACCAGAACAAAGCAGAACAATATTTTTCAAATATTTCCATTTTTCAAAGAATTGTCAACCTTGAAGTTTATATTCACTGCAAGTATCCTTAGGAATGAAAGGGAAATAAAGATATTTTCAAAAGGAGGAAAACTAAGGAAGTTTGCCACAAGCAGACCTACCCTCAAAGGATGGATAAAGAAAATTTTTCAAACGGAAAGAAATTATAATGAAAAAAGGCTTAGAACTTCTGAAAGAAAAGAACAACGAATGGGCAAAAACCAGTAAATACAGTAGACATCTTTCTCCTCGTGAGCTTCTTAAACCATATTTGATGGTTGGCGAAAAAATTACACCACCACATCTGATGGTCAATGTACAGAGAGAAAACACTTAAGACAATTATATTCTTAAAGTGGGAGGGCAGAGATGGCCTCGATGGAAGTGGGGCTCCTCTATTCCTCTCGAGGTAGGAAAATGCCAATAACTGTGGGTTTGGTAAGTGACATACGTATATTGTAATATCTAGAGCAAGCATCAAAGCACCTCTACAGAGTTGTATATTCAAAAACACTGTAACTAAATCAAAATGGAGTATTAAAAAACGTTCACATAACTCAGGAAGGTGAAAGAGAAACAGAACGATGAGAAACAAAGAGAACAGAAAACAAATAACAACATGGCGGAGTTAAGCCCTAAGAGATCAATAATTTAGAGGTCAGTAGTCTCAGTATACCAATGACAAGACAGAGATTGGCAGAGGGAATAAACACACGCACATAAACACACAACCCAGCTCCATACGGCCTATGCAGTCTACAAAAAATCCCACCTCCCAAAACCCAGAGCATCCCGGGAAAGGAAAAACAGTGGGCGAGGGAGGTGGGAGTGGAGGGCATGAAAATGGCCGGCGCTCGACCAGGACCAGGGTCACTGACTTGAGACCCCAAAACGACAGATGCTTCCCGATGGGAGTGAAGGTTGAAGAGACCGGTCCACACCTCCTTCTGTTCTAACACCCCCCTTACTACCTGTTCAAAGGAGGTAATCATGTGGGAGAGAGGCAGCAGAGCTGGGGGTTAGGAAAGAGACGGTGGTGTGGGTAGGATTCTCCCTGCAGGCTCTGGCAGCGCCCCTGTGTACGCACAGGTGTGCAGGCTCTGGCAGTGCCCGTGTACGCACAGGGCAGGGACGCTCCCTGCGCTGCTCCAAACTGGAATATTCGCGTCTCCCCACTGCAGACACCAGAACACAGCCACTACCCCACACAAGCAAGAACAGCCCCTGAGGTTATGTGCCCACGGCAAGGTCACCACACTCTGTTAGAGAAAAAGGAGCTGGAAAGTTGTTTATATATTAGGAGTGCATGCTTGGTTCAGCGCCAAGGTCAGAAAACAATGTTTCCACAGTCACCCAAGATTGACTACAGCAAATAGCTATCCGTTCTGAAGACGACAAATGGTTTCCAAACAACAGGAAATAGATACTAAGGGTATTATAAAAATCTTCCTTTTTAATATTTTTCTTAGGGAGAGAAGAAATACCAGTAAGTTCTCAAAGGCTTTTAAAAGTCTTGATAATTGGCCGGGCGCGGTGGCTCACGCCTGTAATCCCAGCACTTTGGGAGGCCGAGGTGGGCGGATCACAAGGTCAGGAGACTGAGACCATCCTGGCTAAAACGGTGAAACCCCGTCTCTACTAAAAATACAAAAAATTAGCCGGGCGTAGTGGCGGGCGCCTGTAGTCCCAGCTACTTGGGAGGCTGAGGCAGGAGAATGGCGTGAACCCGGGAGGCGGAGCTTGCAGTGAGCCGAGATCCCGCCACTGCACTCCAGCCTGGGCGACAGAGCCAGACTCCGTCTCAAAAAAAAAAAAAAAAAAAAAAAGTCTTGATAATTTAAAACTAAAAACTTATCTAAACTTTGTAGTAAGACTGCCTTATATTTATATTTAACGCAAGAATCTTCAGGGTACAGTTGTACTTGTGTATGCTATGTCTCAATGGTATACAAATATTTAAAATTATTTTATATACTAAACTTTGTTACACTGATAAATATTTTATGATTCCCCCAAATCAATCAATTTTTTTTTCAAATAAACAAATTAGCCCAGTTTCCCATATGTTAGGGGAAATAATTGCTGGGTAAAAAATAAATTTTTCTTGAAACTTGATTCTGAAATTTTACGTACAAGACCCCGAGCAAACCAATGTCTCTGAACTTCCTATTTTCTTGTTTACAAAAATGGAGCATATGAAGATGCCCACTCTCAGACGATTACCAGAAATATCACATTGCAATAGCTTGAAGAGTGCTTTGAAAACTGGCAAGCAAAGACAAGGTTACTACTTACTTAGGCCTAGTATGTGCACAGGTAGAACGGTCTCTATCAACACAAGTGCCTCCACCTTCTAAGCTTTACTATTTGATAGACCAGAAAAAGCCCACAGAATTTTCTTCTCCTTGGTCCTGTTACACACTCTCAAGATGATCTCTTCCTAGAAATATGTGATTTTCAAATATACAATAATTAGTAGTTTTGTATCTTTTGAGATTCCAGAAATGATTTCTTTTCACATTAAAAAAAAATATTTTTAGAAAGTAATTCTGCATGATTTTTATGGGGGTGAGGGGGCAGCTACAAGCAAGTCCCATAAGGTCAAGGACTTGCTTTTTTCACACTTAGAACATATAGAAGGCAGTGGCATATTTTAAATCTGAGAACATGTGGCATTCTCTTACAACAGTTTCTTTTTCTTCTATTCATTTAGTTCAAAAAATGTTGAGGCTTAAGACAGGCCAGACATTCTCCCTACTAACTCCTGTCTCACCCACCATCCCTCGTTCAGAATCAGGAGGGCATGAGGTGGTGTCTGCAGAGTACAGGGCTAGGGGTCCAGTCACAGGGCGCCAGGGGCCTCCAGTCACGAGGTGTGGGCGGCAGCTCCAGTCCCAGGGTGCAGGGGGCTCCACTCGCAGGATGCTGTGGTGGGGGGCTCCATTCGCGGGGTGCTGGGCGGGGGGGCTCTACTCTGGGGCACCAGAGGTGGGAGGGGAGCTCCAGTCACCTGGGGCATGAAGCTCCAGTCTTGGGGCACTGGGGTCCCTGTGCAGTGTCGGGGTTGTCCCCAGCCTCTGCTGAATCCTGCGGGAACCTGGACCTGGCCTTCTTTGGAACAGCGCACAGAACCACATAAGGACCTGGCGGTCACTCTCGTGCTGACATACAAATGACACCCTCCACCCTATAGCTTTCATTGACCCAAGATAACTGTGTGTTGGAGCCACAACACACAGTTATCCCCTCTGTCTGATAACTGAAGTGCCTGAAGATGAGTCTCGGGACGCTCCCAAATTTCCTCAAGTTGCCCCCCGAATCTGTCCATCACTCTGCACATGGAGTGACCTGCAGCCACATCAGTCCCCATCTGTCTGCTCTGCCTATGGCCACTGAGGCCGCATTCCGGGTGTGCTCTGACGTTTTACCCGCCATCCCACTGACCACAGCTTGGTCAACGGAGGCTAAGGTTGCACTGCTTTTTAGGCGGCTGTGGCATAAAATTGAGTTTCCTGGCAAAGACAGTCCCTGGAAGGTTCTGTGTGCCTGCTGTGGGGATGAGACTCACGTCTGAGGGGCAAAGTTCATTTTTCAGACCCCATGATGGGACTTCTCTCACTGCCTCCAAAATACACCCTGTCCAATATTCCATCTCCAGGTTCCCATGGTCCTCCCAAGGCTCCCTCCCACCACTCAGCACCTGCTCATCATTGTCAGCATGTTTCTGGTCTCTTAAAATTGAAGTTTTATCCCTAGCTTTGCAGGTAAAGCTTTGCAGGGAGAAGGACCCACGATGCCACTGCCTCTGTGCTCAGGGGATAACGGCGGGGTGGGGAAGAGCCTCCACTGGTCCCTTCAACGAGATCTTTGGTGCCCCAGGCTTGAGAAGGTTCTTGATGGTTACGTTGCTTTGTCTGCCTCTGCTGGTCTGTGACATGAGCACGTCATGGCCTGACCACCGCTGTGGGCCTCATTCTGGAATGGATGCTACCTAACAAAGCCTCATATGGAGGTACACCCACTGATAAGGGTCACCAGATTGAGAAATAAAAACTTGGCACAGGACTGACTGACACTGAAAACTACTCCTTATTTACCTGAAATTCAAGTTTAACAGGATATCCTGTGTTTTATCTGACAACCCTACTTCCGATGCACACTTCGCACCTCAGCTTCAACACAAATCTACAAGAAAGGTACAGGACGTATATTACCTATCAGCCTCAAGGAGACCCAGTGACCCAATGAGGCTGGGTGACTGCCTCCAACTCAGAGTCCACAGTGCCAAAGCTGCGATGAGGGCTGCACTTCTTCCCACTGGGGGCCAGACAGCCACCCACCCCTTAGACACAAAGTCTCATGTGAGGTGAAAGGGGTGCTGAGAGGGTTAAAGGCAGTGAGGACCCAATTGGATATCACCTGATCCCTGGGAGAGGACATGGATTCTGAGAGGCAGAGACCTGGAGGAAGAAGATCGAAGGCTGAGAGAGCAGCACAAAATGCCGCCTGAGAGTTAAAAAAGTGGGTGGGGGGGTTCAAGGCGCACAGACCTGAGCACTGTGGACAGGCATGGCAGGAGACGAGGTCAAAAGGTGGCTTGGGGCCAGCTCACAGTAGGACACAGAGCCCAGTCCTCCAGGTGAATGGGCACTGAACACTCGCTGGACTCCCACAAGTATTATTCCCATTTATGTGGACATAAACGGGCTTCGAGAAGGTCCACAAATTGCTGAAGGCCTCAGGGGTAATAAATGCTGGGACCAGGGTGAAAATCCCCATCTGCCTAAATTTATAGCCATTTTCAGCTCTCCCCACTGTCAGGAGCATAGTAAGGAGCCTGGGCTTTATCGCCCTAGCTTCTGAGATGCACAGTAAGTGTTTGGATCTGGGTTTCAGAAAAGTCACTGTAGGAGTCAAACTGTCTTTGTTCCCATGAGAAACTCAAGGCCCAAGCTGGGGCCTGGGCAGAAATGAAGGAAAAAACAGGATTCGGATCAGGGAGGGCGAGGAAGGCAGAGGCAAGAGGGCTCATTATGTGCATCTGACCCTCACCCCCCGGTCTTCATTAGCAGCGGGTCACAGCAGCAGCCGGGGCTGTCCCCGAGCTGCGGGCCTGGGTCAATGGCCCTGAGCCGCTGGGACCCGGGGAGGGTGGCACTAGCTGACCCAGCCCCCCTCTCACGCTAGCTCCCCGGAGAGCACCACCCGGGGAGCAACATCGGCGGATGCAGAGCACACACGCTGGCCATATGTCATTGGGGCGCCGCGCTGGCAGCTTTTCATGGCTCTAATTTCCCGAGGACTCTGCGCCAGCGTGATCTACAGTCTTCCTGACATTTCACCTTCCTCTGCTGAAAAATTCATCCCAGTTCTAACGTGGGACGCTCGTTCCCAAGTACAGAGGCAGGAGATTGATTCCGGCTGCCGCTAATGCCAGCTGCCACTCAGCCCCCTTTCCTGAGGCCAGGGCTTGCTCGAGCTAAGCCAGTTCCCAATTATACAGCAGGCTTCACAGTCCTAATTTATCAATCTTTGCCACATCATTTTACATTTATTCTCCATCATGGGTGGACATTTATTATTTTTAAGGCTATACTCTCTTTTTTGGTCTTCCTGAAATTTCACCAGTATGTTGAGGATTTTCATATTTTCACTGTACTTGGCTTTTCTTCGTAAAGACTATCTTTCCAAGACCACAGGGTGACAAGCATTTCTGTGACAGGCAGAAGAGGAGCAGGAGCTGGGCTCAGGGCCCTCGGTGGTCTCACTCACCGGCCAGCCTGTTGCCGTCCCTCTCTTGTGTCCCCTCCCAATCCCCCTGGGACCTTCTGAAGGACACACCTGATCCTGGGACTCCTCTGGTTCTAGGCTCCGATGCCCCTCTGACTGCCTGCAGAAAGCTCTCTCCCCCAGCCTCCAGCTAGCCTCTCCCCAGGACCTGCCTCAGCCGCACTGGACCAACAAGCTGCATGCACCTGCGGATGCTCTCACCTAGGCCTGAGTTGTGCCCCACGGGCTCTGCCTGGTGACCTGCCGCTCACTCTCAGGACCAGCAACAAGAGTGCTGGTCACCCTGAGGCCTCCCTGGCAAGGCCCTGCCCTGGCGGTGTCCACACAGCATCTTCTGCTGCTGCTCTCCGGCAAACTGCATCCCCTCGTGCTGCACTTACTCACATGTCCCCACCATCACCCGCCACCCGCCCCCAACACCTGTACCCCACCACAGTCATCACCACCGCCATCCATATCACTGTCTTCACCACCTCCGTCCACACCACCATCATCATCACTAGCATCGCCCCCATGCCTACCATCATCACCACCCCCTACCACCACCATCACCACCATCCCCATCCACACCCCCTACCACCACCATCACCACCATCCCCATACACACCCCCTACCACCACCATCACCACCATCCCCATACACACCCCCTACCACCATCCTCACCACCATCCCCATACACACCCCCTACCACCACCATCACCACCATCCCCATCCACACCCCCTACCACCACCATCACCACCATCCCCATCCACACCCCCTACCACCACCATCACCACCATCCCCATCCACACCCCCTACCACCACCATCACCACCATCCCCATCCACAGCCCCTACCACCACCATCACCACCATCCCCATCCACACCCCCTACCACCACCATCACCACCATCCCCATCCACACCCCCTACCACCACCATCACCACCATCCCCATCCACACCCCCTACCACCACCATCACCACCATCCCCATCCACAGCCCCTACCACCACCATCACCACCATCCCCCATCCACACCCCCTACCACCACCATCACCACCATCCCCATCCACACCCCCTACCACCACCATCACCACCATCCCCATCCACACCCCCTACCACCACCATCACCACCATCCCCATACACACCCCCTACCACCATCACCACCATCCCCATACACACCCCCTACCACCATCCTCACCACCATCCCCATACACACCCCCTACCACCACCATCACCACCATCCCCATCCACACCCCCTACCACCACCATCACCACCATCCCCATCCACACCCCCTACCACCACCATCACCACCATCCCCATCCACACCCCCTACCACCACCATCACCACCATCCCCATCCACAGCCCCTACCACCACCATCACCACCATCCCCATCCACACCCCCTACCACCACCATCACCACCATCCCCATACACACCCCCACCACCATCCTCACCACCATCCCCATACACACCCCCACCACCATCCTCACCACCATCCCCATACACACCCCCACCACCATCACCACCACCATCATCACCACCCCCACACCCACTCCCACCATCACCATCCCAGTCCCTACCCCCATTCCACCACTGTTATCGCCACCACCATTATCATCATCACCACCATCCCCACTCCCACCCCCTCCACCACACCCAGGACCCCTCTACCCTCATGCTTTTATCTTGGAGTCTGCAGCACCTGCCCAGAGGAACAATCTCCTCACCATCTGTTTACCATGTTTTTGCAAAGCCACTGTGGCACACCAGCTTGGCTTAAGTACTTATCTATTTATTTATTTATTTAATGCCTGAAATAGACCTTGATTAGGTACATTTAAGTCCCATACTTCTACACAAACTTCCTATGAGGCAATCCACAGGCAGCCATTATACCTGATGTTGCAAATTCATTACTATTTGGACAGAATCCTGCCTCTCTCCCAACTCACAGGCCACACTCACACGTTCTATGAGACCCATTCCTCAAGTTCCTGCTTTTCAACTTTCACCCAGTTTTTCTGTCTTCACGTTGACTTTTCACAATGAAGCTGTGTAATTACTACTTTTTTCCCCAAAGGGTTGCTGTACAGATAACTTCAAGTAACAAACCACAAAGTTGGCTGCAGAACAGACGCTAGCCAGGCCACCAGGCTCCTTGGCCTCACAGCCCCCTGACCTGGTCCACACCTTCCCCAGCCACGCCAACCTCTTGCCATAGTCTAGACACAGTCCCAACAGTGAGAGACTCAAAATGCCTCAGGAAAACAGACCATGTGCTGTCAGGTACCACCAAGAGTCAGACGCACAGAAATAGTGCATGTGTGAGCTGAGGATTCTGTGCCTTGCACATGGGGTGGAGCATGGAGACCCAGGAGCACATGAAGCACTGACCAAGCTGAGGGCCTACAGTGTACCTTGCACATGGGGTGGAGCACAGAGCCCCAGGAGCGCATGACGCACTGACCGAGCTGAGGGCCTACTGTGTGCCTTGCATGTGGGGTGGAGCACAGAGCCCCAGGAGCGCATGAGGCACTGACCAAGCTGAGGGCCTACTGTGTGCCTTGCACATGGGGTGGAGCACAGAGACCCAGGAGCACATGAGGCACTGACCAAGCTGAGGACCTACTGTGCGCCTTGCATGCCGGGTAGAGAACAGAGCCCCAGGAGCGCACGAGGTGCTGACCGAGCTGAGGGCCTACTGTGTGCCTCGCACGCGGGGTGGAGCATGGAGCCCCAGGAGCGCACAAGGTGCTGACCGAGCTGAGGGCCTACTGTGTGCCTCGCACGCAGGGTGGAGCACGGAGCCCTGGGAGCGCATGAGGCACTGACCGAGCTGAGGGCCTACTGTGTGCCTCACATGCGGGGTGGAGCACGGAGTGCCGGGAGCGCATGAGGCGCTGACAGGCAGGTGACCTCGCAGCAGCTGTGAGGGTCGAGTCTAGATAGAGGCCCCTCCCACCTTACTTAAATAAACACACTGAAGACTCCAAGCTATATGGACTGAATCCACCCCCAATTCCCCCGCCTAATTCATACACTGAAGCCCTAGACCCAGTGTGACTGTACTGGAGACAGAGCCTCTAAGGAGGTAACTAAGGTTAGAGGAGGTCATCAGGTGGGTCCTGGGTCCCTATGAGAAGAGAAAGAGACGTGGGGTTTGCACGTGCACAGAGGAGAGGCCACATGATGCCACGGTGAGAAGGGACCGATGGCAGGCCCAGAGCATAGCCTCAGGAGGACCAGCCCTGCCATGCCTGACCCTGAAGCTCCAGCCTCCAGACCCGGGAGGAAATTAACTTCTGTTGCCTGGGCCACCCAGTTCACAGTGTTCTGCTTCAGCCGTCCAGGCTGCCCGAGACACGGGCTCAGCACCTGCCTAACGGGATGCACAGCACTTCGGACGGGGCATCATCTCAAGGTCACACCTGCTTCCTGCTGGGTCCCAGGCGCACAGCCGTGGCTCCTAACGGCTCCTCTCTGCACCTCCAAGTGGAACCGCTGCCATGTCGAAACGGCTGTGGGCCAAGGGCAGGGCGCAGACCAGCAGGCCGCAGAAGAGCGCAGCACACCACACATGTGGGGTTGAGGGAGAAGCTGGCCCCGGTTCTTTACAGTCTTACTGGAAAAATTAATTCAAATTGGGCTTTGTCTAAGCACCCCCTCGTGGGCTGAAACCTGGAGGAAGGGCCATAAACAAAGCACCCGGCAAATGATAGAGCAGGACGCCGTGAGGAGCCGTCGTGGGCTGCTCCAGGGACCAAGTCTTATTTCACATCTTCATTAGTGATCTGGAAGGAGCCATAAACAGCACATTAATTCCACTGCCAGATGACACTGAATTTGGAGGTGCTACAGAAAGTCAATGAGGACAGAGAGATGATACAAACGGGATCTGAAGAGTCAGTGAGGAACGCAAGAAACAACACAGGAGTCGGCCTCGAAAAAATGGCCCACTATTCCAGAGCCATGCCTCATTTCCATAACACAACTAAACAAAAAACACAGGTGCTCCCTACTGTCTGAAGCCCCTTGCTATTCACGTCCTTCATATCCAGAACCAGGACTCTCATTCTGCAATGCTCAGCTCTGTCCCGGCAATCAGAGTTCTCCTCACACACCGTTCCAAACTCTGAAGCCAAAATACATCTGGTGACGTGCTACTCCTCGATCGCCACACATGCACCCCAAACTCAGGAGGGGTGCTTGTTTACATAAACACCTTTGAGCTCACCTGCGACCTGTCCCCTGAAGAAGACCTGGTGCAACGTGTTTACAAAGACAATCGTGGGACTCTGAGCTACAGGAAGAATGCCAAACGATTCTATGATGTCTCCTAAAAAGACAAGAAGGAATTCAGATACTTGGAACTTACCCCAGCAACAAAATAGTTGGGTCCATAACATCTAATTTTACTTCTAAAGACAGAAAGGAGAAAAGTGTTTAAGATATTTAATCTCATTGGCTTCTAAACTCCAGTGCTTGAGCGTCATTACAAATGTCACTCTGAGACAATAGTTACATCTCCATCCTGCGTGACAAAAACCAGCAAGAAGAAAACATGTTTATACAACAAGGCGTATTTACAAAATCTGTGCCTCAGAAGCAGCATCCTTGAAGCCTTGTAGCTGTAGGTCAGGTGCTCTGGAAGTGCGCTGTGTGCTCCTAATTAGCGCTGCTGGCCCGGCAGGTCATTGCAACAACTCCCTCAGGGGAAAAGGCCAATGGCACAGAGGACTCAACTTGATCATTCCCAGAAAGCGCCGATCCCCGTGCCTGGCACATGAGCACTCGATGGGAGCTGTCATTGTCATCATCTTCACGGTCATCTTCGTTATCCCGTTACCTCATGTATAAAATAAGGATGATGAAAATGATGGAAGCCAAAAACCGTACATGACCTGCCCAAGGACCCACCACGAGTAGTGGAGTTGGGGCCCAAGCTCCAGTCTTCTGAGGTTTCCTTATCACTCTCCATGCCCAAGTACCGGCTACAGTCGAGGCTGTTCTGTCCACCACGCCCGGTGTGCTCTTCCTCCCTCCAGCAAACAACACTGCACCTGCGGGCAACACCACCCCTGCAGGCAACACCACCCCTGCAGGCAGAGCAATACCACACCTGCGGGCAACACCGCACCTGCAGGCAGGGCAATACTGCACCTGCGGGCAACACCACCCCTGCGGGCAACACCGCACCTGCAGGCAGGGCAATACTGCACCTGTGGGCAACACCACCCCTGCGGGCAACACCACCCCTGTGGACAACACCGCACCTGTGGACAACACCGCACCTGTGGGCAGGGCAATACTGCACCTGCGGGCAACACCACCCCTGCGGGCAACACCACCCCTGAGGCAGAGCAATACCACACCTGCGGGCAACACCACCCCTGAGGCAGAGCAATACTGCACCTGCGGGCAACACCACCCCTGCAGGCAGAGCAATATCACACCTGCGGGCAACACCGCACCTGCAGGCAGGGCAACACCGCCCCTGGGGGCAACACCACCCCTGCGGGCAACACCACCCCTGCAGGCAACACCGCACCTATGGGTGACCCGCACCTGCAGGCAGGGCAACACCATACCTGGGGATAACACACCTGCAGCCAACACCACACCTGCAGGCAGGGCAACACCACACCTGCAGACAACACTATACCTGCGGATGACACCACACCTGCGGGCAGGACAACACCGCACCTGCAGACAGCACGACACCTGTGGGCAACACCGCACCTGCGGGCAGGAAAACACCACACCTGCGGACAACACTGCACCTGTGTGCTCCAGGTCCTGCATACAAAGTCCCAGAGGCAGCCCCCAGCAACTCTGCTTCCTCTTCTTGCACTAAGGTGGGAGGGCACAGACGCTCTCTTTGCTAGGCTATGTTAACATTTATCACTAACAAATGAACTATTTATTAGACCAGGCAGCAATGAAACTCACAGTTTATGGTAAATAAGACTTAGCAACCCACACCCTAAAGGAAGTATCATTGAACTGAAATAATAACTTGTTCCCTGAAATCACAACAAACAGAACTCAGGTGAATTGATATTTCATGCTGTTTTCCTCTCTCTCACCAAAGTGACCCCAGTGAACTATTTCCATAGGAATCCCAAAAGAAAAAGGACCAAAAGAAACCCTTTCTGTTGTTAATTCAGCAGATACACTCAACTTCAGACCTGTCTGGGCTTATGCCTCCAAAGCAAAACCCTCTTCAGCTGACAATTTGGTTAGTGCACGGCTATTCCAGAGAAGATAGGTCACCTGACTCTGTTTTTGTTAGTCTTAAAAAAAATTAGAGCCCCAAAAATAAGCTTAAAATAAAATGCAAAATGTTTTCATTTCAAAACATATTTTACTTGAGATGGTGTGAAAATTAAAGACGGGCTGGCACTGTCAAGGTGTTTTTATCTAACATATCTGAACAGGGCAGGAGGCTCCACCTGAAGCATGCTGCTGAGGGGAACGACACCACGCAGCCTCCCGGCCCAGGGAGAGCTCTCGGGAATGTGCTCCAAACGACAGCTCCCTGGAGATCATGTCTTGATTTCTTTCTCTTTTCAAGGTGCTATTTCTTGGCACCAGCATCATGAGAAAATTTAACTCTCACCTTTCCCAGCTGAGCACCTATACCCTGAAAAAAGGAAAGGAGTCAATCTTTTAACATCTGCACAGAAAATGGGAAGGAAACTTTAACCGGAGACACACAAGCCGGCATGCTTGAGAAATGTATCAGCATCTTGAGTGCAGCAGAGCGTCCTCTGCCCCCGCCGCCCCGTCTTTAAGCAGGCACTTGACGATGAGGCTGATGGATTCCAACTTTTCTCCCCACCTCTCACGTACTCCATTCTTTCAAAGGGCTCTCGGTCATTTTCTCTCAGAATTCTGGTTTCACAAAGAGGAGACTAAGAATACTATTTTCCAGCGAAAACCCACTTCTTCTCTCAGCTTATTTTCACAATGCAAAGTAACCACTCAAAAATGCAACTTTCTTCTCATTTGGTGCAGAGATCAAGGGGAAAATGCATCTTTAAACAAGAACCATTGTATCTTGACTTTCTTGTTAATCTGTAGAGGAGGATACAGTTTTCACTATGAGCAGAGAGCCTCCAGACCTCGAAGCTAAAAGAAATCTCAGGAACCCTCTAGTTCAGCACCTTCTTTCTACAGCTTAAAAAGCACGTCCTGGACCAGGCGGGCACATCAGACATCACTCCCAGTGAACAGAAGGCACAGACGCTGCCTCATCCACGGACTCCTCAGCAGTGGAAATCTCCACAAAGGCCACGCTGCCCACAGCCACGCATGAGCTCAAATGATACAGGCTGCTCTTCACAATGAAGGATTCCAAAAGCCAATTCTCGACAGCATCTTATCCGAGGGATCGGTGGTGAATTCCACCCTCACTTCACGGGAAGATGTCCAAAGACCTGGGCCCAGGGCATATTCCACTGTCGGATCAGGAGCCAGAGTGGGATTCTGAAATCCGCTCTTCCCAGCGAGGTCAGCACGGTCCTCCCCTGGCAGGGCCTCCGTGGTGCCTTGGCTTTAGGGCTGACGGTCACGGTGAGGTGATGGTCACGGTGAGGACCCTAAAGCAGCGTTGAAACTGCACTAGCTGACCAGGACACACTGGCTGTGTCGCTCATGTCTGCCCCATTAGATGGTGGGTGCCTGGAGTTTGGGACTGAGTCTTCTCATCTCTCTGTCCTGAGTACTTACTGTTTTGTCTCGATCACAACAAAAGCTCAAAAAATGTTTTCAAAAAGGCAAATGACAATGAATGTCTAGAGCAGGAAATAGAAAAGGGTCTTAGCCGTAACCACGGTTAAGTTTCCTTTCTTGCAGATGACAAAAATGGAACCTACAAAGTTCAGGTGTCAGAGATTACAGGACTGATTTTTGGCAAAATCACGGCAAAACTTAAGTCTCCTAAGTTGCAATCCTGTGGTCTTCCTCATCCAGCACTGACTGTGGACGCCCTAACTTGGTGAGCAGCCTTGGGATGAATTCCATTGACAGAGTCCCTCGCACACACATCTGCCTTTGGCTGAACAGAGAG
This sequence comes from Homo sapiens, assembly GCF_000001405.40. Classification (NCBI taxonomy): domain Eukaryota; kingdom Metazoa; phylum Chordata; class Mammalia; order Primates; family Hominidae; genus Homo; species Homo sapiens. The sequence continues at coordinate 3,322,694 of NC_000002.12, forward strand.
GCCACAGGGTCCGGTGAAGACAGCACAGCCTGGAGGCAGAGCTCAAAGCCGGAATCCCAAATCCGCCCTTGCACTGCGCAGGTGGCCTTGAGAAAGTCACTCACAATGCTCCAGTTCCTTCATCAGCAAAGTGGGAAGTCCCCAGGCCAGTGCTCACTAGGGAGCTTAAGGCAGGGCCCTGTCCCATCAGCACCGTCCCTCCCGCAGCTGCCGAAGCGAGTGGGTGATCTGGCTGGGATGCCTTGGCGTACGTGCGAGGTGTCCCTGTCGCCACAGCCAATATATAAGCGAAAAGCGACAAACGTTACGAAAATGCAAAAACATTAAAGTCTTCATAACCTCTGGCTCTTTCCGGAGATTCAGAAATTGGCAGATAAGCTAATCTTATATTACAGTTCCTCTCTCTGATTTTTTCTTTAAAAAAAAAAAACCTAGTCACTGAAGAGGATAATCTCTCAGGATGATAAAAATTATAAAATTTCATTCCATATTTGCAATGATTCCATATAGGCGTGTCAGAAGACCAGAAATTAAAGGTTTTAGGCTCAAGACGTGGAATCCCCGGTTAAACCAGTGGTCCCCCCAGCCAGGAACGAGGCTTCTGGCAGGGACACCAAAGGTGATGTGGGGGTGGTATCTGCCTGAAAGGTTTGGGGAACTGCCCCCAGTATCCCCGGCTTCCTACGACAAATCTGACACCATGAGGACATCCATGCCCTTCATCTGTTCATATTTTTAGTCTCCTTCACTGATGAGGGTAAAGAGTTCCTTAAGTTTCCTCCGAGCCCTGCACGCGACAAGGTCTTCATTCTGCATTTTCTCCTTGTGGCCTCGGGGCACAGGTCCACGATGGACATGGGCCCTCAGCCAACGTTCGCCGTGTTGTCAGCCTCCATGAACCAAGCCACGTGAGCAGCCTCCTCCTGAGGAGTGCCTTTAAAGTCCCTTACAGAGAATTACCATGTGAGGGAGAGTCTGGGAGCTATGGTGGCAAGACGTGAAGACACCCAGAGCAGAGTCTGGATGGGCCCAGGTTTGAATCCAGCCTCCAGGCAACCTCTATGAACCCTGTTTTCTCATCTGAAAAGCTGGGATTTCCAACAGTGTCTGCTGCTTAGTATCACGGGGCTAAATGAACCCATCTGCATAAGGAGGCAGCACAGTGCGTGGCACAGGCAGCACTGGGCCCTGCTGGCGGAGGCAGGGGTGCTCCGCTGCTGCCGTGTTGGAGTAGGCAGCAAGGGTGAGGCTGAACACTCTTGGAAGGTTCAGAGTCAAGGCCCAGACATGTAGGAAAACTGAATTCACAGCGCCAGTGTGAAAACAATGACGGGACAGAACAACGATTTAAGAAATCACATAACAAAAGCATGTTATGCACACGGCCTTCTCTGAATCCCAACAAAGTCTAAAGTAGTCAAGGCAGACGGAATTCCTCCCATCTTACAGATGAGAAGACTGAGGCTCAGAGACAGGAGCACCTCCTCCCCAGGCACTGCACGAGCGACATGTGGCACTGTGAAAGCCAGAGCAGGTCCCCAGCCCCTGGAGCGCAGGACCCACCCGAGACAGCTCACTGCCCCTGGGGACATGATTAACGGCCCCTGCAGGGACACCCACAGAGCCCATGATGAGCAGCACACGAGGCTGCACCATTCCCGGCACCCACCTGGCTTTCCCAGCTCCTCCCGGGCAGTGGCCCAGTGCTTAGACAGTGTCGCTCCGTGTGCCCACTGCTGCTCCTCAGGATGCAGGATGCTGCCCTCCAGGCTGGACTCCCAGGCCGTGGCCACATACGGGCCCTGCAGCTTCGGGCAGCTGTCTGTCCTGGGGGGATTCTCCCATGATGCTAACTCAGGCTTAGGGCAGCCCCTGGCCACCCACCCGCTCAAGGCGGCACCTTCTGAAAGCCGACCCTGCCCAGGGCACCACTTGTTTGTGAAGCATTTCGTGACCACTCGTCACTCTAATAATCAGTCTCTCAGGACGTCCTCAACTCTGGTCAGTGGGATGATGCAGTAGGCAGGAGGCCCGCTGGAAGATCCCCAGGATCCAGCCTCGTGGGCCCCGGTCACGCCGGGGGGAGTGCAGGCGGCCTGCGCGCTCAGACTTCCGAAGTGGCCGCTGCCGCGCCTCCAGCACCTCGGGGGGAGGGCCTGACCCTCACCAGGCTGGGGTCAGTGGCGCCTTGGTTTTAGGGCCTCACGCCTCACAGGAGCTGTAACAACCTGAAAAGCAGCGCTTCCAGGTTCCCACAATCTGGCAGGACCGCCACCCTCAGCAAGGCCAAAGAACGGCCTCCAGGGGTTTAGGGTCAGAGTCCTAAGTCCAGACACAACTGCCTGATCAGTTCTGTCTTTTATCATAAGCAACCCTGCCTAGTGACCTGCTAGAGCACTGCCCCTCTCTGGTTCCCAGGGAGACAGAGCTACAACTGGGCCCAAAAAGGAAAGTTGACGAGAAGGCCAAGCTCTGGGCTCCCTGCAAGGGCCGGCGGTCAGGACCACCCCAAATATCATCCTGCATCACTGAGCAGCCCCAAGAGGTGTCCCCAGCGTGGGGCCCTGTGCAGCGAGCCTGTGCAGAGCACGCCTGATGCTCACAGGTACAGTGGGAGGTGCATCTCCAGGTTGTGAGAATGGGAATTCTCCCACTGCGGAGGAGATGAGGTGAAAAGGAGGTGGGGTCTTCAGAGAGGACCAGCATCCTGTCCACTGTGGCCCTTTGGATTTGGCAAAGGAAAGTCAAGACAGTGAAGCGGTGACAGGAAGCTGGGGCGGGCCACCTTCCACTCGAGGGCCGCCCAGTGAAAGGGCCCATTTCAGCACAAAACCTTCCCTGTGCCACCCTCCCTACTCCCAACCCCCGAAAACAGAGCTTCTGTCCTTGTCTTCAGGGAGCCACACCAATGGCAGAGGAAAGAGAAAGCATATCCTACTGTGACAGCATCCTTTACACACTGCTACGTGTTTGCATAACAGGGCCTGGGGACCTTCTCTGAAGGGACCCTCCACAAGCCTCATGTTTCACTTGAGAGATTACCGCACAGTTTGCATTCTACTTTGTAACATATCTACATTCATTTCAGGCTATAAATCATGTTTTCATTACTCAAAATCAAATAGAAGTAACACTACAGAAAGACGCACCACCCTTATCCTGTGGCTTCAGGTGCCCCTGGCACCCTGCCACCCACCCCTGGAGGTGCTGTGCCCTGCTTAAGAAGCTCCCATCATGGAAGGGAAGGCTCGGTCAGTGAGCCGTGAGGGCGGATAGACTCCTGGGCTGGCCCAATGCTTCCAGTGGGCTTTGTTGCCTGTGCCAGGGGCTCCTGAGGCGGCTGCTCCCCAGTGCAGAGGAGGCTATGGCTGCAGCACTGCCCCCCTCTCCTGGGGGTAAGGGGTAAGGTGCCCTGGACTGGGCATAAGGTGTGCTCTAGATGCTCAGAGCCCACTGCTCAGGACTGTTTGCACACATCCCTGGAGTCCCGTCCTTGCAGGGTACATAGATCCAACTCTGAGACAAACCTGTTCACAGCAGCCTCATGTTTTCTCATTATTTAACAGCGGTGTTAGTCAACTGTGCCCATTTTACAGATGAACGCTCCAGAGGTTACTTGACTGGTCCGGGATTGGAGAGCCGGTAAGCAGCAGAGGGAAAAGCAGAGAGTCTAGGTTTTCCAGCCACCAAATCTGGTGCCCTCTCCACTGCCCGATACCCCTGCAAGACCGCTGCCTCCCCAGCCTCCACTGCCCTGCTCCCACCATGCCCACCTAAGGAGGTAAAAGAAAGGCTGGGAAAATACCTGGACCACTTTACATCTAGCTCCCCTTTTTAATTTTTCAGTACAACCTGACAGTGGGTCTCACTCATTCACAAACGCCTCCCTGGAGTGTGCTAAGTTCTCATGTCCAGGGTGTGACAGAAGAAGCGAGACAGAGAAAGGGGGAAGAACCCATTCCGCGTCACACACATTTCACTTCCAGGACACTGCAGTACCTAAGGATGCAGACCCAGAGGAATTTAGCTGCTCAGTTGTCATTCTCTTACGTTTCCTCCTACTGATTTATTCAGTACACCTCAGCAGCCTTGTTCCCAAGAAAAATCCACTGTATCTTCCTAAATCTCACTGAGATGATAATTTCAACATAGTTCAAATTAGTCGATTCAGTCTGTCACTATGTTCTGAGCAGCTATGATGTAGCAAAATGGCTGATCCCTCAAACGGAGTCATGTTTCAGAGGAAGATGGTGCCAGGATGAGCGGCCGAAGCTGCGTGGCCTCTGCAGGCCAGGGTGCTTGGCACAGAGGCAGGCAGCCGCGTCCAGGCCTGCCGGGGGCTTCCAGTCAGCAGGCGAGACAGGAAACAGGGAGACAAGTGCTCTGGCAGAAACGGCCACACAGGGGCCGGGAGATGGGGTGGGACCCCGGGGAGCTAGGGTAGAGCGGGGCCTTCAGGAGGCGGTGGATATGCCATAGATGTCATGTCATGTCATTTCATTTATTTTTTGAGACAGTCTCATCCTGTCGCCCAGGCTGGAGTGCAGTGGCATGATCTCAGCCTACTGCAACCGCCACCTCCCGGGGTCAAGCGATTCTCCTGCCTCAGCCTCTCGAGTAGCTGGGACTACAGGCACGCACCACCACACCCGGCTAATTTTTGTATTTTTAGTAGAGATGGGGTTTCACCATGTTGGCCAGGCTTGTCTCGAGCTCCTGACCTCAAGTGATCTGTCCGCCTTGGCCTCCCATAGTGCTGGGATAACAGGTGTGAGTCACTGCGCTGGCCCTTTTCCATTTTTAAAAAAATTTTATTGTCTATACTTAAGGTCTGCAACATGATGCTGAGATAGAGAGAAAAGGTCACTATAGTGAAGCGAATTAACATATCCATCAGCTCACACAGTTGCTCATTCTCTTTTTCTGTGGCAAGAGTAGCTACAATCCACTCATTTAGTGAAAATCCCAAATATGATAGAAGATAATCAACAACAGCCCTGCTGTAAATGAGGCCTCTGGCCTTCTCCATCCAACATACCTGCTACTTTGCATCCTCAGACCTACAGTTCCCAGTGCCCCTTCCTTAACCATGTAACCATGGTTTTATTCTCAATCTCTGTATACTCAACTCGTTTTGTTGTTAAACTCCACAGATGAACTATCCTGTATTTTTTTTTTCTTTTTGAGATAGGGTCTAACTCTGTCACCCAGGCTGGAGTGCAGTGGCACAATCACGGGTCACTGCATCTTCTCGTGTTGCCCAGACTGGTCTTGAACTCCTGGGCTCAAGCAATCTACCCACCTTGGTCTCCATTTCTAAGGGTAAAAAAGAGCTCCCGATGTGTAGACAAGAGAGGGTGGGGAGTGGGCCAGAGCCATAGAAAGGCACAAAGGCAGAGGGATGGCACCTGGGGAGCCGTGGGAAGCTCATGTGTTGGCACCGTTCCCTGGAACTCAGACCTCCAGGTCCAAACATCCGTGCTCACACCTGTCACAGCAGACTACCTCAGACGGGAAGCACATGAGTCTGCCTCACACTGAGAGATCCCTCTCTAAGGACCATTTCCACCTGGGGGGTGCCACCCCTATGGCCTGCTCATCACATGGGGTCCACCACGTTTAATGCTCTAGAGGGGTCAGCCTGGGTTCCCTGGATCAGAGCCCACCCACCACACTCTAATGATCTCAGGGTGCCAGCCAGGCTCCCCTGAATCAGAGCCCATCCACCACGCTCTAATGATCTCAGGGTGCCAGCCTGGGTTCCCCTGAATCAGAGCCCACCCACCAAGCTCTAATGATCTCGGTGCCAGCCAGGCTCCCCTGAATCAGAGCCCACCCACCACGCTCTAATGATCTCAGGGTGCCAGCCTGGGCTCCCCTGGATCAGACTCTACCCACCACGCTCTAATGATCTCAGGGTGCCAGCTGGGCTCCCCTGGATCAGAGCCCACCCACCACGCTCTAATGATCTCAGGGCACCAGCCAGGCTCCCCTGAATCAGAGCCCACCCACCACGCTCTAATGATCTCAGGGCACCAGCTGGGCTCCCCTGAATCAGAGCCCACCCACCACACTCTAATGATCTCAGGGCACCAGCCAGGCTCCCCTGAATCAGAGCCCACCCACCACGCTCTAATGATCTCAGGGCACCAGCTGGGCTCCCCTGAATCAGAGCCCACCCACCACACTCTAATGATCTCGGGGTGCCAGCCTGGGCTCCCCTGAATCAGAGCCCACCTACCACGCTCTAATGATCTCAGGGCACCAGCCAGGCTCCCCTGAATCAGAGCCCACCCACCACGTTCTAATGATCTCAGGGTGCCAGCCTGGGCTCCCTGAATCAGAGCCCACCCACCACGCTCTAATGATCTCAGGGCACCAGCCAGGCTCCCCTGAATCAGAGCCCACCCACCACGCTCTAATGATCTCAGGGCACCAGCCTGGGCTCCCCTGAATCAGAGCCCACCCACCAGGCTCTAATGATCTCAGGGCACCAGCTGGGCTCCCCTGAATCAGAGCCCACCCACCAGGCTCTAGTGATCTCAGGGCACCAGCTGGGCTCCCCTGGATCAGACTCTACCCACCACACTCTAATGATCTCAGGGCACCAGCTGGGCTCCCCTGAATCAGAGCCCACCCACCACGCTCTAATGATCTCGGGATGCCAGCCTGGGCTTCCTTGGATCAGTCCACCTACCACACTCTAATGATCTCGGGGTACTAGCCCGGACTCCCCTGGATCACAGGTCTACCCACCATGCTCTAATGATCTCGAGGTTCCAGCCAGGCTCCCCTGAATCAGAGCCCACCCGCCACACTCTAATGATCTCGGGGTGCCAGCCTGGGCTTCCTTGGATCAGTCCACCTACCACACTCTAATGATCTCAGGGTACTAGCCTGGACTCCTCTAGATCACAGATCTACCCACCATGCTCTAATAATCTCCGAGTGCCAGCCTGGCTCCCCTGAATCAGAGTTCACCTATCATGCTCTAATGATCTCAGGGCACCAGCCTGGGCTCCCCTGCATCAGGCTCTACTCGCCATGCTCTAATGATCTCAGGGTATTAGCCTGGGTTCCCCAACATCAGAGTCCACCCACCATGCTCTAATGATCTCAGGGTGCCAGCCTGGGCTCCCCCAGATGAGGGTTCCATGACCACTCTCTAATGACCTCGGGGCACCAGCCTGGGCTCCCTTGGATCAGTCCACATACCACAGTATAATGATCTCAGGGTACTAGCCTGGACTCCCCTGGATCACAGGTCTACCCACCATGCTCTAATGATCTCGAGGTGCCAGCCTGGGCTCCCCCAGATGACAGTTCCATGACCATTCTCTAATGATCTTGCGGCACCAGCCTGGGCTTCCTGGGTCAGAGGTCCTTAGATATTGACAAGGTTCCCCTCGGCGAATTCCTGAAGTTTAGGAGTGAGGAACTAAATTCCATTCTTGTTTTTCTATAGAAACCCACAAAGTGCTCTGGAGTGACCACCACTCAATACGTATAACCTCAGCTAAATGCAGGAGTTAGTTTCACTCTGCAAACATGTTTTTCAAGCAAGGTGTAAAAGTCTGTGAAAATATTTAGAGAGCAGCAAGAGAAGTGGATGAAAGTTTTCAAAATGGCTTGCACTAGTATAACAGATCAAGTTAGGACACGGTCACAAAGACACAAAAGGGGACACAATGGAAGGTCCAGAGCAAGGGGGACACAGAGCCAGACCACTGGTGCCCTCTGTTGATTGAGAGGCCACCACACAGAGTGTCGCCGAGGATGGTGTGAGCAGAGGCAGGCACACACTCATGAAACAGTGTGAGAAGAGGCAGACACACCCACCCAGGAGACAGTGTGAGCAGAGGTAGGAATGCGCACACTCACGAGACAGTGTGAGCAGAGGCAGGTATGCACTCGTGAGATGGTGTGAGTGGAGGCAGGAGCACACACTCATAAGACAGTGTGAGAAAAGGCAGGTGCACACACATGAGACAGTGTAAACGGAGGCAGGTACATGCACACTCATGAGACAGTGTGAGCAGAGGTAGGCACGTGTACACTCGTGAGATGGTGTGAGCAGAGGCAAGCGCATGTACACTCACGAGAATGGTGTGAGCAGAGACAGGCACGTGTACACTCGAGATGGTGTGAGCAGAGACAGGTGCACACACTCATGAGACGGTGTAAGCAGAGACAGGTGCACACACTCATGAGACGGTGTAAGCAGAGACTGGCAAGTGTACACTCGTGAGATGGTGTGAGCAGAGGCAAGCGCATGTACACTCACGAGATGGTGTGAGCAGACAGGTGCACACACTCATGAGGTGGTGTGAGCAGAGGCAGGCATGTGTACACTCATGAGACACATGAGCAAAGATGGGCACACACTCATGAGATGGTGTGAGCAGAGGCAGGCACACACTCCTGAGGTGGTGTGAGCAGAAGCAGGCGTGTGCACACTCATGAGATGGTGTGAGCAGAGGCAGGTGTACACTCATATGGTGTGAGCAGAGGCAGGTGTGTATACACTCATGAGATGTGTCAGCAGAGGCAGGTGTGTACACACTCATGAGATGGTGTGAGCAGAGGCAGGTGTGTATACACTCATGAGATGGTTTCAGCAGAGGCAGGTGTGTATACACTCATGAGATGGTGTGAGCAGAGGCAGGTGTGTATACACTCATGAGATGGTGTGAGCAGAGGCAGGTGTGTATACACTCATGAGATGGTGTGAGCAGAGGCAGGTGTGTATACACTCATGAGATGGTGTCAGCAGAGGCAGGTGTGTATACACTCATGAGATGGTGTCAGCAGAGGCAGGTGTGTATACACTCATGAGATGGTGTCAGCAGAGGCAGGTGTGTATACACTCATGAGATGGTGTCAGCAGAGGCAGGTGTGTATACACTCATGAGATGGTGTGAGCAGAGGCAGGTGTGTATACACTCATGAGATGGTGTCAGCAGAGGCAGGTGTGTATACACTCATGAGATGGTGTCAGCAGAGGCAGGTGTGTATACACTCATGAGATGGTGTCAGCAGAGGCAGGTGTGTATACACTCATGAGATGGTGTGAGCAGAGGCAGGTGTGTATACACTCATGAGATGGTGTGAGCAGAGGCAGGTGTGTATACACTCATGAGATGGTGTGAGCAGAGGCAGGTGTGTATACACTCATGAGATGGTGTGAGCAGAGGCAGGTGTGTATACACTCATGAGATGGTGTCAGCAGAGGCAGGTGTGTATACACTCATGAGATGGTGTCAGCAGAGGCAGGTGTGTATACACTCATGAGATGGTGTCAGCAGAGGCAGGTGTGTATACACTCATGAGATGGTGTCAGCAGAGGCAGGTGTGTATACACTCATGAGATGGTGTCAGCAGAGGCAGGTGTGTATACACTCATGAGATGGTGTCAGCAGAGGCAGGCCCACGTGGTGTACCCTAATTCAGAAACATACATTAGAAATAAAAGCAGCAAAGTTGGGGTTTTTTAATGTTTATCTGAAACATACGCTTTTTTCTCAATGAACCTTAAGAAAACCGTGGGTGAAACAAGTTCTAAATATGGAAAGTGAGATGCACGGAAAGGTCAAGGCCTGCTGGCAGCACATTCTGAAGTGCACACAAATTGGGGAGGGAGGTGACTGGAAGTACCCGGCAGCTCCGAAGGGAGAAACCCCAAGAGAAATATGTCACTCATGCTAATTCCCTGCGTGACCAGGCTTCTTCCAGGTGGCAACACCACAGCCTCTCAGGGCTCCAGGTCCAATTGAGACCTGAAGGTTGTGCTGTTATTTGCTGTGTGTGGAGGCCTGCGTCCTCCTCGGAGGCCAGCCTGCCACCTGCCACCATCCCCACAGCCATGTCCAACCCACAATCTACGCCCACAGACCAGTTACTGTTGAGATCTCTCCTGTTCCAAGTATGTACAGTCCTGTCGAGACAGCTTCTACCCTGGGCACAGTCCCTCATTTTGCTTTCATGGAGATGCATTTTTCTTATCAAATTATCAGAAAGGAGAGTTCAAGTTCTTTTTTAAATCTTCATCATCTATATAGAAAACGTTCCATGAGTTTATTGTGCTACAACTCCCCCTTCCACCAACTCCAAGAATGTCTTTTTCACAATCATCACAGGTAATAACTGAAAACAGATCAACAGCAGTTATAAATCCCTATCAGTAATCGATGGCAATCTGTCACTTGTTCCTTGCATGAATAGAGATTTAAGCTAGGAGAGATGGATGTATGGGTTTAATCTGAAAATGTTTGACTTTTTAAGATACTTTAACCTCATGCAAATTTTCTATCATTTTCTAAGACAGTGTGAAGAGAACATCACTCTTCAAGGAGACTGCCTGTGGGCGCCAGATCCTTCAGCTGTGCACGGGGAGCTCAACACTGACATTCCTGACCACCCTTCTTAAGAATAGTAAGGGTACAGAGAAAGGGTTTCTCGCTTGCATTTTAAAAAATAAGTCACGAGCTCAGCCACTTCTGCATATTTGTGATGTTCATTCTAGCATGTGCTTGCGTGCACAAGAATTCTACCACACTGCAGACTTCCACTGATTTGCAGAGATTCAGTGTGGCACAATAAACAGATAAAATGTAAACGCTGTTGCTTCTGACAAATAACCAATAGCCACGTCCTAAAGAAGAGCCGGGCCCTCCAAATGAACTCTGTTTCTAGACACCCTCCTCAGAGGCCCCTTCTCCATGGCTGCGTCTCCTTTCCTCCCCATAAGATAAGATCCATGGAAGGCCAGGTGTGGTGGCTCACAGCTGTAATCCCAGTGCTTTGGGAGGGTGAAGCGGGTAGATCATTTGAGCTCAGGAGTTCAAGACCAGCCTGGCAACACAGTGAGACCTCATCTCTACTAGAAATTTTTTTAAAAATCAGCCAGATATGGTAGTGCATACCTGTGGTCCCAGCTAGTTGAGAGACTGAGATGGGAGGATTGCTTGAGCCTGGGAGGTGGAGGTTGCAGTGAGCCAAGATTGTGCCACTGCACTCCAGACTGGGTGACAAGAGCCAAGAGCAAGACCCTACCTCCAAAAAAAAAAAAAAAAAAAATCATGAAAAAGGATTTTAGGACATCTGTGAAGAAAGACACGGAAAGCAGCTTTAGAAGAGGGCAACTGTCTTTCGGAAGGAGGGTGCTCCTAACAACTCACGCCAGCTGGCCCTGTGATCGGCCTGCCCTCTCCACGTGCGGTTCTACTGTCCACACTGGCTGCCCCACGCAGGGTGTGCGCCGAAAGGTGTGTCTCAGAAGCCCTCAGCCTCTTCATTAAAAGATGCCACCGTTCACCAAAATATCACACAAACTAATGGAAACAAAAAGAAGGAAGGGGCTACAAAAGAGCAACAACAAAGAAAACACACGTGGGTCTCCAAGTACAGCAGACAACAGGAGCTTCTCTATAAGCACCCCTAACAAACGGCACACACACAGGAAACGCCGCAAGATGCCTCCCACCAGCCCAGGCACCGGCAGGGTAAAAGCACAATAGGAGAAAACACTACTGGAAGACAAAGAGGATAAATTGCAACTCTGATCTTTACAAAGAGATTTGTTATAACGAAGTGATGATTTAAGCAATGCCGTCTAATCTAAGTCTGTGGTGCTTCTGGATTTAATTCATATATGATTCATGGCAATGTGGAAGCCTAGTGATTTACAGGTGAGCTAAGGGCAAAAACTACAGAGCACAAGTATGTTTGCAAAACACATGAAGTCTCTAGAATGTTTTCCCTGCCCTGCGTTATGCACAGCAAGCTTAGGTCTGTGACTCCAGGCTTTTCCGGAGGCACCTGAAGCAGGAGGGCCTGGCGCCTTGCCCCACGGGTGCGACCACTGCTGCAGATGACCTGATTCAGATGAGACGTGGCGCCGTGTGTGCTTCGAAGGGCGAAGAGCCAGGTTAAGCACGAGTCAAGCAGCTGTGCTGCTCTTTCCTGATCAGAGCAGGAACTTGCAGCATTTCACACTGGAAAACAGCCTTCCCTGTGGGATGTAAATCTCAGTTCTGCTATGGCAGGAATAAAATAGAATTCTTGGAACTTAGACATGAATGTTGTGGAACAATTTCGTCTTTCTTCCTTGAGAGGCTGACAGATTAGGGAAATACTTAACAGAAGATCTATGCTGCCTTCAAAGTCTGGCAGAAAGAGTCAGTCTCTGGAAGCCACGACTGGAAATCACGAGATCCAGGGTAACTTGAAGGACACAATCAACTTACACCTGTGGACGACCAACAAGACCAAGAGTGCTTGGCAATTGTTTTAGTTTTCTGTTGCTTCTACAAATTGCCACAAACTTGGCAGCTTAACTCAAAGCCCACTTACAGCTGGGAGCAGCTGAGGGTGGTCCCAGCGGACAGCCAGGAAACAAGCCTGCATCCTACAACCCCAGGAGCCACATGAGGCGAGAGCCCTGACACAGCCTGGTGGGGGCCTGGAGACCCCAGGCCAGTGCGCTACGAAGCTACAGCCAGTACACACTGTTGAAGAGGCATGCGCTGTTGGAAGCCGCTGTTTGTGGGAATTCCTCTGCAGTGTATAATGACTATGGAAGCCGGGGCCGCAGTAACAACTGCCTGAAATGCGGGAGGAGCTCTGGATTTTGGCAGTGGGTAGAGGCTGGGAGGCTTTTGAGGAGCCACAGAAAAAGCAGAGCTTGCCTGGAATATCCAGGGTGCAGAAAGGCCATGCCCTGCAGGACCATGGAGGCAGCTCCTGTTGTGCTGAGGCTGGTCCTGCACGAGGGGGGTTTCCTGGTGGGGGGACAGGGCAAGGGTGGAGGAGAGGGCAAACGGGGAAGAGTTATACGATGGTGGAGTAACAACAAGCACAGCGTCTCCAGCCGGCAAAAGGTGCTGAGATGAAAAGCCTAACTGATGTGGTTTGGGTCTGTGTCCCCACCCAAATCTCATCTCGAATTGTAATCCCCACATGTCCAGGGAGGAACCTGGTGGGAGATGACTGGATCACAGGGTGGATTTCCCCCTTGCTGTTCTTGTGACAGTAAGATCTGGTTGTTTGAAGGTGTGTGGCTCTTCCCACTTTGCTCTCTCTCTCCTGCTGCCTTGTGAAGAAGGCCCTGGCTTCCGTCACCCCCCACTGTGATTGTGCGTTTCCTGAGGCCGCCCAGTCATGCTTCCTGTTAAGCCCGCAGAACTGTGAGTCCATTAAACCTCTTCATAAATTACCCAGTCCCAGGTAGTTCTTCACAGCAGTGCGAGAATGGACTAATACCCCGACTGTCAGGAGAGTGTGCCCCTAAGAAAAGGCCGAGGACGGGCCACACTGCATGTGGTTAAAGCCTCGGGAAGATCAGGAAGTCAGAGTGCAGGCCTAGGAAGGGCCTCTCAAGAAGCCAAGGAAGCACCTCACAGATCCTCAGGCAGAAGAGAGTGAAGGGTGAAGGGGAGGGTGAAGGGTCAAGGATGAAGGGGGCAGTCCCTTGGCCATCTTAGCAGGAGACCAAGGCAGAGAAGAGATCGTCTCTAAAAGATCTGCAGTTATGCTCTTGTCTGAGGAAGTGAAGCCTCAGGAAATCTACTGAAGACCCACAGATTCTTGAGAAATGTGTTTCTGCTGAGACACTGTCAGCTTGGACCAATCGGCACAGAGAGCAGACAAAACACAAGGAGGCTCTCGGACCCCCAACCTCCCGCTGGCAGGAGGTGCATAGCCACACTCAGCCACATGCCATGCTGCCCTCCATGTGGAAGGCAGGGCCCTCAGAGGAGGACATGGGGCAGCTGTGAAGTTAAAGTGGAAGAAGGGCCGGGCGCAGTGGCTCACGTCTGTAATCCTAGCACTTTGGGAGGCCAAGGCAGGCGGATCACCTGAGGTCAAAAGTTCGAGACCAGCCTGGCCAACATGGTGAAACCCCATCTCTGCTAAAAATATAAAAATTAGCAGGGCATGGTGATGTGCACCTGTAATCCCAGCTACTCGGGAGGCTGAGGCAGGAGAATTGCTTGAACCTGGGAGGCAGAGGTTGCAGTGAGCCCAGATTGCACCACTGCACTCCAGCCTGGGCGACAGAGTGAGACTCTGTCAAGAAAAGAAAAGGAAAAGAAAAGGAAAGGAAAAGAAAAGAAAAGGAAAAGAAAAGAAAAGGGAAGGGAAGGGAAAGGAAGGGAAAAGGGAAGGGAAGGGAAAAGGGAAGGGAAGGGAAAAGGGAAGGGAAGGGAAAAGGGAAGGGAAGGGAAAAGGGAAGGGAAGGGAAAAGGGAAGGGAAGGGAAGAGAAAAGGGAAAGGAAGGGAAAAGGGAAGGGAAAGGAAGAAGGAAGGGAAAGGGAAGGGAAAAGGGAAAAGGGAAGGGAAAAGAAAAGAGAAGGGAAAAGGGTAAAAAGAAGGGAAGGGGGAAGGGAAGAGAAAAGGGAAGGGAAAAGGGAAAGAGATGGGAAAAGGGAAAAGGGAAGGGAACAGGGAAGGGAAGGGAAAAGGGAAGGGAAACACACACAGAACCCGGTGAAAGTGGAATATTAGATCGGGATGTCCTGGTGACCAGCTTGATATATGAGCCATGCAATCCCTACACATCAATATTCTGAAGCCAGGGTATGAGAGAGAAGATCAGACAGAATGCATTAAAAGTACCTAAAAAGTCATTCAGCCTGTGGGACAAATGAAGGCAACATTTTAGAAACTATATATCAAAAACCACAAAGAATTTGTTCTGGCTTACATGGTAGAGAAAGAGATCCTAGGAGATATTTCTCCATAGAGCCAGAATTTAGAAAGTACTCATTGACGATGACCAAACAAGGAGAACTGGGGAAGAGGAAGGCTCAGTTCAGCAACTCAGACATCTGCATTGACACAAACTAAGGTCCCAGAGCTCCAAGAGCCTAGAGAGCACAACGGCGGGCAGGAAGAAGCCTATGAGGCATATCACCAGTCAACGCGCGTGTGTGCATGGAACTGCTCTTACCAAAGAGCACTGGAAGACAGTCACCAAGACACTACAGGAAAGAGATGAATCCCTGCTGCTCCCCACAACGTACAGTTTCCACATCAGGACACTTGTGTCTGCCTCACCGGAAACTCCAGCACTGTACTCCCCTGATCAAGGGGTCAACGTTCTCAGAACAGCTGATTCCAGCTTCAGTTCTTAGAATCTCAAGATTCTAATAATTTCTGCAAACATCTACTCACAATATCATGGCTTCTCTGTGCATGCAACACCTTCATTAATGGCTAAATCTTTTCAGTCATGTGTCGACCCATTAGCAATACAAAACCCGTCTTAGGAAATACCTCCAGTTACCTCCAGTTAGCAAGTACCTTAGAAAAGCCGCACTTACTTCTGTTGTAGCAGGTCGTCAGCACACCTCTGTCTGCAGGGCTAGCGCTAATATGCCAGATTTCACCCGCTTGATGGAGGAGGACATTTTTATTTATAATGTTGTTTTCATCGTCAAAATCTATGATATGGATCTACAAATACAAGAAAAGAGCACATCAGGATCTCAAACACTTTCCTCAGTACCTTCATCAGACATCATGATTACAAAGAATAGTCACATGCACATTTCGTGACAGATACATCTTTAGTTAATTGTTATTATGCCAACAGTATGTGCTTCTATAATTTAATTCTTACTGGACTCCTCTCCAAAGACAAGTTAGAAAATCCCTGTGGAGCATTTCTAAGATTGCAAGCTACGTAAGACTGCCATCCGGTCATATCCAGTCTTAAAGAAATAAGGCACCAAACGCTGTGTCCTCAAGTGGCTCTTAGACCGAGCCACTGTTGGTGTCACGGCCAGAGCTGCCCAGGGCTGTCCATATCAGCAAGGTCCTCCCAGCCTGCTGCACAGCTGCTGGGGAGGGCAGGCGCAGCAGGGCACGACTGCCTAATTAGGTCTGGGACTGACCACGCCTGGCCCACTCTGTCTATAGTGGGCAGAACTCGACTCATACTTCAGACATGATTAAGGTGGGAGAGAGTGAGAAAGGGCTGTATATTCACACACTGTTATCCTCTTTTCAAAAACAAGTCCAACAGCCGTTGGTGTCTATTATCTTATGATATTAAATAGGATAACATTTTAGCCACTCTATAAGAAAGTTAAATATACTATCTCCATGCTTTCCAGGATAACTTTTAGAGGAATTAAAATGATTTCACATTTAATTTCTTACCAATACCCAAGTCAATGAGAAAACATAATTCCTCTTTTAAAAGTAAATTTGTACTAAGAAAATATTCATGGGTCTACACAAAAGATTTATATCCAAGTACGTTTACTATGGCATTGATTATTGAAATAAAAAAAATTAGAAGTCACCTAAATGTTTAGTAATAGGAAACTGTTCAAATAAATTGCAGTATTTGATGGTAATATTGTGACGCCATTTGGTGTACTGTAGACTACTCAGTGGCATGGAACGATGTAATATATGTTTTAGAAGAGAATACACAAAAGAAACTGTACGAATGCTACATCCTTTTGTTTTGTTTTGTTTTAAAAATGTACGCGTGTCCAAATGAGAACCAGCAGGTAGGTACCTGAGTGGTGTCTGGATGGTGGAATTATAGGTGGTTTTCCTTTACTTCTTTGTGCTTTATTTGCACTTTTAACATTTTTTGCCTAACTAGGTCTGGGACTGACTGTGCCTGGCGCACTCTGCAATACGTTTGCAATCTAACATTAAATGCTATTTTTAAACTGTCTCCACGATACCCAGTAGCACCTACACATCACCCAGGCCTCAGATGGCCCTTTCATTATTTCCAACTGCTCCTCTCAGGGTCTGATAGGGCTTGGATCTGTGTCCCGTCCAAACCTCACGTCAAATTGTAATCCCAGTGTCGGACGTGAGGCCTGGCGGGAGGTGACTGGATCATGGGGGATGGGCCTTCAGGAATGGGTTAGCACCATCCCCACCTGGTGCCATCCTCACGACAGTGAATTCTCCTGAGACCTGGTCATTTAAAAGTGAGTGGCATGGGCTGGGCGCGGTGGCTCACGCCTGTAATTGTAGCACTTTGGGAGGCCGAGGCGGGCGGATCACCTGAGGTCAGGAATTTGAGACCAGCCTGACCACCACAGTGAAACCCCGTCTCTACTAAAAATACAAAAAATTAGCCGGGCGTGGTGGCGGGCACCTGTAGTCCCAGCTACTCGGGAGGCTGAGGCAGGAGAATGGCGTGAACCCGGGAGGCGGAGCCTGCAGTGAGCCGAGATGGCGCCACCGCACTCCAGCCTGGGCGACAGAGCGAGACTCCGTCTCAACAACAACAAAAAAACTTTGAGTGGCATCTTCCCTCTCCTAGCTCCTGCTTCGGCCATGTGAGGCGGCTGCTCCCCTTTCGCCTTCCGCCATGATTGGAAGTTTCCTGAGGCCTCTCCAGAAGCAGATGCTGCTATGTTTCCTGAACAGCTCCAGAAATGTGAGCCAATAAAACCTCTGTTCTTTATCAATGACCCAGTATCAGCTATTTCTTAATAGCAATATGAGAACGAACTAATACAAGGTCACCCCAGGGAGTCATTCTGGACTTGCTCAGAGTGGAATTCATACCCAGCCAGTGCCCAGAGCCATGTGAGCTGAACCACAATCTCCCAGGAGTAGAGCGGGCCGCCAGCACCGGGTCCTGGGGCCAAGGAGAAGCCAGATATGGCCGGCTTGCCCGAGGCAGAGCAGGAGCCCAGGGAGCATGCGCGCCCGCCCTCTCCATTCGGGGAACTGAAGTTTCCACAGCAGGTTCAGAAACATTCCCAGTGAACAGCTTCCAATTACAAATCACACATCTAAGAACCAGAGAAATGAACACAGCACTTGTTTTTATAAGTGAAAATTTATTGTACTCTTTTTCCTTTCCACACCCAAGGAAAGTTTACTTATGAACAGTTTTTTCCTCTGTGGACCTGTTACACATTTTATAATATATTATTAGTTATTAAATGATTACTTAGTGATATTGAGAAAAACATTTGGCAGAAACACATGTGTCCCATGACGCCACATCTCTACAATTAGGGATAGACCCTACAAACACCAAAGAAAAGGCAAGTGCAAGAATTTTCACGGCAGATATATTTATGATAGCCAAAGCAGCAAACAGCTCAGATGTCCATCAACAATAGAATGGGTAGGCCAGGCGCGGTGGCTGACATCTGTAATCCCAGCACTTTGGGAAGCCAAGATGGGTAGATCACCTGAGGTCAGGAGTTGAAGACCAGCCTGGACAATATGGTGAAACCCCATCTCTACTAAAAATATAAAAATTAGCCGGGCGTAGTGGCAGTCATCTATAATCTCAACTACTTGGGGGACTGAGGCAGGAGAATCACTTGAAGCCTGGAGGGGGAGGTGCAGTGAGCCGAGATCACGCCACTGCACTCCAGCCTGGGTGACAGAGTGAGATCCTGTCTCAAAAAAAAAAAAAAAAAAAAAAAAACAAAACAAAACTCCACAATAGAATGGGTAAATCAGTTGTGGTATATTCACAAATGCAATTCTCACAGTAATGACAAGTAACAACAACACACGCACAGACAATGCTGAGTGAGAAAAATCAGACACGAGAAGGAGCACCTTGTGCGATTACCTCAGGCAAAACCAACTGAGGTAACGACAGAGACCATTCACCGCAGGCCTGGAGTTGGCTCAGACTCCAGGAATCTGAGGGGTCTGCTGGGGTGTCCTTCATGGCAGTGACACGGGTGCACGTGGGTGTGGGCATGTGTGCATGCAGGTGTGCACCTGTGTGTGGGAGCATGGGTACACTATGCGTGTATGTGCGTGGGAGTGCGTGTGTGGGAGCATGGGTACGTGGTCTATGCATGTATGTGTGCGGGTGTGGGTGTGGGGGAGGTGCAGCTGTGTGTGGAGGGGGTGTGAGTGTGAGGCAGGTGCAGGTGTGTATGTAAGGGTGTGTGTGAGGGTCTGTGGGTACATGGCTATGGTGGGTGTACATGGGTGTGAATGTGCATGTATGTGTGGGTGTGAGGCAGGTGCAGGCGTGTGGGAGGTGTGTGGGAGGGTGTGGGTGCATCATGGGTATGGGTGTGTGGGGGGTACGTGGGCGTGGGGAACCAGTGAATGCATGTGTAAAGATGTCCCCAGTAGCACATTCTGGATGCGTGCACTTGGATGCATGTTAAGTTATAGTTATATCTTACAGGCAGAAACGCATTAGAATAAAAACTAGTAACAAATACATGAAGAAAATTTATTCTTTATTATAACCAATGACTCAAAAATTTAAAAATGAGAATTTCATCATACTAATTAATATTTATTATATTAGCCAACTTTTTCTAAGTGATGGCAACCAATACAGGGAATTCTATGATAGAATTGATCCGGATTATAACTTGTCCAATTCTTTTATGTTTGTTATAATATGTAAATAAGAACTACATAAATGTTGAAACTGAAACAATAATTTGATTTTGTGAAATCTGCCCCAAAGAATAAATGAACAAAAAAAGTGTATTATGAAATGTTACATAGCTTTAAAAGTTATGATTAAGAGCAATTATTAATACCAAAAATGTTACAAGAGAATTACATTTTAAAAGCAGGCTATAAAATGGCATGTGATTATATAATACCATCACACAGGAACACAGACCACAAGGTGATATAGCAAATTAGAAGTAATTTTTGTGTTGCTAGGGAATTTTTGTTCCTCAGTATTTTTCACATTTCCTACTTATCAGGAAATCCATTAGCACTGAAAACAGGGATGCGCTTAAATGTACTACTTTGCAAATCTGCTCCCCTGAAATGAACCAGGGCAGCAGGCGCAGCCGGGGGCTTTCTGGGCTCTTCAGGACAGTGCAGCGTGGCCCCCAAGCTGGCCCCTCGGCCTGGCTGCAGGTCTCAGCAGACCCTCTCTCCCAGTCTCCTGCCTCCACCTGGGCCCGCCTTTCTTCCCATAAAGCTGTTTTCCTTCTTGTGAAGACACAAGGCACAGCTTTCCAATGGGACTCAGCTCCTGGATGCACGCATCTCCTCTAGGTTCACCTCTTCCAGCCAGCGAGCACGCACAGGGCAGAGGGGGGATCCATGTTCCTCCCAAGCCCATGTCTCCTAATCTGGTACACTGCAATAGAAATGGTCTTTAACCTTCATTGCTAAGCCTGATGAGTCTTGAGATTTTCCCACATATCCTTATTTTATGGTTGATTCATAGAGTAGTGCAAGTACACATCTTCATGAACTGTTTTAACTCGGGGCTGTTCAAACAGGATGCCATCAACCACCATGAGCAAAATAAAGTAATGGCTGAAATTTATATTGCACCAGGCACTATGTGAAGTATTTTATACACTTGAGTGCCTTAATCCTTAAAACAGCCCTATAATATATTACTATTAATCACAATCTACAGGTGAAAAGATCGAGGCTTGAAGAGTGGAGGGCCTGGGCTCCTCCAGTTAGACACGGCACAGCCAGGCCTACAGGAGCCCCTGGTCCTGGCATGCGAGCTCTGCCGCCCCGCCACCTGCCCTGTGGATGCACTCTGCAGGGCGGCAGCAAGCCAGAGTGAGAGGCAGCTCCCAGCTGGAGGGAAGAACCAGTACCTCAACTCTCTGTTCTCAGGGCACCACCCTACACCCAGCTCACCTGAAAGTATAAACAACTGTTTTGTTGAATAAACAT